>NC_000019.10:38452995-38756025 GCF_000001405.40 Homo sapiens
GAGCCTCTTCCAGGAGGAGGTGAGGACGTGGCGAGGGCGGAGCGGGGCCTGTGGGCCCAGGGGGCGGGACCACTGAGGGGCGGGGCCACGGCGCTGGGCGGGGCAGGGCCTGAGGGACCTGGGGAAGTAGGGTCTGAGAAGGGGGCGGGGCAGGAGAAGGAGCCGGACAGGAACCCCAGCCAGTGAGAACACGATGGGGCGGGGCCTTGGGAGGGGCGGGCCTGCTGTGCTGGTGGGCAGGACCTTTGGGAAGGGGCAGGGCGTATGGCCGACCAGGGGGCGGGGCCTGGAGAGAAGGATGGAATAAAAGAGCTGAGGGGCGGGGCCTATGTGAAGCTCAGGTATAGGGTGAGGCCTGGGGAGGTGAGGCCAGGAGTGGGGCCAGAGGTCAGAGGTAGGGCTGCCGACTCAGCGGGCGGGGTCTGCTGGCGCGGGGTCTGTGGGGTGGGCGGACAGAATCAGTGTGGGGTATGGGAGGTGCCGAGGCAGAAATAGATCTTTGGGCATTAGGGAGGGGAGGCCAGCTGTGAACAAAACAGAAAAAAATCTCTGTCCTTATGGAGTTGACATGGCGGGGAGAGACAGGAGATCAATAAAATAAATAAGTAAATTGTATGGCATATTAGATGGTAATAACTGTTAAAGAGAAAAATTCAGCAGGTAAGGGGTAGGGAGTGTTGGGGTTTTGCAGTTTAAGACAGAGCTGTCAGACAGGGTGACCTGGAGGAAGAGAGGAAGCCATGTGCAAAGGCCATGAGGTGGGCGGGTGTTTGGCATGTTCCAGAAACAGTCAGGTGGTGATTGGAGCAGGGAGGCTTGGGTGGGGGAGTGGGAGGAAATGAGGGCAGAGAGGTGACGAGGGCCAGGCCTTGGTGAGGACTTTGGCTTTGGGAGCCACAGGAGGTTTTGGTCCTCTACAGTCACAGCTAGTTAGTGGCAGAGCCGGTCAGTGTGATGCCACTTTGGTTGTGCTCTCCACTTTGAGGCACTGCTCCTCTCACTACTGATCTAGGCCCCAGGATGCAGATACAACAATTGTTTTGTTTTGTCTTGTTTTTTGAAACAGAGTCTCTCTCTGTCACCCAGGCTGGAGTGCAGTGGTGTGATCTTGGCTCACTGCAACCTCCACCTCCCAGGTTCAAATGATTCTCCTGCCTCCTCAGCCTCCCAAGTAGCTGAAACTACAGGTGTGAGCCACCACGCCTGGCTAATTTTTGTATTTTTAGTAGAGATGGGGTTTCGCCATGTTGGCCAGGCTCGTCTCAAACTCCTGACCTCAGGTGATCCACCCGCCTCCACCTCCCAAAGAGCTGGGATTACAGGCGTGAGCCACTGCACCCAGACAGTTTTGTCCTTTTTGTTGATTTCACTGTTTATAATGTCTCCCAAGTGTAGTGCTGAAGTGCTGTCTAGCTTTCCTAAGTGCAAGAAAGCTATGATGTGCCTTACTGAGAAAATATGTGTTAGATAAGCTTAATTAAGGCATGAGTTATAGTACTGTTGGCTGTGAATTTAATGTTAATGACTCAACAATATATATTAAATAACTGTCTTTAAACAGAAACATAAAAAACAAGGTTATGTAATAAGTGGTTGATGAAAATACTGTCACAGACTCTCAGGGACTCCCTGTATTTCCCCTAGAAGCAGTGGTTCAGTATTTGATAATTCAGTCTTCATAATCACTTTATAGAACATAACTATGAATAATGAGAATTGATTGTATATGTTTTATGTACTTTTCTGTATGTATATTATGATTCACAATGAAATAAGAAAAAATATTAAAATGTAAAAAAAAAAAGAAAAGAAAAGATAAAGTGAGAAAAATCTTTCTGATGGTTGGTGTGGAGAATGAACTGGGCCTCTCCAGTTGGTGGGAGTGGGGTTCCAGTTGGATGGTTGGTGGGAGTGGGGTTCCTGGAAGTGAGTAGGATGGAGAGAAAAGTGCAGGAAGGGGAAGTATAAACTCAGTCCTGGTGTTAATAAGGACTGAATTATCATAGACTGAATCTCATATTGGGGATAGAGTCAGAGAGGACAAGAATAGATATGGGGAGCCAAGGAGGAGAGGAGAGCAATGGGACTGATTGGGAATATGAAACCAAAGGGGCTGATTTAGATCTGGGAACACACCGTCACTAGTTGTTGAAGGAATATGAATTCGTGAATCCAAGAAAGACAAGGAAGGGAGGGCCTGGGTCTCCTATTGTGATGCCTCTTATTTTCCTCATCCTAGGGGATGCTCTCCATGGTCCTGAATTGCATAGACCGCCTAAATGTCTACACCACTGCTGCCCACTTTGCTGAGTTTGCAGGGGAGGAGGCAGCCGAGTCCTGGAAAGAGATTGTGAATCTTCTCTATGAACTCCTAGGTAGGGGTCCCAGTCCTGACTCCCCTGAGAACACCCCAGATCCCCAGTCCTATTGGATCTGACACCTCTTCCCCCCTCAGCTTCTCTAATCCGTGGCAATCGTAGCAACTGTGCCCTCTTCTCCACAAACTTGGACTGGCTGGTCAGCAAGCTGGATCGGCTGGAGGCCTCGTCTGGTAGGAGAACCCGGGGGAGTGGGACAGAGGCTTGTGGGAGGGGATGGGCATGGCCGCTTCACCTCTCATTCTGGGCACCCTGGCAGGCATCCTGGAGGTCCTGTACTGTGTCCTCATTGAGAGTCCAGAGGTTCTGAACATCATCCAGGAGAATCACATCAAGTCCATCATCTCCCTCCTGGACAAGCATGGGAGGAACCACAAGGTCGGCCCCTCACCCCTGACCTCTCATCCCCTGAACTCTGAATGCTGGCCTCTCCCCAGGGCTCCAGAACTCTGCTCACTCCCTCACTTCCCTCCTCCATCTCATCTCTCACCTGTACGCCACTCCCACTGGCTTTCATCTCCACACAGGGGTCTCAAACAATGACTCTTAAGTTGATTCTGGGCCACAGATGTGCTTGGTTAGATCTCTGAAATGTTTTTTTTTTTTTTTTTTTTTTGAGACAGAGTCTCACACTGTCGCTCAGACTGGAGTGTAGTGGCGCTATCTTGGCTCACTGCAACCTCTGCCTCCTGGGTTCAAGCGATTCTCCTGCCTCGGCCTCCCAAGTAGCTGGGACTACAGGCACACACCACCACGCCCAGCTAATTTTTGTATTTTTTTTTTAGTAGAGACAGGGTTTCACAATGTTGGCCAGGATGGTCTCGATCTCTTGGCTTCATGATCCGTCCACCTCAGCCTCCCAAATGCTGGAATTACAGGCGTGAACCACCAGCGCCTGGCATTTTTTTTTTTTTTTTTTTGATACAGAGTCTCGCTCTGTCACCCAGACTGGAGTGGGAGTGCAGTGGCATGATCTCAGCTCACTGCAACCTCTGCTTCCCGGGTTCAAGCAATTCTCCTGCCTCAGCCTCCTGAGTAGCTGGGATTACAGGTGCCCGCCACCACGCCCAGCTAATTTTTGTAATTTTAGTAGAGACAGGGTTTCACCATGTTGGCCAGTCTGGTCTCGAACTCCTGACCTCAGGTGATCCACCCACTTTGGCCTCCCAAAGTGCTGGGATTACAGGTGTGAGCCACCGTGCCCCACCGGTGGCGCTGAAATGTTTTTAAAATTTTCAAATATTACAGCCTCTAGGTGGACTGTATATATATACACACACTCTGTAGTTTGCCATAGCCCTACAAGTTCCTGTTGCATTATTTCTAACCACTTCACACATTTATTCAGTCGGAGCAAAAGTAATTGCAGTTTTGCTATTAAAAGGAATGACAGCCGGGCATGGTGGCTCACGCCTGTAATCCCAGCACTTTGGGAGGCCAAGGCGGGCGGATCACGAGGTCAGGAGATCGAGACCATCCTGGCTAATGCGGTGAAACCCTGTCTCTACTAAAAATACAAAAAATTAGCCAGGCATGGTGGCAGGCGCCTGTAGTCCCAGCTACTCGGGAGGCTGAGGCAGGAGAATGATGTGAACCCGGGAGGCAGAGCTTGCAGTGAGCTGAGATTGCGCCACTGCACTCCAGCCTGGGCGACAGAGCCAGACTCCATCTCCAAAAAAAAAAAAAAAAAAAAAAAAAGGAATAACAAAAACCAGAATTACTTTTGCTCCAGCCTAATACATTTTCCACTTGGCCCCTAAAGACACAAGTTTGCAACCCCTGCTGATTTAAAATTTCATCTTGATTCCTGTGTCTCTCACTGGTCGTTTCAGTCTGCCTTCTGACCTCTTACCTCACTACTCCAGTATCTCCTTCCTTACATTGCTGATACCTTATCCCAACTCATGTGACCCTCCCTCAGCCTCTTGCCAGATCTTCCTCTTTGACCCCTAACCTTTCTCTGATCCCTGACCTTCCACTTTCACCACCTCCTCTCAGTCAAAATTGCCACATCTTATCCCGATGCGCTGTCCTTTCCTCCTGGCTTCCCTCCCTCCCAGGGTTCTTCTGTAGATCCTGCCCTGGTGCCTACACACCCTTTAACCTCTGACCTTGACCTCTAGGTCCTGGACGTGCTATGCTCCCTGTGTGTGTGTAATGGTGTGGCTGTACGCTCCAACCAAGATCTTATTACTGAGAACTTGCTGCCTGGCCGTGAGCTTCTGCTGCAGACAAACCTCATCAACTATGTCACCAGGTCTGGCTCTCAACATCTGACCCCAGAACTCAGAACCTCTCAACCCTCTCCCTGACTTAGAGACTCCACACCCAGATGGATGTCCTTTCCTTAATCTCCCACCCCAGGGTTAACAACCAGTCCTCACAGATGTCCACTGTGGCCCCACTCTCCCTTGGCATCCACTCCTCTTGTTCTGTCTTCCTGGCTCCATTTCTGCCTCTATCTGTTTCTCTTTCTTTCTCCCTCTCCCTCTCTCTCTGTTTTCTCTTTTTATCTTTGCCTGTTTCTGTCTTGATTCTTCCTCCATGTCTTTCTCCCTGTCTCTCTCCCATCTCTCTCTCTCTGTCTTTGGATGTCTGTCTCTCTCTGGCTTCCCACCACTTGGCTCTCCTCTCTGCCTCTCCGTCATCCCCCTCTCCTGTCCCATCTCTCCTGCAGCATCCGCCCCAACATCTTTGTGGGCCGAGCGGAAGGCACCACGCAGTACAGCAAATGGTACTTTGAGGTGATGGTGGACGAGGTGACTCCATTTCTGACAGCTCAGGCCACCCACTTGCGGGTGGGCTGGGCCCTCACCGAGGGCTACACCCCCTACCCTGGGGCCGGCGAGGGCTGGGGCGGCAACGGGGTCGGCGATGACCTCTATTCCTACGGCTTTGATGGACTGCATCTCTGGACAGGTACCTGACCCCTTCCAGGGGACCCTCACCCCTGACCATTGACCCCAGCATTTCTAAGTCTCTGACCATACACCTTGGGGTTCTCAGGATCCTGACTCCCTGAAAAGGTCAACTTTTGACCTTTTAGTCCTCATTTCCCAAGACCCTAACCCCAGAGCTTCTAGATTCCCGGCTCTGACTTGTATCCTCGTTACCTACAGAACTCTGATCCCAGAGTAGGTGTGACCTCTGACCCTAGATATCCCAGAAGACCACGCAGATTACTGTGATCTCTGATCTTTGACTTCTAACCCCAGGAGAATTTATTTATTTATTTATTTTGTTTGTTTGTTTGTTTGTTTGTTTATTTTGAAATGGAGTCTCACTCTGTCTCCTAGGCTGGAGTGCAGTAGCATGATCTCAGCTCACTGCAACCTCTGCCTCTCGGGTTCAAGTAATTCTCCTGCCTCAGCCTCCTGAGTAGCTGGGATTACAGGCATGCACCACCACGCCCGGCTCATTTTTGTATTTTTAGTAGAGACAGGGTTTCACCACATTGGCCAGGCTGGTCTCCTGACCTCAAGTGATCCATCCGCCTTGGCCTTCCAAAGTGCTGGGATTACAGGTGTGAGCCACTGCATCCGGCCCCCAGGAGGATTTAATCTCTGGCCCCACAGCTCAGAATCCTAACTTCAGGGGAACCCTGACCTCTGCCCTTCATTTCAGAGCTACGGGAGCATCCAAGGGAGCACTTTCCATTAGGGTTTCCAGGATGCAATCTCCACAGGAGCCTCCAATATCTGTCCCTTTTCTCTTGTTATCATTGGTTCTGTGGGACCTGTGACGTCTGACCCATCTCTGGTGACTGATGCAGGACACGTGGCACGCCCAGTGACTTCCCCAGGGCAGCACCTCCTGGCCCCTGAAGACGTGATCAGCTGCTGCCTGGACCTCAGCGTGCCGTCCATCTCCTTCCGCATCAACGGCTGCCCCGTGCAGGGTGTCTTTGAGTCCTTCAACCTGGACGGGCTCTTCTTCCCTGTTGTCAGCTTCTCGGCTGGTGTCAAGTGAGAACTTGCCCCCACCCCACGGCCAGTCCTCAGACCTAGGACTGACCTGAGACAGCTTCCCCAGTCACTCCATGGTCCCCCAGGAGGCCAGGACACTGCAGCCTACCATCAAGACTGACTGGTGTCCAGAACCCTTACTTGAAGATCCCAGGGACCTCCACGTGACTCCAGACTCTTTCCAATGACCTCAGATTCTCCCTAACCCCACGTCCTTCCAGTAACCTCTGAGATAATGGTCTCAGACTCTCCTAGTGGTCTCTCAACAACCCAAGGTTCTTCCGGTGACCTCCCAATGACCTCAGACTTTCCCAGTGACTCCAGAATCTGATGATCTCATGACTCCAGACCTTCCTTGACTCCCCAGTGGCCTCAGACTCTCCCAATGACTCCAGAATCTGATAATGATCTAATGACTCCAGACCCTCCTTAACCCCCTAATGACTTCAGACTCTTCCAATGACACCATACTCTCTCAATAATCTCTTAATAATGCCAGCATCTCCCGATGACCTTTCAATAGACCCAGACTTGCCCAGTGACCCTGCTCCCGAATAACCCCATTTATTCCAAAGACCCCCCAATGATCCAGTCCTTTCCCAATCACCCCAAGCTCTCCGAATGTCCATTCAGTGGTGTTTATGTTTATTTCATAATTGTAACAGATGCTCAGTGACTTCTCAAATGACCTTCTTATTGGTCTCCCCAACCTTCCAATGACCCCGAATGCTCTGTTGACCTGGGGTCTCCTCTGAAGGACTGTTCCATGACCTTGCAGTCATCTGAACTCTTCTAGATTAACCAGAGACCCTCCCGCTCTCAACTCCCTGGCTCTTAATTCCCTTATGATATTCCTTTGACTCTAGACTTTCTTTTATGACTTCTAAATGACCTCCAGGACACTATGACTGCCCGGTGACCTTTGGTCTCCCCAGAACTTTCCATTGATCCCAGGACTGCTTCCATGTCCCCCACTGACCACAGACTGTCCCCCATAACCTCCCCTCAATGATCCCCATTGTCCTTCCTTACCCAGGGTGCGGTTCCTCCTTGGTGGCCGCCATGGTGAATTCAAGTTCCTGCCCCCACCTGGCTATGCTCCATGCCATGAGGCTGTGCTCCCTCGAGAGCGACTCCATCTTGAACCCATCAAGGAGTATCGACGGGAGGGGCCCCGGGGGCCTCACCTGGTGGGCCCCAGTCGCTGCCTCTCACACACCGACTTCGTGCCCTGCCCTGTGGACACTGTCCAGGTACTGCCTGCCCTGCAAAGGTTTTCTGGCGAGGCAGGGTCTCTTAGGAGTCAGAGAGGGGGCAGGGTGCCATCGTTCATGCCTGTAATCCCAGCACTTTGGATGGCCAGGCGTGGTGGCTCACGCCTGTAAGCCCAGCAATTTGGGAGGCCGAGGCGGGTGGATCACCTGAGGTCAGGAGTTCAAGACCAGCCTGGCCAACACGGTGAAAGTGAAACCCTGTCTCTACTAAAAATACAAAAAGTTAGCTGGGTGTGGTGGCGGGCGCCTATAATCCCAGCTACTCGGGAGACTGAGGCAGGAGAATCGCTTGAACCCGGGAGGTGGAGGTTGCAGTGAGCTGAGGTCACGCCATTGTACTCCAGCCTAAGCAACAAGAGTGAAACTCCATGTCAAAACAAAACAAAACAAAAAACAAAAATTAGCATGGTGGCAGGTGCCTGTAATCCCAGCTACTCGGGAGGCTGAGGCAGAATTGCTTGAACCTGGGAGGCAGAGGTTGCAATGAGCCAAGATCGTGCCACTACACTCCAGCCTGGGCAACAGAGTGAGACTTCATCTCAAAACAAACAAACAAACAAAAACAACCAACATTTTGGGAAGCCGAAGTGGGGGCCTCGCGCTTGAGCCCGAAAGTTCGAGATTAGTATGGGTAACATAGTGATACCCCGTCTTTATAGAAAAAAATTTTTAATATTTACAAATTTAGACAATTTTTTAAAAGGAGTGAGAGAGGTGGGGAGCTGCCCTAGAAGCTGGGAACCTCGTTGTTTAACAGATGGAGAAACTGAGCACAGAGAGGCAAAGGATTCTGTCAGAGCAGAATCGCAGTCTCAGGGAGTCCTCACCACTGCCCCACAAAGAAAGGGTGGCTCACACCTGCGATCCTAGAACTCTGAGAGGCCGAGGCAGGATTGCTTGAGTCCACGAGTTTGAGACCAGCCTAGGCAACATAGCAAGACCCCATCTCTACTAAAAATTAAAAGTTAGCTGAGGTGATGGTCCACGACTGTAGTCCCAGCTACTTGGGAGGCTGAGATGGGAGGGTCACTTGAGCCCAGGGATTCGAGGCTGCAGTGAGCTATGATTGTGCCACTGCACTCCAGCCTGGGTGACAGAGCAAAACCCTGAAAAAAAAAAAAAAAAAAAGAAAGGGAGAGAGAGAGAGAAAGAAAGAAAAAGGCTGGGTGTGGTGGCTCATGCCTGTAATCTCAGCACTTTGGGAGGCTGAGGCGGGCAGATCACCTAAAGTCAGGAATTCAAGACCAGCCTGGCCAACATGGTGAAACCCCATCTCTACTGAAAATACAAAAATGAGCCAGGCATGGTGGCAGGCACCTGTAATCCCAGCTACTCAGGAGGCTGAGGCAGGAGAATCACTTGAACCCGGGAGGTGGAGGTTGCAGTGAGCCGAGATCGCACCACTGCACTCCAGCCTGGGCGACAGAGCAAGACTCCATCTCAAAAGAAGAAAGAAAGAAAGGACTGTTTTTGCCTTCCCTCCAAGCATGTCCCTATAGGAGGGAATATAGGTTAGGTTTAAAAGCCTGACAGCAAAGGTTTGGTTTTCAGTCACGTGATCTTGGGCATGTGACCTCCCCTCCCTGAGCCTCAGTTTGTTCCTCCGTGAGGAAAAGGGGATAACACCCTGATATCTGATAGCATTGTTCATTGTTGTGAAGGTAAGATGAATGGATATAGGCAAGATGCTTAGTCCAGTCCTGATTAAACAGTAAGCACTCAAGACAGTCACTCATTATTAGTAGCAGTGATATCATCTGCGGGGGTGACTTCATCCCCCTGTCCCCAGACCAGTGCCCTGGGCCTCACCCTGGATGCCTCTGTCCCCATCCCCCAGCCTGTCAGCCTCGTGGGCTGTCCACTCGGCCTCCCAGACATCCCCCCGACCCCGCTTTCCTCATCCCCATGTCCCGCCCAAGTCCAAACCATCATTGCCTCTTGCCTGCGGAACGCCAACACCGCTACTGTCTACTAGGCTCTTACCCTCTGCCAGGCATCGATATTAACTATGTAACATTTAGTAATTTACATTAATGATCTCACTGAGTCCTTATTAGGTATCGCTATGATCCTCATACGGAGAAGGAAGGAGACTCCTCCATTCTTTTCATTCAGCAAACATTTCCTGAGCCTCTCTTCTGGGTCTGAGTCTGGTTCTGGGCTGGATAGGGCTGGGGACTTGGTGGAGACCAGGGCAGCCCCAGGCCCTGCCCTCATGGAGCTCCCAGTCCACGGGGGAGACAGACCCGTCCCAGATAATTCCTTAATACTCTCTCTTCTTTTTTTTTTTTTTTTTTTTTTGGAGACAGAGTCTTGCTCTGTTGCCCAGGCTGAAGTGCAGTGGCACAATCTTGGCTCACTGCAACCTCTGCCTCCAGAGTTCAAGCAATTCTCCTGCCTTAGCCTCCCAAGTAACTGGGACTACAGGTGCGCACCACCACATCTGGCTAATTTTTTGTATTTTTAGAAGAGAAGGTGTTTCACCGTGTTGCCTAGGCTGGTCTTGAACTCCTGACCTCAGGCGATCTGCCCCCCCCCCCCCCACTTAGCCTCCCAAAGTGCTGGGATTACAGATGTGAGCCACTACGGCTGGCCCTGGATAATTCCTTAATTCTGAGAATGCTAAGCCCTCACCCATCTGAGTGTCAACCCTGGAGTCAAGGCGAGGGATGGGGAGCAGGGCTGCTGGATGGTGGGAAAGGGGGTGCTGGAGGAGCCTCCCAGGGCTCACAGGTGTTCTTGGAAAGAGGGGTCATGATGGAGGAGGGTAGAGGGACCTTGGGGTCTCAAGAACGTCCCTCTGCCTCTAGATTGTCCTGCCGCCCCATCTGGAGCGCATTCGGGAGAAGCTGGCGGAGAACATCCACGAGCTCTGGGCGCTAACCCGCATCGAGCAGGGCTGGACCTACGGCCCGGTGAGGGGCTGCCTGCAGCCTGCGGGAGGCCGGCTAGACTTGCGGTGCCAGGAGGGAGAGCGGCTCACCGGCGGAGAGGAGGGAGGGACCACAGGGCACCAGGGGGTCCTTGGACTGAGGGTGGCAGAACTAGGGTTGGAGGTCAGGGGTCATAGTCTGGGCATGTGGGGAGTGGGAAGGAAAGGGGAGCACATGGAGTTGACCCTGGGTTTTCTCCAGGTTCGGGATGACAACAAGAGGCTGCACCCGTGTCTTGTGGACTTCCACAGCCTTCCAGAGCCTGAGAGGAACTACAACCTGCAGATGTCTGGGGAGACGCTCAAGTGAGGGCCCAGGGGAGCCGGGGGTTGGGGCTGGCTGCTGGTGCGGTGGGGGAGGGAGGCATGGAGAGACAGGGCAGGAGGTAGAGACTGAGAGAGAGAAGGATGGAGGGGACAGGGATTGTGAGACATAAACAAATGGGGAGTGGCCGGGCACGGTGGCTCACACCTGTAATCCTAGCACTTTGGGAGGCCGAGACGGGTGGATCACTTGAGGTCAGCAGTTCGAGACCAGTCTGGCCAACATGGCAAAACCCCGTCTCTACTAAAAATACAAAACTTAGCCGGGCGTGGTGGTGCACCTCTGTAATCCCAGCTCCTCAGGAGGCTGAGGCAGGAGAATCATTTGAACCTGGGAGGCAGAGGTTGCAGCGAGCCGAGATCACACTACTGCACTCCAGCCTGGGCGACAGAGCGAGACACCGTTTCAGAAAAAAAAAAAAAAAAAAAAAAAAAAAAAAAGAAGCAAACGGGGAGCAAGAAAGGGACAGAGGCAGAAAGAGAGAGAAAGAAAAGGTGGGGATGGAAAGAGAGAGAGATGCAGAAAGAGACAGGGAGACAGGAGAAAGTGGCAGACAGGAAAAGACAGACATAGTTAGTTATACAGACAAGGCGCAGGGAAAGACAGAAGTCATGAAGCCTGAGGCCAGGATCAAGAGAGACAGGGCCAGAGCGCCCCAGGCACTGAAGCAGCAGAGGTAGAGGGAGCTGGAGACCCTGAGGCCGTGGGAGGAGACGGGGCAGGGAGCTCTGAGGGGCGTGACCTGTCGCCTCCACTCCCCCACCCCCAGGACTCTGCTGGCTCTGGGCTGCCACGTGGGCATGGCGGATGAGAAGGCGGAGGACAACCTGAAGAAGACAAAACTCCCCAAGACGTGAGTGTGGGCAGCCAGGTCCCGTCTGGGGATGGACTGGGGGCTGGGGATGCTGTGCTAAGGGCTGGGGAGGTCGAGGGGTCTTGTGGGGAGGCTGAGGTTAGGGAGGAAGGAGACTTGGGTTAGGGTGAAGGTCATAGGGTCAGGGCTCTGGGGTCAGAGGTGAATGTCCAGGATTGAGGAGTTAGGAGTTTCAGAGAGAGAGAGAGGGAGGGTATGAGTCCAGGATCCAGGCTCAGGGTCTGCCTAGAGTCAGGGAAAATGAGAGCAGAGGTCACATGTCCACGTAAGGGGTAAGGGGCCAATGGTAAGAGGTGAGAATCTGGAGGTCGTTGGAGTCGTCTAAGTAAGGGATCCTGAAATTATAGGTGAGCAGTTACACGTCCTGAGTTCAGAGGTCAAGGACTCCAGACCCAGGAGTTTGGGGTGGATGAGGACTGGGATCAGAGTAAGAAACCTCAGAGTGGGCTGGGTGAGGTGGCTCACACCTGTAATCCCAGCACTTTGGGAGGTTGAGGCAGGAAGATCACTTGAGCCCAGTTCAAGACCAGCCTGGGCAACATGGTGAGACCCCTCTACAAAAAATTTAAAAATTAGCAGGACATGGTGGTGGGACATGCCTGTAGTTCCAGCAACTTGGGAGGTTGAGATGGGAGAATTGCTTGAACCCAGGAGTTTGAGGCTGCAGTGAGCCATGATTGCACCACCGCACTCCAGCCTGGGTGACAGAACGAGAAAACAACCTCAAAAAAACAAAAAGAGCCGGGCTCAGTCGCTCACGCCTGTAATCCGAGCACTTTGGGAGGCCGAGGCGGGCGGATCACCTGAGGTCGGGAATTCGAGACCAGCCTGACCAACACGGTGAAACCCACCCTCTACCAAAAATACAAAATTAGCCGGGTGTGGTGGCACATGCCTGTAATCCCTGCTACTCCGGAGGCTGAGGCAGGAGAATCACTTGAACCCAGGAGGTGGAGGTTGCAGTGAGCCGAGATCGTGCCATTGCACTCCAGCCTGGGCAACAAGAGTGAAACTCCGTATCAAAAAAAAAACAAAGAGAGAGAAAAACCTCAAAGTTAGTGGTGAGAGGTCTGAGAGAGTTCCGGGGTTAGAGATAGGGGTCCCAAAGTCAAGACAAAGGGGGCTAGAGGTCATTGATGTCAAAGCCCTTGCTAGGGTCCCAGGATCCTAGGGTCAGAAGCCAGGGATCTCAAAACTTATTCTAAAATTTCATAGAACTGCAACATTATATCAAAGGTCAGAAACGCCGAAGCTGGGACAAGGGTCAGCAGTCAGGGATCCCATATAGTGCAGAGCCCGGAAGTGGAGGTGAGGGCCTTGTCCCATGGAGCCCTACCATGCCCGCAGGTATATGATGAGCAATGGGTACAAGCCGGCTCCGCTGGACCTGAGCCACGTGCGGCTGACGCCGGCGCAGACGACACTGGTGGACCGTCTGGCAGAAAATGGGCACAACGTGTGGGCCCGAGACCGCGTGGGCCAGGGCTGGAGCTACAGCGCAGTGCAGGACATCCCAGCGCGCCGAAACCCTCGGCTGGTGCCCTACCGCCTGCTGGATGAAGCCACCAAGCGCAGCAACCGGGACAGCCTCTGCCAGGCCGTGCGCACCCTCCTGGGCTACGGCTACAACATCGAGCCTCCTGACCAGGAGCCCAGTGAGTGCTCACCCCTGGCCCTGGCCCTGACTCCTACCCCAACTCTGACCCCAGCCCCGATCCCTGATCTCTGACCTGACTCAGCCCCCAAATGGGCTATATCTTTTTTTTTTTTTTTTTTTTTGAGACGGAGTCTCGCTGTCCCCAGGCTGGAGTGCAATGGCGCGATCTCTGCTCACTGCAAGCTCCACCTCCTGGGTTCACACCATTCTCCTGCCTCAGCCTTCCGAGTAGCTGGGATTACCGGCGGGTGCCACCACGCCTGGCTAATTTTTTGTATTTTTAGTAGAGACAGGATTTCACCGTTTTAGCCAGGATGGTCTCGATCTCCTGACCTCGTGATCCGCCTGCCTCGGACTCCCAAAGTGCTGGGATTACAGGCGTGAGCCACTGCACCTGGCCCAAATGGGCTATATCTATCACATCGAGCAGACTGACCAGGAGGTCAGAAAGGACTGACCCCTCCCCGAAACTCTGAGCCTTACCCCAGTTCCAACTCGGAACCTGATGGAACCACTTCCCTTTACCTGACGCCAGCCCTGCCTGGGCTATGACTGCAAACCAGAGCCGTCAGCCTAGGAACCCAATGAGTGCCAACCCCACCTTTGACTCTGATTCCTGACCTCTAGCTTTGATCCCTAATCACTAATCTCTGAACTGTAGCTACCACATGAAGGCACCCAACCAAGGGCTTAGAGAGCCTGGTCACCCCTACCCCTAACCTGACTCCTGACCTATCACTGGCTTCCAATCCCAGCCTTGACCCCAAACCCTGGCCATGGTCCCCAACCTTCAGTTTCTCAACTCTTGGCCCCAACCTGAATTTCCATCCCTTCCATAATCCTGGCTCTGACCCTCCAATCCTGGTCTCAGCCCTTCATTCTAATCAACCCTGATCTTGACCCTTAACCCCAGACCATAACTCTGACCAGTTCACTGAGCTGGCTTTTTCCTTCTGTGTCTCTGCCAGTATCCCTGTTTTCTGAGAATTCTGACTGCTACAGAGATGGGGGTCTCTCTCAACAGGTCCCTGCCTCTCTCTGACTTTTCTGAGGTTCCCCAATTCTCCTCTAACTCCAAGAAATTGACCCTCTTCCAACAGTTCCCCAAAGCCCTTACTGTCCCCCAAAGCCTGTCTTCTACCAACTTCTCGATGTCTTGGGATCCACATCTTCCCTAGCCTCTCTGACTCTGCCTGGCCTCATTTATAGGTCAGGTGGAGAACCAGTCTCGTTGTGACCGGGTGCGCATCTTCCGGGCAGAGAAATCCTATACAGTGCAGAGCGGCCGCTGGTACTTCGAGTTTGAAGCAGTCACCACAGGCGAGATGCGCGTGGGCTGGGCGAGGCCCGAGCTGAGGCCTGATGTAGAGCTGGGAGCTGACGAGCTGGCCTATGTCTTCAATGGGCACCGCGTGGGTACCTCCCTGGGCACCATTCTGCCAGGTCCTGTGGTCTCTCCCACAGCTTGTCTACTCTGGCCCTGCCTCTGTCTGTGCCTCACTCTGTCCCCACTTCATGCATCTACTGTACCACTCATCCACCCATCTATCCATCCATTCAACCAATGATTCATCCATCCATCCATCCATCGATCTATCAGACATCCATCTATCCAACCAACAATTCATCCATCCATCCATCCATCCATCATCCATCCATCCATCCATCCATCCATCCATCCATCCATCCATCCAACCATCCATCCAGCTAACCAACCATCCATTCATCCAGCCAACATAGGGAGACCCCATCTCTACAAAAAATAAAAAAATTAGCTAGGCAAGGTAGCATGCACATATAGTCCCATCATCCATCCATCCATCCATCCATCCATCCATCATCTATCCATCTGACCAGCCAACCATGCATCCATCCATGCATTCAACCATCCATCCATCATCCATTCATCCCTCATCCATCCAACCAACCATCCATCCATCCATTCTTCCAGCCAACTGTCCATCCATCCATCCAATAACCATCTGCCCATCCAACAACCATTTATACAACCATCCTTCCCTTCTTCCCTCTATCTGTCATCCATTTATTTATGCTTGCCCCTACTTACACTTTGTTCTTTCTCTGTATCAACCCAGGTAAACTCTCAACTTTCCAATCATTCTTCTGTCCAGCCATGTACCCAATTTCTCATCCATCTATCTGTCTCATTAGCCACTCATCTATTTTGTGCATGTATATAAGCATATATGGATCTGTATGGGGACACTGATAGGTTCATTTTTCCTTTCCATCCCTCTACTTACTGCTGCTTCCAGCCCCCCACTACCACTTTGGTGGTCTGCATAATGCTAGCCATGGCAACAGCAGAGAACCCAGGCAGAAGGGATGAGACACAGAGATTAGTGGGGAGAAAAATTCCTGTGATCATGGATGCAAATGTGAGGAAAGATGGAGACACTGTGGGGTGACCCCTCTTCCATACCACCTGCCCTGAACCTGACACTTCGAATGTCTGTCTTCATATATCTCTCCCTCCCTGCTTCCTTATCTCTCCATTTCTCTGTGTGTCTCCCCACACCATGTCTTCTCTGGCTGTCCTCACAGGGCCAGCGCTGGCACTTGGGCAGTGAACCATTTGGGCGCCCCTGGCAGCCGGGCGATGTCGTTGGCTGTATGATCGACCTCACAGAGAACACCATTATCTTCACCCTCAATGGCGAGGTCCTCATGTCTGACTCAGGCTCCGAAACAGCCTTCCGGGAGATTGAGATTGGGGACGGTGAGGGCTGAGACCCCTTCACATGCCCTTTCTTGTTTTCCTCTGTCTCTCCCAACCCTGCACTGCCCTTCTGCCTCCAACTCTCCCATCCCTACCTCCTCCCCTCGGCTCCCTCTGCCCTGCCCACCTGCCCTCACCCCTGCCCATCCATCCCCTCCCACCAGGCTTCCTGCCCGTCTGCAGCTTGGGACCTGGCCAGGTGGGTCATCTGAACCTGGGCCAGGACGTGAGCTCTCTGAGGTTCTTTGCCATCTGTGGCCTCCAGGAAGGCTTCGAGCCATTTGCCATCAACATGCAGCGCCCAGTCACCACCTGGTTCAGCAAAGGCCTGCCCCAGTTTGAGCCAGTGCCCCTTGAACACCCTCACTATGAGGTAAGGACTGAGCCCCTCAATGCCTTCTCATCTGCCTCCAAAGCTCCTTCCTTCCACAGTGCTCTTCTTTGAGTTTCTCTTTTCCCTCCATGTTAGGACACAAACCACATGGAAGCAAGTGTCAGAGTGATGGGCTCACGGGCTGTATGACTCCGGGTGTAACTTTGGCAAACCACAGCTTCCTGAGGTCCAGGTGCCTCACCTATAAAATAAGGGAAACCCTGCCTGGGCAACAAGCAAAACTCCATCTCTAAAAATAAAAAAAAATTAAGTCTAGGCATGGTAGCTCATGCCTGTTATCCCAGCACTTAGGGAGGCTGAGGCAGGAGGATCCCTTGAGCCCAGGAGTTCAAGACCAGCCTTGGCAACATAGGGAGACCCCGTCTCTACAAAAAATAAAAAAAAAAATTAGCAAGGTGTGTAGTATGCACATATAGCCCTAGCTACTCAGGAGGTTGAGACTGGAGGATTGCTTGATTCCAAGAGGTCAAGACTGCAGTGAATTAGCCAGATGTGGTGGCACATGCCTGTAATTCCAGCTACTTAGGGGGCTGAGGCAGGAGACTCGCTTGAACACGGGAGATGGAGGTTGCAGTGAGCCAAGATTGCGCCCTTGCACTCCAGCCTGGGCAAGGAGAGCGAAACTCCATCTCAAAAAAAAAAAAAAGTTAAAGGCTGCAGTGAGCTGTGTTCACACCACTGCACTCTAGCCTAAGAGACAGAGCAAGACCCTATCTCAAAAAAAAATTTTTTTTTAATAAATAATTTTTAAAACTTAGCTGGGTGCTGTGGCACATGCCTGGTGTCCCAGCCACTCGGCAAACTGAGGCAGGAGGATCCTCTGAGCTCAGGAGGTCGAGGCTGCAGTAAGCTGATTACACGACTGCACTCCAGCCTGAGTGACAGAGAGGACCCTGTCTCATTGAAAAAAAAAAAAAAAAAAGAGCTGGGCATGGTGGCTCATGCCTGTAATCCCAGCACTTTGGGAGGCCAAGGCGGGCAGATCACTTGAGCCCAGAAGTTCAAGATGAGCCTGGCCAATATGGCAAAAACCCATCTCTACTAAAAATACTCCCCCAAAATTAATGGCGTGGTGGCGGGTGCCTGTAGTCCCAGCTACTCAAGAGGCTGAGGCAGGAGAATCACTTGAACCCAGGAGGTGGAGGTTGCAGTAAGCTGAGGTTGCACCACTGCACTCCAGCCTGGGTGACAGAGCAAGACCCTATCTTTACAAACAAAACAAAACAAAACAGAAGGACTCTGCAAAAGGAGTTTTAAGTATGGGAACGTCCAGTTGAGGTCTGAGTTTTGGAAAGGTCCCTATTGGCAGTGGATTGTAGGAGGTGACAGTGGAGTCAGAAGGATCCTAGAGGTGGCTGGGACGGGGCAGTACTGCAGAGTGGACGCAGAGTTCCTGACACCTGCCACTACCAGATGTCCCCAACCCAAGGCACAGCATGCTACACGGAAGTGAGAATGAATACCTGGAAATACACACAGCCATGTGGACGAATCTCAGACATAATGTCGAGTAGAAGAAGCCGGAGACAAGAGAGCACAGGCTGTGGGATTCCATTCACAGAAAGTTCAAGAACAGGCAGAGCGGATCTGTGGTGTGCTCAGTTGGGAAATTGGTTACTATGAAAGAATAACTCAGAGACATTGTTAGTTACTTTGAATGCAAATCACAGGAGGGAGCTCAGTCAGTAGACTATTGCCAAAGAACAAAGGCTGGTTGGATGCGGTGGCTCACGCCTGTAATCTCAGCACTGTGGGAAGCCAAGGTGGGAGGATCACTTGAGCCTAGGAATTCAAGACCAGCCTGGGCAACATAGCAAAACCCTGTCTCTACACAGAATAAACAAAATTATCTGGGCATGGTGGTATGTGCCTGTGGTCCCAGCCACTTGGGAGGCTGAAGTGGGAGGATTGTTTGAGCCCAGGATTTCGGGGCTGCAGTGAGCCGTGGTTGCACCACAGCACTCCAGCCCAGGTGACAGAGCAAGACCTGTCTCTAAGAAAAAAAGAGTGAATGCAGAAACCAGATTTATAAGACAGAGGGGAGAAAGAGGAGAGAAAAAAGACCCCTAAAGAGTCTGAGAACAGGCTGGGCTCGGTGGCTCATGCCTGTAATCCCAGCAGTTTGGGAGGCCGATGTGGGTGGCTCACCTGAGGTCAGGAGTTCGAGACCAGCCTGGCCAACATAGTGAAACCCCGTCTCTTCTAAAAATACAAAAAATTAGCCAGGCATGGTGCCGGGCGCCTGTAATCCCAGTTACTCGGGAGGCTGAGGCAGGAGAATTGCTTGAACCCAGGAGGCAAAAGTTGCAGTCAGCCAAGATTGCACCATTGCACTCCAGCCTGGGTGACAGCGAGACTCTGTCTCAAAAAAAAAAAAAAAAAAAAAGATTCTGAGAACAAAGAATCTTGTATGCACAGTTTTAGGGCAAATTCATTGGCTGGCAAGGAGTACCTAGGTTCATCTTGGCAACTGGTCCTTGGAGAGGTCAACGTGAGGAGGGGCATGAAAGAGAACAACTTTCATTGTTTACCGAGTCTCTAGGAGACTTTTGAGAGTCCATTGTTTTTGGTTTTTGTTTTTTGAGACTGGGTCTCACTCTGTCACCCAGGCTGGAGTCCAGTGGCAAGATCTCAGCTCCCCACAACCTCTGCCTCCCGAGTTCAAGCGATTCTTTTGCCTCAGTCTCCTTAGTAGCTGGAATTACAGGCATGTGCCACCACGCCTGGCTAATTTTTTTGTATTTTTAGTACAGATGAGGTTTCACCATGCTGGCCAGGCTGGTCTCAAACTCCTGACCTCAGGTGATCAGCCCGCCTCAGCCTCCCAAAGTGCTGGGATTACAGGCATGAGCCACTGCGCCCTGTCGCTATTTGTGGAATTGTAACTGAACACAGGTTCAGTTGCTCATCAGTTACAGAGTCCAATTAACAAGAGCGAGGTCTGGTAGAAAGAAAATGACTTTATTCATCAAAACTAGTCATGGAGAAGTGACCGGATTCCCATCCGAAGCAACCACTTCAAATCTAGGGGGGAAAGCAAGGGTTTAAAAAGGGGAAACTTGGCTGGGGGTGGTGGCTCACGCCTGTAATCCTAGCACTTTGGGAGACTGAGGCAGGCGGATCACATGAACTCAGGAGATTGAGACCAGCCTGGGCAACATGGTGAAACCCCGTCTCTACCAAAAATACAAAAATTAGCCAGGCGTGTTGGCTCATGCTTGAATCCAGGAGGCAGAGGTTGCAGTGAGCCAAGATCACACCATTGCACTCCAGCCTGGGTGACAGAGCAAGACTCTTGTCTAAAAAAAAAAAAAAAAAAAAAAGAAGTCTGAGAACAAAGAATCTTGTACGCACAGTTTTTGGGGCAAATTTTCAGGAGACTGAGACACAAGAATCATTTGAACCCTGTAGGCAGAGGTTGCGGTGAGCCGAGATCCTGCTATTGCACTCCAGCCTGGGCCACAGAGCAAGACTGTGTCTCAAAAAAAAAAAAAAAAGCATTGAAGTTGAGCTGCCTGGTTACTGGTTACAGAATGACAGAGTAGATTGTTAGATGGATGTAGGGAGGTTTTGGAAGTTACCCCAAGTGATTCCAGTGTGTGTCCGGGGCTGCTAGTGTACACGACGCCCAGAGAAATGTTGCAGAGGGCTGCAAGCACCCCAGGGCCCAGCGGTGTACCCGGCCGGGAGCTTCATCCCCCTGCAGGAGTGGGGGGCCCTTGACTAATTCCCATGCAGGTGCACTATGGCCTAATGGTGGCTCCGTGTGTGACCAGGTGTAGGACCAACGGCCTGGCCTAGCCCGCCTGCCCAGCCCAGTACTCCATTCCCTGCCACCTCAGGTATCCCGAGTGGACGGCACTGTGGACACGCCCCCCTGCCTGCGCCTGACCCACCGCACCTGGGGCTCCCAGAACAGCCTGGTGGAGATGCTTTTCCTGCGGCTGAGCCTCCCAGTCCAGTTCCACCAGCACTTCCGCTGCACTGCAGGGGCCACCCCGCTGGCACCTCCTGGCCTGCAGCCCCCCGCCGAGGACGAGGCCCGGGCGGCGGAACCCGACCCTGACTACGAAAACCTGCGCCGCTCAGCTGGGGGCTGGAGCGAGGCAGAGAACGGCAAAGAAGGGACTGCGAAGGAGGGCGCCCCCGGGGGCACCCCGCAGGCGGGGGGAGAGGCGCAGCCCGCCAGGGCGGAGAATGAGAAGGATGCCACCACCGAGAAGAACAAGAAGAGAGGGTGAGTCGAGGGGGGCCCAGAGTGGGGATTGGGGGCTGCCTTGGGACCCCCAAGTAGGCAACCACAGTAACCTGAGAAACCCCCATTGTACCCCAAAGTAGACCCATATATGCTAAGTGGAGTAAGAATACCGAGAGATTCTATCATGTCTCCAATGAACCCCATTATTTTCCTGGGATGCCCTAATGTCCCCAAGAATATATAATTGGGTACCCTAGTATCTATATGGAGAACTCTATTATCCTTGAGTACCTGGAGGGCCCCAAAGGGCTTCGCCCAATGGACCTTATCATCCGTGGACACTAAAAGGGACTTCAGTATCTTCCTAGGAGAGTTTACTGCACAGTAAGGTATCCCAGTGAATACCCAGTGGTCTTCTAAATGGGGATCCTTTCTGTGTCACAAATGTACCCCCCGAAATCTAACTTAAAGGGAGATTCTGAGAAGGTACTAAATCTGCTTTTTCCCTACAATGGCAGTGGTTTCCTTTTTTTCTTTCTATCTTTTTTTTTTTGAGGAGGAATCTCTGTCGCCAGGCTGGAATGCAATGGCGCAATCTCAGCTCACTGCAACCTCCACCTCCCGGGTTCAAGCGATTCTTCTGCCTCAGCCTCCTGAGTAGCTGGGATTACAGGCACGCGCCACCATGCCCAGCTAATTTTTGTATTTTTAGTAGAGACGGGGTTTTGCCATGTTGGCCAGGCTGGTCTCAAACTCCTGACCTCAGGTGATCCACCCACCTCAGCCTCCCAAAGTGCTGGGATTATAGACATGAGCTACCACGCCCGGCTCCTTTTTTTTTTTTTTTTTTTTTTTTTTTTGAGATGGAGTCTTGCTCTGTTGCCCAGTCTGGAGTGCAATGGCACGATCTTGGCTCTCTGCAATCTCCGCCTCCTGGGTTCAAGCAATTCTCCTGCCTCAGCCTCTTGAGTATCTGGGACTACAGGTGTGTGCCACCACACCCGGCTAATTTTTGTATTTTTGGTAGAGACAGGGTTTCACCATGTTGGCCAGGCTGGTCTTGAACTCCTGACCTCAGGTGATCCGTACGATGGCAGAGGTTTTCAATGGGATTGAAAACCCATTGTGTCTCTTGGTGGATGTTTGGAAATGATGGAGTCTTTGTGGTCATTACAGTTTGGGAGGGGCTGCTGCTGCTGGGCGGGGGCCCCAGGGTTCCGCCTGCCTTGCAGTGTACAAAACAGTGCCGCACAATGAAGAATTGTCCTTTTCCAAGTGCATTTAGCACCTATACGAGAAATGCATGTGGGAAATGCTGACTTAGGGGGACCCCCATATAACCCAGTGGGGACCTCCATATTCCCAGAAGGCGCCTTTAATTTGGGTAACTCAGCATCCACAAGCGCAGAGCATAGCACTTCTAGAATGGATTAGTCTGGGGTAGGTGGGAATCCAGCCCTCTAGAGGCAAGACCTGGGGTATTAGAAGCAGGGTGTATCCAAGCTGGATGTGGGGGCATGAATATTGCGGTGGGAGGGCTGGGCTTGAAAGCTGGCTCTCATGGCGCCTCTCCTCCCACTACCAGCTTCTTATTCAAGGCCAAGAAGGTCGCCATGATGACCCAGCCACCGGCCACCCCCACGCTGCCCCGACTCCCTCACGACGTGGTGCCTGCAGACAACCGCGATGACCCCGAGATCATCCTCAACACCACCACGGTGTGGACCAGTAACCCTCAATTTTGGGGTCCCCCCGCATAGCATAGGCACTCCTGAATTTCCAAGTTTAGTGTGACAGTCCCCAGTAGCTGCCCACCTTACACTGGGGACTCCCCAATATACACTAGAAACTCATAAAATATGGCACACACAGATTTAATCCTTTGAACCCCTAAATCCATATAGCTATGGCCCACAAACGGCAGGGAGTACAGTAGAGGTGTACAGCACACTGATATAACTCCTGGGGATCCCCAAAGCCATGATATAAGCCAATATAGACTAGGGACCCCAACATTTGGGCTCACTCATATAAACACAATACCCTCAATGTAATACCTACTCTAATATATTACTGGGAACAAAAATTCATAATTGTCTTAATATAGTTTTGGGATTTCCCCAAATCCAAAATATTTCATAGACAGACAGCCTAGTGCAGTGCTCCCCAACTATTTTGGCACCAGGGATCAATTTTGTGGAAGACAGTTTTTCCGTGGACCACGGATGCGGGGAAGGATGGTTTCAGGATGAAATGTTCCATCTCGGATCATCAGGCATAGATTCCTTTTTTTTTTCTTTTTATTTTTGAGATGGAGTCTTGCTCTGTTGCCCAGTCTGGAGTGCAGTGGTGTGATCTTGGCTCACTGAAACCTCTGCCTCCTGGGTTCAAACGATTCTCCTGCCTCAGCCTCCTGAGCAGCTGGGATAACAGGCTCCTGCCACCATGCCCAGCTAATTTTTGTTTTCTGTTTTTTGTTTTTTTGAGATGGAGTCTCAGCCTGTCGCCCAGGCTGGAGTGCAGTGGCGCGATCTCGGCTCACTGCAACCTCTGCCTCCCGGGTTCAAGTGATTCTTCTGCCTCAGCCTCCCAAGTAGCTGGGACTATGGGCACACGCCACCATGCCCGGCTAATTTTTGTGTTTTTAGTAGAAACGGGGTTTCACCATATTGGCCAGGCTGGTCTCAAACTCCTGACCTCGTGGTCTACCCGCCTCGGTCTCGCAAAGTGCTGGGATTACAGGCATGAGCCACCGTGCCTGGCCTAATTTTTGTATTTTTGGTAGAAACGGGGTTTCACCATGTTGGCCAGGTTGGTCTCAAATCCCCGACCTCAAATGATCCTACTGCCTCAGACTCCCAAAGTACTGGGATTACAGGTGTGAGCCACCGCGTTCGGCTGTAGATTCTTACAAGGAGTACTCACCCTAGGTGGCTTGGATCCCAGTACCAGCCCACAGCCTGGGGTTGGGGATCCCTGGCCTCGAGATTAGATCATGGGCCGACTGGGTGCCACTTGGGCAAAAGTCATTTCACCACTCTATGCCTTCTCTCCTATGGAGGTGCTATGGTTTTCCATCAGTAGAATGGGGGTAAAAATTATACCTACCTGATATGGAGGATGAAGTGAGTTAATCTGTGTAGACCTTAGAACAGGCCTGGCATGATGGCTCACACCCGTAGTCCCAGAACGTTGGGAGGCCAAGGTGAGAGGATCACTTCAATCCAGGAATTTGAGGCTGCAGGCTACGATGGTGCCTCTGCACTCCAGCCTGGATGACAGAGGGAGACTGCAACTCAAAAAAAATAAAAATAAAAAAATAAGGAAAGAAAAAAAAGAAGAAGAAGAAGGAAAGAAAAAAAAGACCTTAGCACAGTCAGTGCTATTTGTGAGCAATTATTTAATTATTTTTTGTATTTTTTTATTTTGAGATGGAGTCTCACTCTGTCACCCAGGCTGGAGTGCAGTGGCACGATCTCGGCTCACTGCAACCTCTGCCTCCCAGGTTCAAGCGATTCTCCTGCCTCAGCCTCCCGAGTACCTGGGACTACAGGCGCCCACCACCATGCCCGGCTAATTTTTGTACTTTTAGTAGAGACAGAGTTTCACCATATTGGTCAGGCTGGTCTCAAACTCCTGACCTCAGGTGATCCACCTTCCTCAGCTTCCCAAAGTGCTGGGATTACAGGCGTGAGCCACCATGCCTGGCCTGCAATTATTTATTTGTCAGTCTACTGTAACCTGGGAGGAACCCAAATATGGCACTGTCACACAATATTCCCAAGGGACTCCTAAATCTAGAATTGCACAAATTGACACAGAAACAGACATAACCAGGGGGTGGGGGACTCAGATCCAACAACTTCCTGTTAAACTCCCAGAGGACCCAACAGTCCAGGGAAACCAATTTCGAGTCCCAGGGAGCCCGAGTCCCTGACTTCCAGACTGACCACTAGTTCCCCTCCTTGTGTCACCAGTACTATTACTCCGTGAGGGTCTTTGCTGGACAGGAGCCCAGCTGCGTGTGGGCGGGCTGGGTCACCCCTGACTACCATCAGCACGACATGAGCTTCGACCTCAGCAAGGTCCGGGTCGTGACGGTGACCATGGGGGATGAACAAGGCAACGTCCACAGCAGGTGCCGGGGCTGGGGGGAGGTGGGAGGTGCAGGGTGGGGAGGGCAGGAGGCAGTCAGAGCTCCCGACACCAGCTCTGTGGCTGCCTGGTTGTGGGACCTAGGAACTTTCTGGAGCGGGAGGATTCTCTGGGGCACTGGGCACCCAGCTCGGAAGCTTCCCTCCTCCTCTTTTTCCTCCTCTCTTCCTGCCCTGGTATTTTTCTTCTCCTCCTCCTCCTCTTTATGCATTTCTCCTATTCCATTTTCTCCTTTTCCTTCTCATCCTGTTTCATCTCACCCTTCTCCTTCTCTGTCATCTCATTCTCTCTCCTCCTGCTTCCCTTGCTTTCCCTCCTTTCAGACCCCCACCCCCATCCTGACTCCCCACTGCGCCAGCTGCTAGGAATCCCAGCTCCGAAGAGCTCAGTGTCCGGGGCGAGGGGTTTCAGCTCTCAGGTCTGCAGGCGGTGGGTGTTTGGGGATGGGACTCTGAGGTTGTGTGTTTCCGGGAGCTTGGGGAAGGGGGTGTCCAGGGTCCAGAGCTACTCACATGAGGAGTGCAGTGACCGCTTCTGTCTCCTGCAGCCTCAAGTGTAGCAACTGCTACATGGTGTGGGGCGGAGACTTTGTGAGTCCCGGGCAGCAGGGCCGGATCAGCCACACGGACCTTGTCATTGGGTGCCTGGTGGACTTGGCCACTGGCTTAATGACCTTTACAGCCAATGGCAAAGAGAGCAACACCTTTTTCCAGGTGAGTCCAGGCCACAGCAATTTAGCGAGAGCATCATGTCCCAGCATCCCAGGACAGCTCTTATAGATGTCCCCTGAGGCCAGACCTCAGAGATGGAACAAAAACAGCTCCTAGGCTGTCCTCAAGAGGTCGCTGGGAGACCACCTTGTTGAAACTTCCATGAAACTAAGGCCCAGACTGGAGGAGATACAGAATCTCACTCTGTTGCCCAGACTGGAGTGCAATGGGACGATCTTGGC
Source organism: Homo sapiens (assembly GCF_000001405.40). NCBI lineage: Eukaryota > Metazoa > Chordata > Mammalia > Primates > Hominidae > Homo > Homo sapiens. The sequence continues at coordinate 38,478,840 of NC_000019.10, forward strand.
TCACTGCAACCTTCGCCTCCTGGGTTAGAGGGATTCTCCTGCCTCAGCCTCCTGAGTAGCTGGGATTACAGGCGAGCACCACAACAGCCGGCTAAGTTTTATGTTTTTAGTAGAGACGAGGTTTCACTGTGTTGGCCAGGCTGGTCTCAAATTCCTGACCTCAAGTGGTCCACCCACCTCGGCCTCCCAAAGTGCTGGGATTACAGGCGTGAGCCACCACACCCAGCCAGAGTCCAGCCTTGACCTTGGAAAGAGGTTTCTGTTCCCTCTTGAGCTGGGTGACACCAGTCACCAACTTCTCTCCAACCAGGGAACACGCTAGGATGGGCCAGAATCCTAAGGTGGCCTTTTCCTTTTCAACATTTTATTCTGAAAAATTTCAATCATACAGCAAAATTGAAGGAGCTATGTAGATAACACCCTGTACCCACCACCTGGAATCTACTATCAATGTTGTAGATATTGGCTTTATCACATATTCACCTACCTGTCCATTAATCTAAGGTGGGTTTGTACAACTTTATTTTAATTTTTTGGCATCCATTGTTGGTTATGAAATTTTATTGCATTTTATTTTCTTTATTTTGAGACAGGGCCTCACTCTGTCCCCCAGGCTGGAGTGCAGTGGTGTGATCACAGCTGACTGCAGCCTCAACTTCCCAGGCTCAAGCAATCCTTCTGTCTCAGCTTCCTAAGTAGCTGGGACTATAGGCATGCACCACCTTGACTAGCTGATTTTTTGTGTGTATTGTTTGTAGAGATGGGTTTTCCTCATATTGTCCAGGCTGGTCTCTCGCTTCTGGGCTCAAGCGATCTCCCCACCTTGGCCTCCCAAAATGCTGGGATTACAGGCTTGAGTCACTGTGCCTGGCTTATTTTTTATTTTTATTTTTTGAGACAGGGTTTCGCTCTGTTACCCAGGCTGGAGTGCCATGGTGAGATCACAGCTCACTGCAGCCACAACCTTCCTGGACTCAAGCGATCCTCCCACTTCAGCCTCTTGAATAGTTGAGAACACAGGCACGTGCCACCATGCCCAGCTAATTTTTTTTGTATTTATTGTGCAGACGGGGTCTCACTATGTTGCCCAGGCTGGTCTCAAACTCCTGGTCTCAAGCAATCCTTCTGCCTCAGCCTCCCAAAGTGCTGGGATTGCAGGCGTGAGCCACTGCTCCTGGCTAAAGCTTTATGTTAAATGGAGAATTAAAAACGTATACAAGAATGGAATAGTATAATGAACTGCCATGCCCCTGTCACACAGCTTCAACTGTCACCCACTCACAGCCAATCTTGTTTCATCTTTTTTGTCTGTTTGTTTTTTGAGAGAGGGTCTCCCTCTGTCACCCAGGCTGGAGTGCAGTGGCGCAATCTCGACTCATTGCAACCTCTGCCTCCCAGGTTCAAGTGATCCTCCCACCTCAGCCTCCTGAGTAGCTGGGACTACAGGTATGCACCACCATGCCTGGCTAATTTTTTTTAGTTTTAGTGGAGACAGGATCTTGCTATGTTGCCCAGGCTGGTCTCAAACTCTTGGGCTCAAGCAATCCTCCTGCCTCAGCCTCCCAAAGTGATGGGATGACAGGTATAAGCCACTGCGCCTGGCTTGTTTCATCTTTTTATATCTACTTCCCTTCCACACCCACTGGATAATTTTGAAGGAAATTGCAGACATCAGATAGTTTCCTCTGTTTTCAGTGTGTAGCTTTAAAAGATAAGGATGATCTTAAAGAGCATAACCACAATACCACTATCACCTAAAAGAAAAAAAAACAATAGTTTCTAAATATCATCAAATATCCAGTTTGTGTTCAGATTTCTCTGGTTGTCCCCAAAATGTCATTTTACCATTTCTTTGTTTGAATCAGAATCTAAGTAGGGTCATATATTTTATTTTATTTATTATTTATTTTTATTTTATTTTTTGAGACAATGTCTCACTCTGTCACCCAGTCTGGAGTGCAGTGGCATGGTCTTGGCTCACTGCAACCTTCGCCTCCCGGGCTCAAGCCTCCTAAGTATGTGAGATTACAGGTGTGCGCCACCACACCCAGCTAATTTTTGTATTTTTAGTAGAGACGGGGTCTGGCTATATTGCCCAGCCTGGTCTTGAACTCCTGGGCTCAAGTGACCCTCCTGCCTTGGCCTCCCAAAGTGCTGGGATTACAGTGTGAGGCAGCATGCTCAACCTTATTTATTTAATTATTTATTTTAATTTATTAAGACAGAGTCTTGCTCTGTCACCCAGGCTGGTGCGCAGTGGTGCCAACCGTACTCAACCTTATTTATTTATTTATTTTAATTTATTAAGACAGGGTCTCATTCTGTCACCCAGGCTGGTGCACAGTGGTGCAATCTTGGCTTACTGCAGCCTCAACCTCCTGGGATCAAACGATCCTCCCACCTCAGCCTCCCAAGTGGCTGGGACCACAGACACGCACTACCACACCTGGCTAATTTTTGTATTTTTTGTAGAGACGGTGTTTTGCCATGTTGCCCAGGCCAGTCTTGAACTCCTGACCTCAAACTATTCGCCCACCTCCACCTCCCATGTAATCCCAGAATATAAAACGTGCTGGGATTACAGGTGTGCACCACCACGCTCGACCAGGGTCATATATTTTAGGTGGTTGCTCTGTACCTTGAGTTTCATTTCATATGTAGATTTCCCCCTCCATTCCTTCTTCTTTCCCAACCCCCCAGAAATGTATTTGTTGAAGGAACCAGGCTATTTGTCCTGTGGCACTTTGCTCCTCAAAGTGTGGTCCCTGGACCAACCAGCAGGAGAGCTGCAGGATCTTTAGCTGGGTCTAGTCATGGGCACCTGCAGTTCCAGCTACCCTGGAGGCTGAGGCAGGAGGATCACCTGAGTCTGGGAGGCAGAGGTTGTAGTGAGCTATGATAGCGCCACTGCACTCCAGCCTGGGTGGCAGAGCGAGACACTGCTTCTTTTTAAAAAAGTTAAAATGGGCCGGGCGTGGTGGCTCACACCTGTAATCCCAGCACTTTGGGAGGCCGAGTTGGGCAGATCACCTAAGGTCAGGAGTTCGAGACCAGCCTGACCAACATGGTGAAACCCCATCTCTACTAAAAATACAAAAATTAGCCTGGCGTGGTGACGGGCGCCTGTAATCCCAGCTACTTGGGAGGCTGAGACAGGAGAATCGCTTGAACGTGGGAGGTGGAGTTTGCAGTGAGCCGAGATGATGCCACTGCACTCTCTAGCCTGGATGACAGAGTGAGACGTCATCTCAAAAAAATAAATAAACAAAATTAAATAAACCCAGAGTCTCAGACCCCTTCCCATGCCTGCCAAATCAGAATCTGTATTTTGACAGGATCCCAGGGGCTTCCTGTGTATATTAAATCTGGAGAGGGCTGGCCTGGTTTCCCATAGCCTGGATCTGGCTGGTGCATTCCTGTGGTGGCTTTTTAACATTTTCCTTTGTCCCCCATATTTCCTGTAAACTGGGAGTTGGGTCCCAGGGTGCAATTAGATCAGGTTTGGTGTGGGCGGGACTGCTTCAGAGACAATGTTGTTTGTGGAGGCAGAGGCTGGCTGGATGGGCTCCACTGGGAAGACGGGAGAGGGGCAAGACAGTCTGAGGACACTTCCTGGAATTTTTTGTTTTGAGATAGGGTCTTGTTCTGTCACCCAGGCTGAAGTGCGGTGGTGCAATCATGGCTCACTGCAGCCTCGACCTCCCAGGATCAAGCGATTCTCTCATCTTAGCCTCCTGAGTAGCTGCAACTACAGATATGGACCGCCATGCCTCGCTAATTTTTTATGTTTTGTAGAGATGGGGTCTCACTACGTTGCCCAGGCTGCTCTTGAACTCTTAGGCTCAGGTGACCCTCCCACTTCAGCCTCCCAAAGTTCTAGGATTACAGGTGTGAGCCATCACACTCTCTGGGTTTTGAATGAGTATGCTTGGGAGAGAAATGCGAAGGGCATTCCCAGTGCGGGGTGTGATGTGTGCAGAGACAGATGACAGGTTGCTCTGGGAAAGTTGGAGGAGGTTGGCCTGGCTGGATCAGAGGTGGGACAGTCTAAGGGTGACCTCTGAGCCATTTTGGAGCCTCTAACGCCCAGATGAGGACCTACAAATTGGCCCCAGAGTTTGAGGTCCAGAGTCAACCCTCCCTCCAGCCCACCCGTTTGCTCACCTCGTCCTCTTCTCCTCTGCCAGGTGGAACCCAACACTAAGCTATTTCCTGCCGTCTTCGTCCTGCCCACCCACCAGAACGTCATCCAGTTTGAGCTGGGGAAGCAGAAGGTACAAGTGCAGTGATGGGGGCACTAATGGGGCCAGGCTGAGGCAGGAGATGTGGGGAGGCCAGGCGGGCAGAGCCACTGAAGGGGAGGGGGCAATCCAAGAGGTCTCCCTGGAAGTGGTGTGGTGGGACAGAGGGGGCTGGCCATCTTGACCCATGTGTGTCTCTCTGCCCTCAGAACATCATGCCGTTGTCAGCCGCCATGTTCCAAAGCGAGCGCAAGAACCCGGCCCCGCAGTGCCCACCGCGGCTGGAGATGCAGATGCTGATGCCAGTGTCCTGGAGCCGCATGCCCAACCACTTCCTGCAGGTGGAGACGAGGCGTGCCGGCGAGCGGCTGGGCTGGGCCGTGCAGTGCCAGGAGCCGCTGACCATGATGGCGCTGCACATCCCCGAGGAGAACCGGTCAGGGCCAGCCCAGCTATGCAGGGGTGGGCAGGTGTTGCAAGCCCTCTGGGGTCTGGGTCCCACTCAGTGCCCCTCCTCAACACAACCCCGGGATTCCAGACTACACCCCAGGAATCTCCAGACCTACCTCAGGGGACTCGGGCTCAGCTCAGACATCCCCAGATTATGTCCCAGGGGGATTCAGACTCAACGCAGGAGGCTCTACACCATCCCAGTGGACCGCAGGCCCACCCTAAGGGAACCCAGACAATACCCCAAGGACCCAGACCCACTCCACAGGGCCCCAAACCCATCTCAGGGAGCCAGACCCACATCAACACCCCAGGGGGCCCCAAGTACACCCCAGGATCCCTGGACATGATTCAGGGAGGCTTGGATGCACCCTAGAGTCTCTTGGGCATATGCAGGGAGGCTTTAAGAAGAATCCCGTGGATATTTCAAACCCACCCCAGGGGACCCAGACACACCTAGGGCCACAGATGCGTTCACATGGATGGCAGGGTTACTCTTAAGAACTCTGAACGTGGCCAGGCACAGTGCCTCACACCTGTAATCCCAGCACGTTGGGAGGCTGAGGCAGGCAGGTCACCTGAGGTCAGGAGTCTCTACTAAAAATACAAAAATTAGCCAGTTGTGGTGGTGTGCACCCATCGTCCCAGCTACTCGGGAGGCTGAGGCATGAGAATTGCTTAAACCCAGGAGGCGGAGGTTGCATTGAGCTAGGATCACGCCACTGCACTCCAGCCTGGGCAACAGAGCAAGATGCCATCTCAAAAAATAGAATTCTGAACGTGGGAGGAATCCCAGACTCACCCAGGAGGCTTCTGACATGCCTCTTTCTTTCTTTCCTTCCTTCCTTCCTCCCTCCTTCCCTCTCTCCTTCCCTTCCTTCCTTCCTTCCCCTCTCCCTCCCTCCCTCCCTTCCTTCCTTCCTCTCTCCCTCCCTCACTTCCTTCCTTTATTCATTCATCCATTCAACAAATAGCTTTGGGTCCCTCCTATGTGCTAGGTAGTATTCCAGGCTGGAGACACCAAGCCCCTGTGAAGTGACATTCTAGTAATGCTTGTACATAACTCAGGATGCTCGGACATGCCCAAAGGGACCCAGGGTCATCCCCAGGGCCCCAGACACACCCGTTTATTAATTTATTCATTCAACAAATATTTATGGGTACAGTGGCTCATGTTTGTAATCTAAGCACTTCAGGAGGCTGAGGAGGAGGGAGGGTTGCTTGAGGCCAGGGGTTTGAAACCACCAGGAAGCACAGTGAGAACCCGTCTCCACATTTTTTTTTTCTTTTTAATTAGCTTGGCTTGGTGGCACACACATGTAGTCTCAGCTACTTGGGAGGCTGAGGCAGGAGGATTGCTTAAGCCCAGGAGTTCAAGGCTGCAGAGCTAGGATCGCACCACTGCACTCTAGCCTGGGCAACAGAGCAAGACCCCATCACTAAACAACAACAACAACAAATGCTAAGCACTTTACTATGTGCTAGGTGTGGTTTTAGGTGCTGGGAATATAACAAACAAAAGCAGAAACAAAACAGGCAGAAATGTCCTGCCCTTGGAATTTACATTCTAATGGCACTCAAACACAACTAGTATACTCAGACCTGCCAGAGGGGGACCCAGTCTGGGGGCCCAAACACATCTTGGAAACATCAGATGTTCTACATGGACTCTCAGACTCTTACGAAGTCCCAGACCATCCCAGGGACCCCAGAGGTATCCCAGGGGCCCCCAGATCCCTTAGGGACTTCCAGAACCATTGAAAGACTCCTAGACCCAGCTCCACTGCCCTCACAGAACCCTAAGCTAGGAGGCCACTGGAACTCCCTGCTGCAGCCTTCGACACTCGTCTAAGCATCTCTGCCTTTCTGGGGTCTGTGCCTCTGTCTCCCATCTTCTCCCAGGATGGGTGAATTGATAGATGGAATGGTAGGGGTTTGAAGGAAAGACGAATGAATAAATGGGTGGATAGTGATGAAGGAAATGGAGGAAGAGATGGTGGCTTGACTGATGCAGGAGGCTCATTCATCTGTCCCTGTCTGTTTCCCACCTCTGCTGCAGGTGCATGGACATCCTGGAGCTGTCGGAGCGCCTGGACCTGCAGCGCTTCCACTCGCACACCCTGCGCCTCTACCGCGCTGTGTGCGCCCTGGGCAACAATCGCGTGGCGCACGCTCTGTGCAGCCACGTAGACCAAGCTCAGCTGCTGCACGCCCTGGAGGACGCGCACCTGCCAGGCCCACTGCGCGCAGGCTACTATGACCTCCTCATCAGCATCCACCTCGAAAGTGCCTGCCGCAGCCGCCGCTCCATGCTCTCTGAATACATCGTGCCCCTCACGCCTGAGACCCGCGCCATCACGCTCTTCCCTCCTGGAAGGAGCACAGAAAATGGTCACCCCCGGCATGGCCTGCCGGGAGTTGGAGTCACCACTTCGCTGAGGCCCCCGCATCATTTCTCGCCCCCCTGTTTCGTGGCCGCTCTGCCAGCTGCTGGGGCAGCAGAGGCCCCGGCCCGCCTCAGCCCTGCCATCCCGCTGGAGGCCCTGCGGGACAAGGCACTGAGGATGCTGGGGGAGGCGGTGCGCGACGGTGGGCAGCACGCTCGCGACCCCGTCGGGGGCTCCGTGGAGTTCCAGTTTGTGCCTGTGCTCAAGCTCGTGTCCACCCTGCTGGTAATGGCTTCCTCCTGCTTTCCTCTGTCCCATTCTTCTCCCACATTCCCAAAACTCCAGAGATACATGCATCAATCCTCCTCTATTTATGCATCCAACCACCCATTCATTCCCTCCTCTATACATCCATCCACCTTTCTTTTTATTATTATTATTTTTTCGAGACGGAGTCTCACTGTCGCCCAGGCTGGAGTGCAGTGGCGCAATCTCAGCTCACTGCAACCTCCGCCTCCCAGGTTCAAGCAATTCTCCTGCCTCAGCCCCCCGAGTAGCGGGGACTACAGGCATGTGCCACCACGCCCCGCTAATATTTGTATTTTCAGTAGAGACTGCTTTCACCATGTTGGCCAGGCTGGTCTCAAACTCCTGACCTCCTGATCTGCCCACCTTGGCCTCCCAAAGTGCTGGGATTACAGGCGTGAGCCACCGCGTCCGGCCTCCATCCACCTTTCTATGTATCCTCCCACCATCTCCCTATCTTTCATTCACCTTTCCCTCCATCTGCTCACCTGTCATCTCTTTATGTTTATTCATCTCTTCTTTCTTCCTATTCATCTATCCAACCAACCATCATTCATCCATCCATCAATCCATCAGTCCTCCACCAGCCTTTCCATCCACCCATTCATCCTATCCATTCATGTGTATAGATCATCTTTCCATCAACAAGATCTTTCCATCAACATCTTTCCATCTGCCTTTCTATCCTTTTGTTCTCCACCCACTCCATTCATTCATTCATGTACCCATCTATCCAAGTTTCAATCTATTTGCCCATCCATCTTTTCATTCATTCATACAGCAGTCCATCTACCATTCCATCTGTTCATCTATCCACCTACCCATTTATGTATTAATCTATCTTTCCTTCCGTAGGTCCAATAATCATCTCCTCCCACCTATGCGTCCATCCATACCTACATCCACAGATCCATCCGTTCCTCCAGTTCCCACCTACCCTTCATCCATCCATCCATCTCTCCATTCATATGTACGTACACCCATCCACCTACCCACAAATCCATTTAGCCATCCACACCCATCCATCTACCCGTTCCCTATCCTTCTCTCCATCCCTTGTATCATGTACCCTTTTATTCGTAGACCCATCTAACTATTCATTTATATATCCATCTTTTTGGTTTTGTTTGTGTGTTTGTTTGTTTTGAGACAAAGTCTTGCTCTGTCACCCAGGCTGAAGAGTGCAGTGGAGCAATCTCAAATCACTGCAACCTCCGCTTCCCATGTTCAAGAGATTCTTCTGCCTCAGCCTCCCAAGTAGATGGGATTACAGGTGCCCGCCACCATGCCCGGCTAATTTTTGTATTTTTAATAGAGATGGGGTTTCACCATGTTGACCAGGCTGGTCTTGAACTCCTGACTTTGTGATCTGCCCACCTCGTCCTCCCAAAGTGCTGGAACTATAGGCGTGAGCCACCGTGTCCAGGCAAGACAGGGTCTCGCTCTGTCACCCAGGCTGGAGTGCAATGGCACAATAATGGCTCACTGTAGCCTCAACCTCCTGGGCTTCAGCAATCCTTCTGCCTCAGCCTCCTGAATAGCTGGGACTACAGGTGTGCACTACCATGCCCAGGTAAGTTTTAAATTTTTTGTAGAGGTGGAGTCTCGCTATTTTGCCCAAGCTGGTCTTGAACTCCTGGGCTCAAGCAATTCTCCCACCTTGGCCTCCCAGTGTTAGGATTACAGGCATGAGACGCTCTGCTCAACCTAATTTTGTTTTTATTTATTATTTTTAATTTAATTTTATTTTGTAAGAGACAGGGTAATGCCCAGGCTAGAATGCAGTGGTATGATTGTAGCCCACTGCAGTCTTAAACTCCTGGGTTCAAGTGGTCATCTTGCCTCAGCCTCCCGAAGTACTGTGATTACAGGTGTGAGCCACCACACCTGGCCCCAACTTTTCATACACAAACCTATCCAGCCATGTGGCCAACCATCCCCCCACCCTCATGGCTATTCACTAATTTATCTATTTATCCACATATTCATTTACTTCCTCATGCATCTATCAACCCATCCATCACCTACTCACCTACCTATACATCATTTATCCTTCTCTCATCCATCCACCCATCATCTCTTCCTCCATCATTTCCTTCATCTCTCCATCATCATCCACTTATTCATCTTTCCTTCAAACCTCTACCATTCCGACTCGGGATTCATCCAGCCAGCCATCCAATCCTCCCTCCATTCATCCATCTCTCTCTCTCCCCTGCACTCTTCTTCCCTTTCGTCTACTCCCTCTTTACTTCCATATGTTAGCATCTTTTAAACTTTAATTTATTTTGTTTTTGAGACAGACTCTCCGTCTGTCATGCAGGCTGGAGTGCAGTGGCATAATATCAGCTCCCTGCAACCTCTGCCTCCCAGATTCAAGTGATTCTCTTGCCTCAGCCTCCTGAGTAGCTGGGAATACAGGCGTGCACCACCACACCCAGCTAATTTTTTTTTGTATTTTTGTAGAGACGGGGTTTCACCATGTTGGCCAGGCTGGTCTCGAACTCCTGGCCTCAAGTGATCTGCCCGCCTTGGTCTCCCAAAGTGCTGGGATTACAGGTGTGAGCCTCGCCTCATGTGTTAGCATCTTCATTATGTTGACTGAGAGCTGGTGTATGCTGGGAGCTATGCAGGCGTAGGGTGTGTCCTGGGCCAGAGGACACAGCACATGCTTAGGCTTGGGAGAAAGGACACTCGCCTGTGATGGGAGAGGCACTCATATTTGGGTCTGTGGTCTGGGCTGTGTGGGTGGGACACAGGGTGTGGACCTGGGTGGATCTTAAGGAGGGTGGATGGCAAGGCGGGGGATGCCATTCCTGCTGTGGGAGGAATCGGATCAGCCAATGCAGGAATGATTGGCATGTGCATGAGGGGCAGGTCTGGAGAATGAGGCCAGGGCCTGATGATGGAGGCCTTGCAGGCCACAGTGAAGAACCGAGACTTTGTCCTGTAGGTGATGGGCATCTTTGGCGATGAGGATGTGAAACAGATCTTGAAGATGATTGAGCCTGAGGTCTTCACTGAGGAAGAAGAGGAGGAGGACGAGGAGGAAGAGGGTGAAGAGGAAGATGAGGAGGAGAAGGAGGAGGATGAGGAGGAAACAGCACAGGAAAAGGAAGATGAGGAAAAAGAGGAAGAGGAGGCAGCAGAAGGGGAGAAAGAAGAAGGCTTGGAGGAAGGGCTGCTCCAGATGAAGTTGCCAGAGTCTGTGAAGTTACAGGTGGGCTGCTGCTTCCTGCTTTTCGGCCTCTGTCCATCTGGGCTGGGAGACACAGGGTAGGTGGGATGTGAGTCTGGACTTCGTCCTCAGGCAGTGGGGAGCTGTGGAAATGCATATGGCAGTGAGCAATGCCAACTTGGAAAGATCTCTGTTTTCCATGGAGATGAGACCATGGAGAAGGCAGTCTTTTTTGTTTGTTTTTTGCGACAGAATTTTGCTCTGTCACCCAGGCTGGAATACAGTGGTGCGATCTCGGCTCACTGTAACCTCCGCCTCCCGGGTTCAAGCAATTCTCCTGCCTCAGCCTCCTGAGTAGCTGGGATCACAGGCATGTGCCACCACGCCCAGCTAATTTTTTGTATTTTTAGTAGAGATGGGGTTTCGCCATGTTGGCCAGGCTGGTCTTGAACTCCTGACTTCAGGTGATCCACCCACCTCGGCCTCCCAAAATGCTGGGATTACAGGCATGAGCCACCATGCTTGAGGAAGGCAGGCTTAAGGTTCCAGGCGGGAAATGATTTTGGCTGGACCTGGGCAGGGCCATGGAGAGGGGAGAGGAAGCAAGAGAAGTTTCAAGGAAGTCCTGATGGTCTCACCTCCATCTCTCCTCCCACACGGCTGTCCTTCCACAGATGTGCCACCTGCTGGAGTATTTCTGTGACCAAGAGCTGCAGCACCGTGTGGAGTCCCTGGCAGCCTTTGCGGAGCGCTATGTGGACAAGCTCCAGGCCAACCAGCGGAGCCGCTATGGCCTCCTCATAAAAGCCTTCAGCATGACCGCAGCAGAGACTGCAAGACGTACCCGCGAGTTCCGCTCCCCACCCCAGGAACAGGTCATCTGACCCCTGACGCTGGCCACTTTTACTGTCTAAACCCCAACCTCAACATCTCCTGACTCTGATCACTGAGGACCCTCAACCTCTAAACCCGTGCTTGACCCCTGACCCTAGTGATACATTTATCTCCTACTCTCTGAATCAACCTGACCTCTGAGTCACCTCAGACTGATGCTGACTCTTTTCAAACCTCTGGCCCTAGTCTCCCAAATAGTCTTCATTAACTCACACTTCGACTCATGACCTTAGACATGGACTAACAATTGCATCTTCTATCTCTGATCTCAGAGTTCCTGCTTTGGGATCTCAGACCCTCATTCTAATCTTTGACCTTCCCCTAGATCAATATGCTATTGCAATTCAAAGATGGTACAGATGAGGAAGACTGTCCTCTCCCTGAAGAGATTCGACAGGATTTGCTTGACTTTCATCAAGACCTGCTGGCACACTGTGGTAAGGAGTGGGGATCAGAGAGTCCTCCCCATGCTAACTTTCTCTCGAGACCTCTCCAGAAGTTTCCCTAAGATTTCCTGACAACCCTCTACAGTATCGGTGCTATGTAACTATTGGTTGAATGAATGAATGAGTGAGTGAATGAATGTGTTAGTGAACAGTTAGACAATGCGTGTTTATATGGGTATTTGGGTGGATGGCTATAAGCCAGATAAATGAATGGGTATGTGAATTGATGGATAGAAGAAGTGGGTAAAAAATGGCTGGCTGGATAGATGGAAGGATGAAGAGAAGGATGGATGGATGGTTGAGAACTGGGTGGAGAGATGGCTGGCTGGGTGGAAGGACAGATGGATGACCTCCATAGTTTCTGATGAGAAGTCTGCTGATAGTCTTACTGAGATTCCCTTGCACATGATGAATTATTTTTCCTTGGCTGACTTTTAAGATTTTCTCTTTGTCTTTGCCTTTCAACAATTTAGTATGACGTGTCTAGGTGTAGAGCTCTTTGAATTTATCCTGTTGAAAGTTTGTTGAGTTTCTTGGATATATACTTACTTTTTATCAAAGTTGGAATATTTTTGACAATTATTTATTCAAATACTTTTCTGCCCCTTTCCTCTTCCTCTGGGACTCTCATTATGCATATATTGGTACACTTGATGGCATCCCACAGGTCTCTGAGGATTTCTTTCATTTTGCTTTTTTTTTTTTTTTGAGACGGTCTCACTCTGTCACCCAGCAGGAGTGCAGGGGCACAATCTTAGCTCACTGCATCCTCTGCCTCCTGGGCTCAAGCCATCCTCCTACCTCAGCCTCCAAAGTAGCTGGGAGAACAGGTGTGTGCCACCACGCCTGGCTAATTTTTTAATTTTTTTATAGAGTCGGGGTTTTGCCATATTGCCCAGGCTGGTCTTGAACTCCTGGGCTCAAGCAATTTGCATGCCTGGGCCTCCCAAAGTGCTGGATTACAGGTGTGAGCCACTGCACCTGGCCCATTTTTCTTCATTCTTTTACTTTTCTGTTCTTCAGGCTAGACAATCTCTATGTCCTATCTTCAAGTTCACTGACTGTTTCTCCTATCAGCTCAAATATGCTGTTGAACCCCCCTAATAATTTTTTATTTCAGTTATTTTATTTTTCAACTCCAGAATTTCTATATTTTAACAGTCTGCCTTTTTATTAGTATTCACTACTGGATAAGTCACTATTATGATATTTCCTTTTAATTCTTCAGACATGGTTTCCTTTAGTTCTTTGAACATATTTGCAAAATTGATTTAAAAGATAAATGTTTGATAGAATGAATAAATGAACAAATACATGAACATACAAAGAAATAAATGAGGCCAGGGGTGGTGGCTCATGCCTGCAATCCCGGCATTTTGGGAGGCTGAGGTGGGTGGATTGCTTGAGCTCAGGAGTTCAAAACCAGCCTGGGCAACATGGCAAGACCCCCATCTCTACAGAAAAAGATACAAAATTAACAGGGCATGGTGGCATACACCTGTAGTCCCAGCTACTCAGGAGGCTGAGGTAGGAGGATGGCTTGAGCCTAGGAGGCAGAGGTTGCAGTGAGTTGACATCATGCTACTGCTCTCCACTGCAACAGAACAAGACACTGTCTCAAAAAAAAAAAAAAAAAGGAAATGAAAAACTCCATGCATGCATGCACATATGCACAAATAAATGAGTGTGTAAGCAGGTGAATAAGCAAACTAATGAATGACATTTCCCGCCTTCTTGACCACTTCCAGGAATTCAGCTAGATGGAGAGGAGGAGGAACCAGAGGAAGAGACCACCCTGGGCAGCCGCCTCATGAGCCTGTTGGAGAAAGTGCGGCTGGTGAAGAAGAAGGAAGAGAAACCTGAGGAGGAGCGGTCAGCAGAGGAGAGCAAACCCCGTGAGGACTGGGGTCACTGGGGAGAGGGCAGGGGTGGGGTGGGTAGCCCCATGCCTGCGGAGCCTCTGGGTCCCAAAGAGGGCATGAGGACAGATGCAAGGGAGGGGTAGATAGGCAGGAGTGAGAGGGGAAGAGTGGCGGGCAAAGTGGAAGCAGGCGTGGTGGCTCACGCCTGTAATCCCAGCACTTTGGGAGGCTGAGGCGGGTGGATCACTTGAGGTCAGGATTTGGAGACCAGCCCGGCCAACATGGTGAAACCCCCTTCTCCACTAAAAATACAAAAATTAGCTGGGTGTGGCGGTGCATGCCTGTAATCCCAGCTACTTGGAGACTGAGGCACGAGAATTGCTTGAATGCAGGAGGTGGGGGTTGCAGTGAGCCCAGATTGCGCCACTGCACTCCAGCCTGGGTGACAGAGCGAGACTCTGTCTCAAAAAAAAAACAAAAACAAAGATGCATGCTGGAGGTTTGCCTCCAGAGATGGGGGCTGTAGAACGTGTGTGTTGGACCAGGGTGACACAGCCTACCAGCTTAGTGGCAAACCTCTAACTAAGGGATGGCGGTAACCCTGAACCACTGTGGCTTCCGTGGCCTTGGGGCTTCTCTTTTCTTTCTTGATGAGAGGATTACCATGCTGAGGGATTAGACAAGCAGCTATCATTAATGTTGGGCCAATGTGTTATTTTGCAAACTGTATATTAGCCACATCTAACAAGGACAGATTTCCTGACGTTGGTACAGGTTTTATCCCACAACATTCAGGAAACTTTTATGGGGCCAACTATGGGCCAGGCACTGTTACCAGGGCTGGGAAATACAGCCGAGGGGGGAAAGTCAAAGCCCCTGCCCACGAGTTTAGATTTTTTCTTTTTCTTTTTCGTTTTTTTTTTTTTTTTTGAGGCAGGGTCTCACTGCGTCGCCCAGGCTAGATAGAGTGCAGTGGCGCGATCTTGGCTCACTGCAACCTCCGCCTCCTGGGTTCAAGCGATTCTCCTGCTTCAGCCTCCAGAGTAGCTGGGACTACAGGCGCGCAGCACCATGCCTGGCTAATTTTTGTATTTTTAGTAGAGACGGGGCTTCACCATGTTGGCCAGGCTGGTCTCAAACTCCTGACCTCAGGTGATCCACCCGCCTCAGCCTCCCAAAGTGCAGGGATTACGGCTGTGAGCCACCGCACCCAGCCAAATCCACAGTATTTTTATAGAACAAGTGGGATTGTGACATGTGCCTTCAAAGGTGCATGGCGAAGTGCTTCTGGTCGGCTCTGGTATCTTGCAGTTGTACAGTTTATTATTCCTATTGAAATTTTTAGGAAGCCCTTGTGGGCTGGATATTAGGGTGAACAGAACAGAGAGATTCTTGGGCGAATAGAAAAAAGTTTGCCAGGCTGGGCACAGTGGCTCACACCTATAACCCTAGCCCTTTGGGAGGCCACAGTAGGAGGATCACTTGAGCCCGGGAGTTCGAGGCTGAAGTGAGCTGTGATAGCCCCACAGCACCCTAGCCTGGGCAACAGAGCAAGACACTGTCTCTAAAAGAAAAAAAGGAAAACAATCTGCTAGAATCTGCCTGCTCCCAGCAGGTGGAGGGCGCAGGTGGTAGTAACTGGGAAAACTTCTGGAACAGGGGGCCCCTTCCACATTGTTCTGGTCCAAGGCCCCATGTGCCGACCTGCCCTGCATGGTGCTCCAAGCCTTGCATTGTCTCCTTCCCAGGGTCCCTGCAGGAGCTGGTGTCCCACATGGTGGTGCGCTGGGCCCAAGAGGACTTCGTGCAGAGCCCCGAGCTGGTGCGGGCCATGTTCAGCCTCCTGCACCGGCAGTACGACGGGCTGGGTGAGCTGCTGCGTGCCCTGCCGCGGGCGTACACCATCTCACCGTCCTCCGTGGAAGACACCATGAGCCTGCTCGAGTGCCTCGGCCAGATCCGCTCGCTGCTCATCGTGCAGATGGGCCCCCAGGAGGAGAACCTCATGATCCAGAGCATCGGGTGAGACACCGCCCTTCCCCCTTACTTTGCATATCCCCTTGGGTAATGAATACCCTCAGGATACAATAACATTCCCTTCCCCAACTTCTGGCCCATCCTCTGGGTGATCTCAGTCTCTCGATGGCTAGCTCACCTCCTGGGTAATGTCTCCTTCCCTTACCTCTCCGCCCTCAGTGGTAGCAGCTCCGCTTCTGTGTGACTCTCAGCAGGACATTCCCCACCCCCCCCTTTTTTTTTTTTTTTGTGAGACTGAGTCTCACTCTGTCACCCAGGCTGGAGTGCAATGGCGCAATCTCAGCTCACTGCAACCTCCGCCTCCCAGGTTCAAGCAATTCTCCTGTCTCAGCCTCCCAAGTAGCTGGGATTACAGGCACGCACCACCATACCAGGCTAATTTTTTATATTTAGTAGAGACAGGGTTTCACCATGTTGATCAGACTAGTCTCGAACTCCTAACCTCAGGTGATCCACCCGCCTCGGCCTCCCAAAGTGCTGGGATTAGAGACGTGAGCCACCACACCCAGCTGAGGTTTACCCTTTTTGAGCTTCAGTTTCCTCATCTGTAAAACCGGGGAGAGCCAAGCCTACTCTGAAGGGTTGTGCTGTGGCTTCAGTGAGCTCATGCGAATAATAATAATTATGGTAGCAGTATTGAGCACTCATTGTCAAATAAATCTCATTCACACAGTAAACATTTATTAAGCACCTACTTCGTGCCAGGCATTTCTAGGTGTTTTTGAGACAGGGCCTCACTCTGTTGCCCAGGCTAGAGTGCAGTGGCCCAATCACAGCTCACTGCAGCCTCAACTTCCTGGGCTCAAGCGATCCTCCTGCCTCAGTCTCCTGAGTAGCTGGGACTACAGACACACACCACCATACCCAGCTAATTTGTAAATTTTTTTGTAGAGGTAGGGTCTTGCTATGTTGCCCAGGCTGGTCTTGGACTCCTGGGCTCAAGTGATCCTCCTGCCTTGGCCTCCCAAAGGGCTGGAATTACAAGGCAAAAGCCACCATGCTGGGACAACATTTGACAAAGGGCAACATGGCAAAGATCTCTGCCCTAGAGGAGCCTGCCTTGGGTGCACGCCTCAGTCTCCTTATGAGGGAAACAGGGACCCTTCCTCCCACAGTGGCTGTAGGAATTTTTTTTTTTTATTTTTTGAGATGGAGTCTTGCTCTGTTGCCAAGCCTGGAGTGCGCAATGTCTGCTCACTGCAACCTCCGCATACCGGGTTCAAGCGATTCTCCCACCTCAGCCTCCTGCGTAGCTGGGATTACGGGTATGCGCCACCACGCCTGGCTAATTTTTGTATTTTTAGTAGAAATGGGGTTTCACCATGTTGGCCAGGCTGATCTCGATCTCCTGACCTCAAGTGATCCTCTAGCTTCGGCCTCCCAAAGTGCTGGGATTACACGCATGAGCCACCGCACCCGGCCAGCTGTAGGAATTGAGTGAGTTCAGATCTGTAAAGGCGGTGGTGCTAGGCACAGAGTGAGAGGGTCAAGAATGCCAACGCTGTCACAGTGGTGGCTATGGCCCTCTCCGGACCTGGGCCCCTGGTGACCCCGCACACTCTGCCCGTGCACAGGAACATCATGAACAACAAAGTCTTCTACCAACACCCGAACCTGATGAGGGCGCTGGGCATGCACGAGACGGTCATGGAGGTCATGGTCAACGTCCTCGGGGGCGGCGAGTCCAAGGTGAGGGCCCAGGCAGGTGCTGGGGAGCTCAGGGGAGGCAGCCACAGAGGGCAGGCCCTGACCACCCTGCCTGTCCCAGGAGATCCGCTTCCCCAAGATGGTGACAAGCTGCTGCCGCTTCCTCTGCTATTTCTGCCGAATCAGCCGGCAGAACCAGCGCTCCATGTTTGACCACCTGAGCTACCTGCTGGAGAACAGTGGCATCGGCCTGGGTGAGAACCCCCGAGCCCAGGGGCTGTCCCCCAGAACCCACTCCTGGCACCCCGTCCAGGCCTGCCCCACTTTCCACCAGCTCACTCATTCAACAAACACTCCCTCTCAACTGTGGTTCTGGCCCTGTAATGAGTAATGCTGGGGACACAATAGTGACCCCAATAGTGACAGCCCAGAGTGGTCAGAGCTTGGATGAGGGAAGTACAGACCAGAGGAGGCACCTGATCCAGGCTGGAAAAAGGGTGGTCAGGGAGGGCTTCCCAGAGGAGGCGAGACAAGCAGGAGTGAGATGTTCTCCCCACCTCTCGCCCCTGCAGGCATGCAGGGCTCCACGCCCCTGGACGTGGCTGCTGCCTCCGTCATTGACAACAATGAGCTGGCCTTGGCATTGCAGGAGCAGGACCTGGAAAAGGTGTGGAGGGCAGGGCTGGGCCCCAGGCCTAAGGGAGGAAATCGGGCCGCTACCCGGCTGCTTGGGACACCTGCTGATTCCAAACTCATTCTGGGGGGCAATTCTGGATGGTCCAGTGCCCAACCAGAAGGAGACTAATTTGCAGGGAGAGAACGGCACCCAGTTGTTCATTCATGGGATGCTTCCTGGCTGTGGGCCGGTCCGCACTCCACGCTTCCCGTCTGGGGGCAGGTCCACAGTCTACGCTTCCGGGATGGGGGCGGATCCGCACTCTAACTTCCAGGCTGGGGGCGGATCCGCAGTCTACACTTCCGGGCTGGGGGCGGATCCGCACGCTACGCTTCCGGGTTGGGGGCCGATCCACAGTCTAGGCTTCCAGCCAGGTGGCCTTGGCACATTTCTTCGCTCTCCGAGCTTCCACTTCTGTGTACAGTGGTGAAATGCGTGGGCTCCAGACTTCAGCAACTTTGCTTCTGCTCCCCTCGCTCCCTGGCTGTGTGGCCTTGGATAAGTGACTTAGACTCTCCAGACCCCTGTTGTCTCATCTGTACAATGAATGTAGTCATAGAAACGACTTCATGGAGTCATTCTGAGGATTAAATGAATTAATCCAGTAAAGTGTTTGTAAAGGGGCAGTCAGTAACGTTAGCTGCTGTTATATTATCATTCAACAAATATGTAGTGTTAGCTTACCATATGCAAAGCAGTAGCAATATGACAGTCAAAAATCCCTGTCTGGCCAGGCAAAGTGGCTTACATCTATAATCCCAGCACTTTGGGAGGCCGAGGCAGGAGGATCACTTAAGCTCAGGAGTTTAAGACCAGCCTGGACAATATAGGGACACCTTGTCTCTACAAAAAATACAAAAAGTAGGTGGGTGTAGTGGCACGTAACTGTAGTCCCAGCTACTCAGGAGGCTAAGGTGGGAGGATTTGATAGAGCCTGCGAGGCTGAGGCTGCAGTGAGCTATGGTCACACCACTGCACTTCACCTCAGGGACAGAGCGAGACCCCTTAAAAAAAAAAGTGGCCAGAGAAAGCCTCATTGAGAAAGTGACATTTGTGTAAAGCTCTGAAGGAAGGTGACAGGTCAGGTGGTCATCATGGGGAAGAGCATTCTAGGCAGCGGGAACAGCCAGTGCAAAGGCCCTGAGGCAGGAGCAAACCTCATAAGCTGGAGGAACAGCAGAAAGACAGCTGTGGCTGGAGCAGAGGTAGTGAGGGTGAGGGCAGGAGGTGACAGGTGGGTCATGTGGCATCTCATCGGTCACAACAAGGGCTCTGGCTTTTACCCTGAGTGAGAGGAGGCCAGGATTCTGAGCAGAGGAGGGACGTGACCTGACTCAGGTGTTCACAGGGTCCCTCTGGCTGTGTGTGGGGAACAGATTGAGGGGAAGGCAGAAGGACAGAAGGACAGGGAGGAGGCTCGTGTTGTGGTCCAGGTGGGAGACAAGGGTGGACAGAACCGCTACAGGAAAGGGGTCTGGATCCAGGCCCAAAGAGAAGGTTCTTGGATCTCATGTAAGAAAGAATTCAGGGCAACTCCATAGAGTAAAGTGAAAGCAAGTTTATTAGGAAAGTAAAGGAATAAAAGAATGGCTAATCCATAGACAGAGCAGCCCCAAGGGCTGCTGGTTGCCCATTTTTATGTTATTTCTTGATGATATGCTGTTTAGCATAACAAGGGGTGGATTATTCATGCCTCCCCTTTCTAAACCATGTAGGGTAACTTTCTGATATTGCCATGACATTTGTAAACTGTCGTGGCGCTGGTGGGAGTGCAGCAGTGAGGATGACCAGAGGTCACTCTCGTTGCCATCTTGGTTTTGGTGGGTTTTGGCCGGCTTCTTTACTGCAGCCTATTTTATCAGCAAGGACTTTATGACCTGTATCTTGTGCCAACCTTCTATCTTGTTCTGTGACTTAGAATGCCTTAACCATCTGGGAATGCAGCCCAGTAGGTCTCAAGCTCCTGTTCAAGATGGAGTTGCTGTAGTTTACAGGCCTCTGACAGGACCAGGGCTAATGGGCCGAGGGATCAGAGCTGAACCGGACTGAGGAGCCGCAGGGCAGGGCAGGGCAGGGCAGAGGGCTGAGCCCCAGGAGGAAGGTGGCATGGGTCTGGTCTCTGACTGAGCCCCTTCTGCCCCCAGGTTGTGTCCTACCTGGCAGGCTGTGGCCTCCAGAGCTGCCCCATGCTTGTGGCCAAAGGGTACCCAGACATTGGCTGGAACCCCTGTGGTGGAGAGCGCTACCTGGACTTCCTGCGCTTTGCTGTCTTCGTCAACGGTGAGGAGGGGGTGGCAGTGGCAGAGCGGGAAGTATGGAGTCACTGGTCACACACCTCCCTCGAGATGACTGCTCGCACCCTGAGCCACAGATGGGGTCCAGGCAGGAATCCCTTCCAGCAGGCCTGGGGCTGGCAGGGGCCTGTGTTACCCCTGGAGGTGTTGGGTCCTGTGGCTGGCAGTGTTGGATCCTGGGGCTGGCGGGAGCCTGGTGTTACCCCTAGAGGTGTTGGGTCCTGGGGCTGGCAGGGGCCTGGTGTTACCTCTGGAGGTGTTGGGTCCTGGAGCTGGATGGGACCTGTGTTACCCCTGGAGGTGTTGGGTCCTGGGGCTGCATGGGGAGGTCTCTGATGGTGGCTCATGAGACCCCCTTTCCCCATGCGGGTGGCCAGGCGAGAGCGTGGAGGAGAACGCCAATGTGGTGGTGCGGCTGCTCATCCGGAAGCCTGAGTGCTTCGGACCCGCCCTGCGGGGTGAGGGTGGCTCAGGGCTGCTGGCTGCCATCGAAGAGGCCATCCGCATCTCCGAGGACCCTGCGAGGGATGGCCCAGGCATCCGCAGGGACCGGCGGCGCGAGCAGTGAGTCTCCCGGCCCCCTCCTCAATAGGGCAACCCGCCCTCCCTGGCCCCTGGCTGCCTCCCCAACCCACCCACCTTCCCTGCAGCTTTGGTGAGGAACCGCCTGAAGAAAACCGGGTGCACCTGGGACACGCCATCATGTCCTTCTATGCCGCCTTGATCGACCTGCTCGGACGCTGTGCACCAGAGATGCATGTGAGACCCTGAGCCAGGGCAGGATGGGAAGGGAGGGCAGGCACAGCCGCTTTGAACGCCTCATGCAGGCACTCGGTGACACGGAGTGAGCTCCCATATGTGGGTGGTCCTGGACTAGCAATGTTGGGGACACAACAGTGACCAAGACAGCCCCAGGGCCTGGTCTCACAGAGCTCCCAGTCCAATGGGGGAGACGGACAGTGACACCCAGAGTGGTCAGGGCTGGGATGGGGGAGCACAGGAAGAGGGGTCGGGGCTGGGATTGCAGGGCACACGGAGAGGACTCAGGATGGGGATGGGGAACACAGGGAGAGGGGTCAGGATGGGGATGGGGTCACAGGGATAGGGGTCGGGGCCAGGATGAGGGGTCGCAGGGAGAGGGGTCAGGATGAGGTTGGGGGGAACAAGGAGAGAGGTCGGGACTGGGGTGGGGGGGCACAGGCAGAGGAACGAGGGCTGGAAACTCTAGACAGCCTCCTGAGAAAGAGGCCTGCTCTACCCTCCTGTGTGGTAAGGGAGGGAGCAGAGCAGTCACTGAGTGGGGCACCAGCGCCTGATGAGTGCCCCTCTCCCTCCCTCTACTCCCCAGCTAATCCAAGCCGGCAAGGGTGAGGCCCTGCGGATCCGCGCCATCCTCCGCTCCCTTGTGCCCTTGGAGGACCTTGTGGGCATCATCAGCCTCCCACTGCAGATTCCCACCCTGGGCAAAGGTGCAGAGGGGATGGAACTTGGCGAAGGAGTGATGCTGGGGAGGGAGCGGCTGGGTCCGCAGGGCATCCCCGAACCCACCCTCCCTGCCTGCAGATGGGGCTCTGGTGCAGCCAAAGATGTCAGCATCCTTCGTGCCGGACCACAAGGCGTCCATGGTGCTCTTCCTGGACCGTGTGTATGGCATCGAGAACCAGGACTTCTTGCTGCACGTGCTGGACGTGGGGTTCCTGCCCGACATGAGGGCAGCCGCCTCGCTGGACACGGTGAGCAACCCTGCCCAGCCTGGCCACCCTCCCCACTTCCACAGAGGGACAGGAGATGGGTCACGGTAGAGCAGCAGCAGCTGCTTTTGTTTTTCTTGGGATTGTGGACATATCATAATCCCCAATACCATCATCAAGATAGAAAATGAAAACGAAGAAACACTGAATTCCGATGAAGGGTGAGTAGGAATCTCCAAGACCTCCAGTTATAAGAAATCATCATTTGAGGTCAGGCGTGGTGACTCGCGCCTGTAATCCCAGCACTTTGGGGAGCCGAGGCGAGCGGATCACAAGGTCAGGAGTTCGAGACCAGCCTGACCAACATGGTGAAACCGCATCTCTACTAAAAGTACAAAAATTAGCCAGACGTGGTGGCGCACACTTGTAATCCCAGCTACTCAGGAGGCTGAGGCAGGAGAATCACTTGAACCGGGGAGGCGGAGGTTGCAGTGAGCCGAGATCGTGCCGCTGCACTCCCGCCTGGCAATGGAGCGAGACTCCATCTCAAAAAAAATATTTTGTTCGCAGTATTGGTTTGGTACTGTGGGCACACAGAACTCTGTACAGGAACAGCAATAACAGAAGGGTGACAGGGCAAGGAAGATGAGCACTGAGAAGTGACCACCGATTTGGCAAAGTCAAGGTCACTGGAAATGGGGATGAGCAGTTTCAGCAGGGGACAGAAGCCTTCCGAGAGGGGGTTTAAGAGAGCCTGGGGCTGTGCATGGTGGCTCACCCCTGTAATAACTTTGGGAGGCCGAGGCGGGTGGGTTGCTTGAAGCCAGGATTTTGAGACCAGCCTGGGCAACATGGAGAGATCCTGTCTCTACAAAAAAAATTTAAATATTAGCTGGGCATGGTGCTGCACACCTGTAGTCCCCTCTACTAGAGAGGCTGAGGTGGGAGAATCACTTGAGGGACAGACATTGAGGCTGCAGTGAACCATGATTACATCTCTGCATTCCAGCCTGGGCGACAGAGCGAGACCTTATCTCAGAAAAAAAAAAGAAAAATAAATTAGCCAGGCATGGAGGTGCGTCCCTGTAGTCCTAGCTACTAGGGAGGCTGAGGCAGGAGGATCACTTGAGCCCAGGAATTCGAGGCTGCAGGGAGCTATGATTGCACCACTGCACTCCAGCCTGGGCGACAGAGACCCCTGTCTCTAACAGATGAAAAAGAATGTATTACAGGAAGAAAGATGAGGGTTAGAGAGGAGATAAGCGTGCAGACCATTGATATTTACAGAAGAGCCAAATCTGTAATGGGGTTCATTAATCTCATCGACCAGTTGTGTGTGTTTGAAATTTTGCATAATCCAAAGTAGTAAGTGGTGGGGTGGGGGCTGTGGGCATAGGGGTGTGGGCATAGGGTGGGAGGAGGGTGGTAGAGATTGGG
Source organism: Homo sapiens (assembly GCF_000001405.40). Taxonomy (NCBI): domain Eukaryota; kingdom Metazoa; phylum Chordata; class Mammalia; order Primates; family Hominidae; genus Homo; species Homo sapiens. The sequence continues at coordinate 38,502,386 of NC_000019.10, forward strand.
AGGAGCAGGTTTTGGGGGAGTCATCAGAAGCTTGGATCCTTTGGCCACAGTCGCTCAAGACAGGTGCCAGAGCAGCCCCAGGGGTGTGCAGCGGGCCTGATGTCCTCACCCTGCGCCCTAGGCCACTTTCAGCACCACCGAGATGGCGCTGGCGCTGAACCGCTACCTGTGCCTGGCCGTGCTGCCGCTCATCACCAAGTGTGCGCCGCTCTTTGCGGGCACAGAACACCGCGCCATCATGGTGGACTCTATGCTGCATACCGTGTACCGCCTGTCTCGGGGTCGTTCGCTCACCAAGGCGCAGCGTGACGTCATCGAGGACTGCCTCATGTCGCTCTGCAGGTGGAGCGGGGCAGGCTTCAGGGTGGGGCAGGGGCAGGGGCAGGGGCAGGGGCAGGGGCAGGGGCAGGGGCAGGGGCAGGGGGAGGAGCAGGGGCAGGGGCAGCAGAGCGGGCCTGGACGGGGGATTCTACATCTTGTGCATTGTCCCGCAGGTACATCCGCCCGTCGATGCTGCAGCACCTGTTGCGCCGCCTGGTGTTCGACGTGCCCATCCTCAACGAGTTCGCCAAGATGCCACTCAAGGTGAGGGCAAGCGCTCTTTAGCATCTCATTTCCAGGCCGCACCCACTGGTTTGCTCTTCCCTCCTACTGCGGGGCTCATTTGTGTCGGCACTGCCCAGCCCAATAAACCTGCACTAGTTAGGGCAGCGTCCCCGTAGAAATCTCTTAGCATCCTTATTTGCATACTAGGATTCCCAGAACATTCACTTTGCTTCATTGATGCCTCTAGCGTTCCCTAATTAGCATTTAATTTGCTTAACAGTGAGCCAGCCCCCGCTTCAATTAGCATATATTTGCATGGAGCACACCACTTTCCCTAATTAGCATGTTTATTTGCATGCCTGGACCACCAGACTTCCACTATTCAAATGAGTGCATTTATTTGAATAAACATTATCACAGCTATTCTGAATATTTGCACACTGTCTCTCTTATTTTTTCATTTGCATGCTAATTTGCATAAAGAGATACCCCCAACTCAGATATTTTGACTATTTTGCATAATACATCGAAATCAGCTCCTATTTCAAATTTGCATTTTAGCCAGGCGCGGTGGCTCACGCCTGTAATCCCAGCACTTTGGGAGGCCGAGGTGGGCAGATCACTTGAGGTCAGGAGTTCGAGACCAGCCTGGCCAACATGGCGAAACCCCATCTCTACTAAAACTACAAAAATAAGCCAGGCATAGTGGAGCACGCCTGTAATCCCAGCTACTCTGGAGGCTGAGGCTGGAGAATTTCTTGAACCTGGGAGGCGGAGGTTGCAGTGAGCCGAGATCGTGCCACTGCACTCCAGCCTGGTCAAGAGAGTGAGACTCCACCTCAAAAAAAAAAAAAAAATTTGCATTTTGGATAGTGGAGGCCCTCTTCCCAATTACCATATATTTGCATGGGGTGCAGCCTTTGTTTCTACTTGGTATGTTAATTTACATAAGCACAGATTGCTGCATCCATATGCCCATTTACTCACTACATACCCATGGATTAATATTAGCACGCTTATTTGTGTAAAGCAATACCAGACACAACCAGCTCTAGTTTAATGCCCATTTTAACTCTAAATTAAGAATGCTAAATTTGCATACTAAGCTGTCTAGGACCACTCCTCAATAAACATACCATTTCTTCCCTTATTAGCATATCATTTGCATAACCCACACCTCCTTCATAATTTAAAAGCACTGGCATGCCTGTGTCTCTCTGGGCCTTCGTCTGCCTGCCATTCGCTGGTGCCCCCCTCATTTGTGTGTCCCCCTCTTGTTCCCACCCAGCTCCTCACCAACCACTATGAGCGCTGTTGGAAGTACTACTGCCTACCCACGGGCTGGGCCAACTTCGGGGTCACCTCAGAGGAGGAGCTGCACCTCACACGGAAACTCTTCTGGGGCATCTTTGACTCTCTGGCCCATAAGGTCTGGGCAGCAGGGAGCCCCAAAATGGCCTATGTGGAGGGTTTGGGGCCCAAAATTGGGGGTCCAGAGTGAAATCCCTCAATTTTGGGGGGTTCAAGGAGGAGAAGGTTCTGCAAGTTTGGATCTAGGAGGATCTATGGGTTGAGGCTTCGATTTGGAGGTTATGAAAGAGGGGGTGGACCTCTAGTTTGGGAGCTTGGAGAGGGCAATATGGGGATGATTTGAGCATACAATTGGGACTGACATTTGGGTTTCAAGGAGAGGGACCATAATTCAGGTTTGGGGTTCAGGGAGGAGGGCTGATGATTGCAGTGTGTGAGTTTGAGGTCCTGGGGGTCAGTAAGGCTTATAGCGACCTCCTACCCCTGCTTCACCCGGTTTTCCCAGAAATACGACCCGGAGCTGTACCGCATGGCCATGCCTTGTCTGTGCGCCATTGCCGGGGCTCTGCCCCCCGACTATGTGGATGCCTCATACTCATCTAAGGCAGAGAAAAAGGCCACAGTGGATGCTGAAGGCAACTTTGATCCCCGGCCTGTGGAGACCCTCAAGTGAGGCCTGGGGGCTGGGAGACAGAGAGGAAGATTTCAGGGGTGGAGGGAACCCCAGCTCCAACATCTGCTGACCCTGTGCCCCCAACAGTGTGATCATCCCGGAGAAGCTGGACTCCTTCATTAACAAGTTTGCGGAGTACACACACGAGAAGTGGGCCTTCGACAAGGTTGGCCTCAGGGTCCTCCTATCCAAGAAACCCTCAAGACCCCAGCTTTCCCCCCGACCTGGTTCTTCCCTGAGGCCCCAGATCTCCCTGAGACCCCCCAGCCTTCCCTAAGACCCTTAGCTTGTTCTGGGACCCCCCCAGGATTCTCTGTCCTCGGCTCCTCCAGGGTCGCCCCGTGTGTCCCCAACTGCTGCCTCCCCCTCACCCTGCCTCCCCTCCATCTCTAGATCCAGAACAACTGGTCCTATGGAGAGAACATAGACGAGGAGCTGAAGACCCACCCCATGCTGAGGCCCTACAAGACCTTTTCAGAGAAGGTGACCAGGCCTTGGGGCCCAGCATTGAGGGTCAAAATGAAACCCCCAAATTTGAGGATTCGGGGAGGAGTGAGGCAATTTCACATGTTTGCATCTAGGTGGATCTGTGGGTTAGGTCTCCCCATTCATGGACTTTGCCTTCTCTCAAACTTGGTAGAGTGGGTAGAGACTCCGAGAGAGTGGGTTTGATTCCTTGGCTGTAGTAAGACTTCTCGGAGACTCAAGTGTCTAATGGGATAAGGAGATTGGGTTTGGGAGGCTCTGTTACAGAGCAGGTAAGAGACTTGAGTTGGAATCCAGACTGGACCATTGCCTAGCCACATGGTCAGGGTTTTCTCCTTTGGGGTCCTTCCTCCACCCCTCTCTCATCCCATTCCACCAACTCCCCACCCTCCTGTCCACCCCAGGACAAAGAGATTTACCGCTGGCCCATCAAGGAGTCCCTGAAGGCCATGATTGCCTGGGAATGGACGATAGAGAAGGCCAGGGAGGGTGAGGAGGAGAAGACGGAAAAGAAAAAAACGCGGAAGATATCACAAAGTGCCCAGGTGAAGGCGGGGCCTGGGTGGAGGGCAGGGGCACGATGGGGGGAGGGTCTAGAACAAGGGGCATGGCCAGACAGGGAAGGGATGGAGAGGAGAGGGGCCCAGGGAGGTAGGTGGGGCAAGAGGGGTGCAGAAACCTGAGATCTGGGAAAGGAGAGGGCAGGGGTCTGAAGAACTGCAAAGGGCAGAGGAGAGAAGGATGGGGTGGTTTAGAGACAGGGCCTTAAGGAAAGGACAAGGGGTCTTGAGCCAGGGGAGGGTGGAGGGGGTAGAATGGACTAGTGGGGCCTGGGGAGGGGCTGGCCTGGGCTTCCTGCTAGCCCATCAGCCCACCTCCCATCTTCCCCTTGTCCTCTCAGACCTATGATCCTCGAGAAGGCTACAACCCTCAGCCCCCCGACCTTAGTGCTGTTACCCTGTCCCGGGAGCTGCAGGTGAGAGCCCTGATCCTTTTGGGGGGACATAGGGTGTCTTTGGGGGGGCTGGCATCCTCTGAATCTAGCCCTTGACTCTGCATCCACTCCCAGGCCATGGCAGAACAACTGGCAGAAAATTACCACAACACGTGGGGACGGAAGAAGAAGCAGGAGCTGGAAGCCAAAGGTGAGGGCGCCCATGCCGCCCCCACGCTACCCCCGTGGATTCACCGTGTGGTTTTGCTGATTGCCTTCATGCCCCTGAAACTCGGTTTCTCCATCTGTAGATGGGAATAATAACAGCGTTTACCACCATGGGGTAATGAGATGAGCACCAGCAAGCAATGTTTCCGTTATTCGTATCTTCTTTATCACCATAATTACGCATGCCGGGCACTGCAGGAACCACTTCAGTGAGAGTGGCCCGGGTCTTCCCCAGAGCCCTGATTTCTGGTCTTTGCCTCCCCAGGCGGTGGGACCCACCCCCTGCTGGTCCCCTACGACACGCTCACGGCCAAGGAGAAGGCACGAGATCGAGAGAAGGCCCAGGAGCTACTGAAATTCCTGCAGATGAATGGCTACGCGGTTACAAGGCACGCGGGTTGGGGCTCCCGCGGAAGAGCAGCAGGCAGAACACACCCGGCAAAGGCTGGAAGGGGCGGGGCCAGAGAGGGGTGGAGCCGAGAGGAACGGGGCCTGAGGAGCAAAGATGGAACCAGAGGGGAGGAGCTAAGGGAGTGGGGCCTGGACACAGAGGCGGGGCCAGATGGGGAGGAGTTCGAAATGGGCGGGGCTTAAGCACAGGCGGGACCAGAGAGGAGAGGAGGAAGAGAAGGGCGGGGCCCAGGGAGCAGAGGCGGGGCCAGAGAGTGGAGGAGACTGAGAGGGGCGGGGACCGGTGATTGGAGGCGGGACCAAAGAGGAGAGAAGGCTGAAAAGGGTGGGGCCCGGGGAACAGAGGTAGGGCCAAAGAGGAAGAGGCTGAGAGGGGCGGGGGCTGGGGAGCACAGGCGGGGCCAGAGAGGGGTGGGGAGGTACAGAGGGGCGGGGACTGGTGAGTGGAGGCGGGACCAAAGAGGAGAGAAGGGCTGAGAAGGGCAGGGCCCGGGGAACAGAGGTGGGGCCAAAGGGGAGGAGGCTGAGAGGGGCCGGCCCTGGGGAACAGAGGTGGGGCCAGAGAGGGGAGAAGGCTAAGTGGGGTGGGGCATGGGGGACTCAGAGTGGAGCCCCAACCTGGGGTGAAGCCAAAGCTGATAGAGACGGGGCCAGCAGGAGCAGAGGCGGACCTGAGAAGGGTGGGAAACTGTAGGGCCGGCGTCTGGGCTGATCCTTCTCTCCACATCTCCATGCAGAGGCCTTAAGGACATGGAACTGGACTCGTCTTCCATTGAAAAGCGGTTTGCCTTTGGCTTCCTGCAGCAGCTGCTGCGCTGGATGGACATTTCTCAGGAGTTCATTGCCCACCTGGGTACGGAGAAATACCCCCCGCTTATGCCCGCCCCACCTGCAGACACCAGTTCTGCAGACCAGACTCACCTAGGACACCTGTTCATGCACTCAATCCGTCCTCCCCTTATCTGATGTTTATTGAGCTTCTACTATGTGCCAGACACTGTTCTAGATGCTGGGGTACAGCAGTGAAGATGACAAATGACCCCTGCTCTCCTGCAACTACTCCTATGTTGGATTCAGGCAATTAGCATCATAAATAACTAAATCGTTTAGTGTTAGAAGGTGATCAGTGTTATGGGAAGAAGAAAACAATAGAGCCAGGTAGAGGGGATTGGGAGTGTGGAGCCAGTTGTAATTTTATTTTATTTCATTTTATTTTATTTTTATTTTTTATTTTATTTATTTATTTATTTTTGAGACAGAGTTTCGATCTTGCTGCCCAGGCTGGAGTGCAGTGGCACGGTCTCGGCTCACTGCAACCTCTGCTTTCTGGTTTCAAGCGATTCTCCTGCCTCAGCCTCCTGAGTAGCTGGGACCACAGGCACGGGCGCCGCCACACCCAGCTAATTTTTTGTATTTTTTAGTAGAGACGGGGTTTCACCATGTTGGCCAGGATGGTCTCGATCTCTCGACCTCGTGATCTGCCGCCTCGGCCTCCCAAAGTGCTGGGATTAAAGGCGTGAGCCACCGCACCCGGCTTGCCAGTTGTAATTTTAAATAGGGTGTTCCAGAAAGACTTTGATGAGAATGTGATATCTGAGGCAAGCCATGAAGGAGGTCAGAGAGGAGCTGTGTGGACCTCTGGGGGCATCTGTTCCTTGCAGGCAAAGGAACAGCGAGTGCAAAGGCCCTGAGAGGTCCCTGGTGTGAGTGTCAGGATGCCCTGTAGCTGAAGCAGAGTCATCGAGGGGGACGGTGAGATAAACGAGGTCACAGAGGTGACTGGGGCAGATCATGCAGGGCTTTGCAAGCTGTGATGAGGACTTTGACCTTACCTGGAATGAGATGGAGTTGGGGGTTGGGGGCTGAGCCGAGGAGGGACGTGATCCATAATTCTGGTGTTCACAGGGTCCCTCTGGCTTGACTGGGGTGGGGACAGGAGCCGAAAAGGGTGAGAACTGGGCAGATTTCTGGATCTATTTTGAAGGCTGAGGCTGCTGGGGTGCCCCCCAGTGCCTCTTACAGGCCACTAAGAATTACAGCTAGGCCCTACAATCCCCTCCAGTTTCCCTTAGAGACCCCCCCCAGCATTCCCCTTGAGAGCTACCCTCAGGAACCCCCAAATTCCCTCCAGGTGAGTGGCAGAGCAGGATTCGCTGTCACGTCTCACCTCAAAGCCTGCCTGCTGAGCTTCAGTGCTGCACATCCCCCTGACAATTCCCTTCCCTCTCTAGACCTCAGTTTCCTCACCTGTGATATGGGCATATGTTCACCATAACTAGCCATGGTTCTGTTACTTACTGGGTGACCTGGGGTTAGTTACTTCACCTGAGTTTCCTCATCTGAAAAATGGGGGTTGGGAACCAACTGCACAGACCTCCAAGTTGTAAGGAGACTGTGTGAGGATGACATGTCTCACAGTGCCAAGGACATAGCAAGTGTTTAATAATTGGAGCCAGTATTATTATTATTATTATTATTTTTTTTTTTTTTTTTTTTGAGACGGAGTCTTGCTCTGTCACCCAGGTTGGACTGCAGTGGCGCGATCTCAGCTCACTGCAGGCTCCGCCTCCAGATTCACGCCATTCTCCTGCCTCAGCCTCCCGAGTAGCTGGGACTACAGGCGCCTGCCACCATGCCCGGTTAATTTTTTGTGTTTGTATTTTTAGTAGAGATGGGGTTTCACCATGTTGGCCAGGATGGTCTCGATCTCCTGACCTCGTGATCCACCCGCCTCGGCTTCCCAAAGTGCTGGGATTACAGGCGTGAGCCACTGCGCCCGGCCCAGTATTATTATTTTAATAGTATCAGTTATGACTGTCACCATTATTATTGTTTGAAATTTATTTCCATTTTGAAATTAACTCTAATTTGTTTACATTGACTTCTTGTTTCATTTGGTTCATTCATTCATTTATTGCAGATTAACTCAGTGCCATGTATTCAAGTTTAGAATGAAAAGCACTTATGGTGGGTGAGGAAGGGCATGTTCCATGACCTTAACCCATTCCAGTTTGTTTTCCCCATTGTCAGCTTCAGAAAGGGTTTGATCAAGGAGTTGTCAGCTTCAAGAAGGATTTGATCAAGAAGTTGGGGGAAAGCACATTGGGAGGTTGAGGCGGGTGGATCACCTGAGGTCAGAAGTTTGAGACCAGCCTGGACAACATGGTGAAACCTTGGCTGTACTAAAAATACAAAAATTAGCTTGGTGTGTGGGAGCATGTCTGTAATCCCAGCTACTTGGGAGGCTGAGTCAGGAGAATCGCTTGAACTCAGGAGGCAGAGAGTGCAGTGAGCCGAGATCGTGCCATTGCACTCCTGTCTGGGTGACAAGAAAAAAAAAAGGAGTTGGGGGAATCAGATGAAAGATAGGAGAAAGGTTTATCTCAAAGCCAACACAAATGACTTCATACCAATACTTTATCCCCCATCATTTCCCAACTCTGCTCCCAGCATCCTTCCCATCAGAACACCCTGGGTTCCCCAGCCTTGAACCCACTGTGAACCCTATTTGCCCTCCCTACAGAGGCTGTGGTCAGCAGTGGGCGAGTGGAAAAGTCCCCACATGAACAGGAGATTAAATTCTTTGCCAAGGTGAGAGGTGGGCTTAGAAGCTGGAGGGCGCTGGGGACTCATAGGCTCTCCCCACCCCTCATTGGACCCTTTATCTCCCCCAACCCGTCTCCAGATCCTGCTCCCTTTGATCAACCAGTACTTCACCAACCACTGCCTCTATTTCTTGTCCACTCCGGCTAAAGTGCTGGGCAGCGGTGGCCACGCCTCTAACAAGGAGAAGGAAATGATCACCAGGTGGGCCGCCTGTGACCCTGGACCCAGCCCCCTGACCTCACAGGATTGTAATCCTTTGCCCATGGAGGCTCTGTCCTGGGTGCTGGGTGTTGGGTACTGACCGTCTCCTGCAAAGGCGATTGAAGGGTGACCAGCCATCCTAGTGTACCCGGGACTGAAGGGTTTCCCAGGATGTGGGACTCTCAGGCAACTTGGGACAAATCGATCACCCTGTCCAGGAAGGCCAACTCAAGGCCGGGCGTGGTGGCTCATGCCTGTAATTCCAACACTTTGGGAAGCTGAGGTGGGAAGATCACTTGAAGCCAGGAGTTTGAGGCCAGCCTGGGCAACATACTGAGACCCCATTTCTACAAAAAATACAAAAATTAGCCGGGCTTGGTGGTGCATGCCTGTAGTCCCAGCTACTCAGGAGGCTGAGGCGGGAGGATCACTTGAACCCAGGAGTTGGAGGCTGCAGGGAGCTGGGATCGTGCCACTGTACTCCAGCCTGGGTGACAGAGCAAGACCCTGTCTAAAAAAAATAAACAAACAAAGAATAATAAGAAAGGCTGACTCACCCCTCACCTCCCCAGCATCCCAGTTACTGCCTGTGACATTCCAGCTTGCCCATCTCTCTGCCCCTTCCCATCCCTCCTGTCTCCATCATTTGGACCCCCTCCTGGTTCCTCTCTCCTTGTCTTCTCTGTCCCTGTCTCCTCTAATTGGGTCACGCTGTCCTCGTCTCCTTGGCCTCCTCACTCGCTGTTTCTCCTGCCTTCTGTCCCTTTCTCTTTCTTCAGCCTCTTCTGCAAACTTGCTGCTCTCGTCCGCCACCGAGTCTCTCTCTTTGGTAAGTGGCTCCACACCTTCGGTCTTCCTCCCTAATCTTTCTCTTCCCCACCCTGAAGAAATAGCTCCCAGGTTCTGCCTTAATTTGAACAACCTTTGTTGTTTTCTTCCCCTGGACCTGGAGACATGGACCAGGTATCCGGGGGGTAGGGCAGTGACTGAGATGCCCTGGGCCTGCCCTCAATGGAGCTCCCAGGCCAGTGGGAGAGACAGACCTATCTCCAGACAAGGACAGCCCAGTGGGGTCAGGGCTGGGCAGGAGGAAGGCCAGGAGAGTGGTTGGGCTGGGGAGGAGGGACATTTGGAGGCGCTGTAGGAGTCTGGGGGGGTGGGGGTGCAGTAGCATTCCAACTTAGCCCGCAGGTAGCCTCAGGAAGAGAGCGGTTGGGGTGGATGTAGAGGGAGGCACTGTCCTCTGTCCTCTTAGCCATGGCATCCCCCCGGCCCATCTTCCTCTCCCAGGGACAGACGCCCCAGCTGTGGTCAACTGTCTTCACATCCTGGCCCGCTCCCTGGATGCCAGGTAGGGCCATAGGCAGTGGCGCCCACTCCCACCATCATCGGGCCCCCACCCCAACCCCTGGTCTCCTAGACTCTCCGATTCCAGAGCTGATGTTCCCCCGCTGCCCTTCTAGGACAGTGATGAAGTCAGGCCCTGAGATCGTGAAGGCTGGCCTCCGCTCCTTCTTCGAGAGTGCCTCGGAGGACATCGAGAAGATGGTGGAGAACCTGCGGCTGGGCAAGGTGTCGCAGGCGCGCACCCAGGTGAAAGGCGTGGGCCAGAACCTCACCTACACCACTGTGGCACTGCTGCCGGTCCTCACCACCCTCTTCCAGCACATCGCCCAGCACCAGTTCGGAGATGACGTCATCCGTAAGGGCGCCTGACCCAAGGGCAGGTTGCGGGGAGTCAGTGTGGCCAACACCACCCATCCGGGTGCCTGTGAGAGTCCCTGGGTGTTTGAATGTGTGGATTTCTTGCTGTAAGCAAAGCATGCAGTCAGTACCTTGGCAGGTGGCAAATGAGTTAATGAGGACGCGAGCTCAGCAGCTCTAACAAAAGACCCTAAGTGGACTGGCGCAGTGACTCACACCTGTAATTCCAGCACTTTGGGAGGCTGAGGCAGGAGGACCGCTTGAGCTCAGGAGTTCAAGACCAGCTTGGGCAACATAGCGAGACCCTGTCTCTACTAAAAAAAAAAAGAAAAATTTAAAGATTAGCCAGGCATGGAGGCACATGCCTGTAATCCCAGCTACTGGGGAGGCTGACAAGGGAGGATCACTTGAGTCCAAGAGTTGGAGGCTGCAATGAGCTATGATCATACCACTGCACTCCAGCCTGGACAACAGAGCAAAATTCTGTCTCTAAAATAAATAAATAATAAAATAGGGTCCTTGATGTTAAAAAAGAGAGTCTATTGATAAAGGTTAGGAAAAGTAGCACTTGGCCGAGCGCAGTGGCTCACGCCTGTAATCCCAGCACTTTGGGAGGCCAAGGCGGACAGATCACCTGAGCTCAGGAGTTCAAGACCAGCCTGGCCAACATGATGAAACCTTGTCTCTACTAAAATACAAAAATTAGCCGGGCATGGTGGTGGTCGCCTATAATCCTAGCTACCTGGGAGGCTGAGGCAGGAGAATTGCTTGAACCCAGGAGGCGAAGGTTGCAGTGCACCAAGATCGTGCCATTGCACGCCAGCCTGGGCAACAGAGCGAGACTCCATCTCAAAAAGAAAAGAAAAGTAGCAGTTGGTGGCCAGCCACAGTGACTCATATCTGTAATTCCAGCACTTTGGGAGGCCAAGGTAGGAAGATCTCTTGAGCCCAGGATTTCAAGACCAACCTGGGCAACATAGCAAAACCCCATCTTAAAAAAAAGAAGAAAAGAAAAGTAGCACCTGGATAGGGTTCTTCTCCCATCCAACTTTGTATTTTGAAATTTTCAAAACATACAGGAAGGTAGAAAGAAGAAAATTGTTGGCGGGGCATGGTGGCTCACGCCTGTAGTCCCAGCTACTTGGGAGGCTGAGGCACAAGAACTGCTTGAATCTGGGAGGTGGAGGTTGCAGTGAGCTGAGATTGCACCACTGCACTCCAGCTTGGGCGACAGAGCAAGACTCCATCTCAAAAAAAAAAAAAGAAAATTGTTAACAATTTGCCCTGTGTGCCTACCCTTCACTGTATGGTTGAAAGTATTTAGTTTTTTTTGTTGAACTTTTGGGTGTAAGTTGCACACACCAGGGTAACCTCATCCCTTAATGTTCATCAGCTGGCTTTCCTAGAATAGGAACCTTCTCTTGTGTAACCACGGTATCATTATCATACCTAACCTAACCATATTTAAATTTCCCTCATTACCCACAAAATGTCTTTGATTTTTTTAAAAGAAATTCAGAATCCAGTCAAGTTTCTCCTGCTGCATTTGGTGGTTGTGTCTCTGTAGTGTCTTTAAAGTCTAGAATAGCCCCGCCCTCTTTTTGCCTCATGATGAGCTTCTTAACTTGGCCTTCTGGAGGGCATGTGGTTAACCTAAAATTGGTCTGGGCACAGTGGCTCGCACCTGTAATCCCAGCACTTTGGGAGGCCGAGGTGGGCAAATCACTTGAGACCAGGAGTTTGAGATCAGCCTGGGCAACATACTGAGACCCCATCTCTAAAAAAATTTTTTTTTAATTTTTTTTTTTTTTTTGAGACAGAGTCTCGGTCTGTCACCCAGGCTGGAGTGCAGTGGCGCAATCTCAGCTCACTGCAACCTCTGCCTCCCGGGTTCAAGTGATTCTCCTGCCTCAGCCCCCCGAGTAGCTGGGATTACAGGCATTCACCAACACACTCAGATAATTTTTGTATTTTTAGTAGAGATGGGGTTTCACCATGTTGCCCAGGCTGGTCTCGAACTCCTGACCTCAGGTGATCCGTCCACCTCAGCCTCCAAAGTGCTGGGATTACAGGCATGAGCCTCTGCGCCAACCCTAAAAATATATACATTTTAAATAAAATGAAAAAGATAGCCTAAAATTGCAGCAATATTGCAGTTCTGTTTGCATTTTTCTGGAGGAAGTACCCCTCACTTTCATTATAGAGGGCCATGAGTCCTCTCCACGGAAGAAACAACATCTAGCCTTTATTGAGTGCCTACTGTGTGCCCCGTTCTAGTGGCTTTCCAAGTAGTAACTCATTTGATACTCACGACCACCCCGTGAGGAAGGTACTATAACTATCCCCATGTTACAGGTAGGGAAGCTGAGGCTGAGAGAGAGTTGGTAACTTGCTCAAGTCACAAGACTCGTACATGGAAGGCTGGCTGTACATCTGCTTGCTCTTCCCCACTGCATGGGCCTATTTGAGACAAGGGAGGTGGGGTGGGGAGGGCTTGTCTTGTGAGCGCATGCCGCAGCCTCGCCCCCTGTCTCCCTCAGTGGACGACGTCCAGGTCTCTTGCTACCGAACGCTGTGCAGTATCTACTCCCTGGGAACCACCAAGAACACTTATGTGGAAAAGTAAGGAGAGGGAGCCATCGTTTGGGGCTGGGTGGGGCTGGAGGGGAAGGGAGGGAGCAGGGGAAGAAGATGGGGTGGGTGAAAAGCAGGGTAGATGTTAAGAATTTTCCCGCACACGGCGGCAGCCGCGGTTCCCCACGGCGGCCGCGTGAGGGCGCTCAGGGACAGGTCAGCCACGGAGGTAGAGCCGCCAGGTCTGGGGCTGTGAAGCAGGCAGGCCTCGCTGGGGAAGAAAGGGAGGCGCAGACCACGGGGGCTGCACACAGGAGCCACGCAACACTGGGGTCACTGGGGAGGGCCCCTGGCAGTGGCCATGTGACCGCTTCTGAGCTGAGATTACTGATACAGCAAGAGCGAGGCTGCGGCTGTTTCCACCAGCTCTGAAGTTATTCAGATTTCAAGTGACACCAGCGGTGCGCGGTGGCTCACACCTGTGAGCACTTTGGGAGGCTGAGGCGGGAAGATCACTTGAGCTCAGGAGTTTGAGACCAGCCTGGGCAACATAGTGAGACTCCATCTCTACAAAAAAAAATTTTTTTTAATTAGCCTGGTGTGGTGTGGTGTAGTGGCGCTGGTGCCTGTAAATCCACCTACTCCTAAGGCTGAGATGGGGGGATCGCTTGAGCTCCAGCCTGAGCAGCATAGGGAGACTGCATCTCTACAAAAACGACTTTTTTTAAAACTAGCTAGGCATGGTATGGTGTGTGCCTGTAATCCCAGCGACTCAGGAGGCTGAGGTGGGAGGATCACTTGAACCCAGGAATGTGAGGTTGCTGTGAGCCAAGATCAGGCCACTGCACTGCAGCCTGAGTAACAGAGCGAGACCCTGTCTTAAAAAACAAAACAAGTGGCACACATGGATGAATGGCAGCTCTGTCCCAAAGGGTTCTGGGAGGAGCCGTTTCTATGGAGATGGGGCTGGGACCCAGGACCCCAAAGAGGGGGACACGTGGCAGCTAAACACAGCCCCGTCTTCCAGGCTTCGGCCAGCCCTCGGGGAGTGCCTGGCCCGTCTGGCAGCAGCCATGCCGGTGGCGTTCCTGGAGCCGCAGCTGAACGAGTACAACGCCTGCTCCGTGTACACCACCAAGTCTCCGCGGGAGCGGGCCAGTAAGCTGTGTGGGGCGGGAGCAGTGCTGGGAGTCCAAATCTCCCCAGCACAGGGCCTTGGGGAGACCCTAATTTGGGGGTAGTGTGGCTGGGCTGGGCTGTGAGCGGCTGAGGATTCCCCAGGTTGGGAGTGCCACACATTCAGGAACCCCAGAGTTTATGGTTCGGGGGCATTTCAAGGCCGTTACATGGGGAGAATTTAGAGATTAATTTGATTTTTGAAAACAGAATCTATTGATAAAAGTTAAGAAAAGTAGCACTTGGTGGCCAGGCGCAGTGGGTCACGCCTGTAATCCCAGTACTTTGGGAGGCCAAGGTAGGAGGATTGCTTGAGTCCAGGAGTTCAAGACCAACCTGGGCAACATAGCAAAACCCCATCCATGGAATTTGGAGCTATGGAATTTATTTTAGTGATGGTGACATTTGAGGGCATCATCAAGCTTGGAGACATAGGGTGAGGGGTATTTGAGCATAAGAGGATTGAGGGAAGGCAGGGTTCATTCATTCATTCAGCAAATATGTATCGAGCAGTTACTATGTATGAGGCGCTGTCCTAGTCACCTGAGGTTCAGCAGTGAACAGATAAAACAGACAAAAATCCCCTGAGTCCTGGGTCCAGAGGCTAGAATGAGGTGTGGACCTGGGGGAAATATACGCTCCAAGGCAGGAAACTTGTCTTCTTGGTCAGCTGTTCTCCCAGAATGGCACCTGGCCCAGAGTCAGCAAGTGAGCAAGTGACAGGTTGTCGGTTTCAAGGGACTGAACCGGGTGTGGGATTCAGAGAGACAAGGCGGGGAGACAGGGTGGGGTTGGAAAAGGTCTCTTTTGGAGTATGCTGTACAGCAGGGGTGAGGGGAATGGGCTTGGGATGTGGGAGATTTTAGGAGGGAAGGTTTCTAGGGGTGAGATTTTAGGGAGCAGACAGGCTCGGGGGTGTGAAGTGTTTGCGGGGCCACTGAGTTTCAATGTGAGGGTTGGGAGAGGTAGTTGGGTTGGAGGGTGAGATGGGAAGAATAGGGTTTGGGAGACTGTTTAAGGGGGGTGGCAATTCAATGGTGTCTGATGTATTGCGGGGGAGGCCAGGGCACTGAGGTCTGGGGGTGATGGCTTGACATTCCCTGCCCCCGTCCCTGTACCCCAGTCCTGGGGCTCCCCAACAGTGTGGAGGAGATGTGTCCCGACATCCCGGTGCTGGAGCGGCTCATGGCAGACATTGGGGGGCTGGCCGAGTCAGGTGCCCGCTACACAGAGATGCCGCATGTCATCGAGATCACGCTGCCCATGCTATGCAGCTACCTGCCCCGATGGTGGGAGCGCGGGCCCGAGGCACCCCCTTCCGCCCTGCCCGCCGGCGCCCCCCCACCCTGCACAGCTGTCACCTCTGACCACCTCAACTCCCTGCTGGGGAATATCCTGAGAATCATCGTCAACAACCTGGGCATTGACGAGGCCTCCTGGATGAAGCGGCTGGCTGGTGGGTCGGGGGGCACTGGGCCTCTGAGGGGTGGGTCAGCAGCCTGGGCTCCCTTGGCAGATGGTCTGAAAGGGAGACCCATGGTCCCCTCGGAGTTGGGAGGAGTCAGAGTGTAGGTTTTTTCAGCATCAAAAGACCAGGGGTCAGCTGGGCACCGTGGCTCACAGCTGTAACACCAACACTTTGGGAGGATCAGTTGAGGCCAGCCATTTGCGACCAGCCTAGGTAACATAGCACGACCCCATCTCTTTAAAAAACAAAACAAAACTTTTTTTTAATTAGCCAGGTGTGGTGGCACATGCTTATAGTCCCAGCTACTTGGGAGGCTGAGGCAGGAGGATCTCTTGAGCCCAGGAGTTGGAGGCTGCAGTGAGCTGTGATTGCACCACTGTACTCCAGCCTGGGTGACAGAGTGAGATACTCTCTCAAAACAAACAAACAAAACAAAAGGAAAGAAAGAAGGAAGGATGGAGTGAGAGAGGGAGGGAATAAAAGGGAAGGAAAGAAGGAAGGAAGGCAGGAAGGAAGGAAGGAAGAAATGGATCCTCAAAGCGTTAGGTTTCCTGATTCAGAAGTTTCATGTCAGGGCCAGGCACAATGGCTCATGCCTGTAATCCCAGCACTTTGAGAGGCCAAGGTGGGTGGATCACTTGAGACCAGGAGTTCAAGACTAGCCTGGGCAACATGGTGAAACCTCGTCTCTATTATTTAAAAAAAAAAAAAAAAAAAAAAGAAATATTTGTGTAAGGAAACAGGTTGTAGATCAGGGTCAACCTAGAAATCAGGAGCTGGGATCAGAGGCCAGGGTAAGGGGCCAGAGGCTGGGGTAAGAAGCCCATTCACAACCTTGGGGTCATAGCCAGAAATCACATAGTGAGGTAAGACTCTGGGTATGGGCCAGGTCAGAGGTTAAAGATTGGGGTCAGGGGTCATGCTAGTTAAGGGTGAGGTAACAGGCCAGGTGCAGTGGCTCACGCCTGTAATCCCAGCACTATGGGAGGCCGAGGCGGGTGGATCTCCTGAGGTCAGGAGTTCGAGACCAGCCTGGCCAACATGGTGAAACCCCATCTCTACCAAAAATACAAAAGTTAGCTGGGTGTGGTGGCAGACGCCTGTAATCCCAGCTACTCGGGGCTGAGGCAGGAAAATCGCTTGAACTCGGGAGGCAGAGGTTGCAGTGAGCCAAGATTGCGCCATTGCACTCCAGTCTGGGTGACAAGAGTGAAACTCTGTCTCAAAAAAAAAAAAAAAGTTAGGTAACAGGTGAGGCGTCTGTTGTTGGGGGTCAGAGGTCAGGGATTTGTGCCAGGCTGGGGTCACAGGATAGGGACTGGGTCTTAGGTTCAGGTTAGGGGCTATGGCTGGGATCAGTGTTCAGGGACTATATCCAAGGTTAGGGTCAGGCTGGGGTCAAATGGCAGCTGCTAGGTTGGAGATGCTGTTTGGGAGTCGGGCTGGGAACGGAGTTTGGGGCCTGTGTCAGAGGCCGGAGGTGGCATCAGAGCCCATCGCACCCCTGCAGTGTTCGCACAGCCCATTGTGAGCCGTGCACGGCCGGAGCTCCTGCAGTCCCACTTCATCCCAACTATCGGGCGGCTGCGCAAGAGGGCAGGGAAGGTGGTGTCCGAGGAGGAGCAGCTGCGCCTGGAGGCCAAGGCGGAGGCCCAGGAGGGCGAGCTGCTGGTGCGGGACGAGTTCTCTGTGCTCTGCCGGGACCTCTACGCCCTGTATCCGCTGCTCATCCGCTACGTGGACAACAACAGGTCAGCGGGGCCCCGCTGTCCCCATGCCCTCCGCCCCGACCTCCCACGTCCTCCAGCCCCATCTGATCTCCGCCTCCTGACTGGCTAGAAACTTCTTCCAATGCTCTGGCCCCACCAACCTTCTGACTCTTCCTCCTGGTTTCTTCTGGCTTTGAGCACATTGGTCCAACGACAGCCAGCCCACTTGTTTGTTTCTTTTTGTTTTTGGTTTTTGGGTTTTTTTTTGTTTGTTTTTGTTTTTGGAGACAGAGCCTCGCTTTATTGCCCAGGCTGGAATGCAGTGGCGCGATCTCGGCTCACTGTAACCTCCACCTCCCGGGTTCAAGTGATTCTCCTGCCTCAGCCTTCCCAGTAGCTAGGATTACAGGTGCATGCCACCACGCCCAGCTAAGTTTCGTATTTTTAGTAGAGACAGATTTTCACCATGTTGGCCAGGCTGGTCTTGAACTCTTGACCTCATGATTTGCCTGCCTCGGCCTCCCAAAGTGCTGGGATTACAGCTGTGAGCCAATGCAGCTGGCCAGTGTGATTTTTTTTAAATCATTCTCCTAATGCTGGACATTTAGATTGTGTCGATTTCTTTGTCACTATGCACAACACCGTAAGGAATAGTTTGCTTTTTTTTTTTTTTTTTTTATTGAGACAGGGTCTCTCTCTGTTGCCCAGGCTGGAGTGCTGTGGCATGATCATGGCTTGCTGCAGCCTCGGTTCCTGGGTTCAAGCGATCCTCTGCTTCTGCCCCTGAGTAGCTGGGATTATAGACTCACACCAACATGCTCGGCTAATTCTTGTATTTTTATGGGGTCTCACTATGTTGCCCAGGTTGGTCTTGAATTCCCGGGGTCAAGTGATCCTCCCACCTCAGCCTCCCAAAGTGTTGGGATTACAGAAGTGAGCCACCACACTTAGCTGCTTTTTTTTTTTTTTTAACACAACAATACACCATGAAAGACATATAGGCCGGGTGTGGTGGCTCATGCCTGTAATCCCAGCACTTTGGGAGGCCGAGGTGGGCAGATCACCTGAGGTCAGGTGTTTGAGACCAGCCTGGCCAACGTGGCGAAACCCTGTCTCTATTATGAATACAAAAATTAGCCAGGCGTAGTGACGCAGGCTTGAAATCCCAGCTACTCCAGAGGCTGAAGCAGGAGAATCGCCTGAGCCTGGGAGGCAGAGGTTGCACTGAGCTGAGATCGTGTCACTGCACTCCAGCCTAGGAACAGAGCGAGGCTCCACCTCAAAAAAAAAAAAAAAAAAAAAAAAAAGATGTATAGATTCACCTCTTTTGTCTTGGTGGTCGTGTGACATTCTCTGCTGTTGGATATAGTTCAATTTTTCAATCAGTAAATATGAACAAATTGTGGTTTATTCATACAACAGAAGACTCCACGGCAGTGGGAGTGAACAAGTTGTTTCTATGCACAATGTGATTGGCTTTCACAAATGTTAGGTGGAATGAAAGAAGCCAGAAAACCAAGAAATAAACTACATATTTTACCATCTGTTTAATGTTCACGAGCAGATAAGAATAAGTTTGGGGCCGGGTGCAGTGGCTTACAACTGTAATCCCAGCACTTTGAGAGACTGAGGCGGGAGGATCACTTGAGCTCAGGAATTTGAGACCAGCCTAGGCAACATGGCTAGACCCTGTCTCTACAAAAAAAGAAAAGAAATACAAAAATTAGTCAGGCATGGTGACACACACCTGTAGTCCTTGCCTCAGGCTGGGACTGGGAGGCTGAGGTGGGAGGATCGTTTGAGCCCAGGAGGTCAAAGCTGCAGTGAGCTATGATCACACCGCTGCACTCCAACCTGGGCAACAGAGATAGACCCTGTCTCAATAAGGTTTGTTTTTTTTTAATACAAGTAAATGAATAAAATAAAATATGTGAACCTACTTAGATTCTGACCCTGTCTCAAAAAAAAAAGAAATTTTATGCTGGGTGCAGTGGCTCGTGACTGTAATCCCAGCACTTTGGGTGGCCAAAGAGAGTGGATCACTCAAACTCAGTCTCAAACTCAGAAGTTTGAGACCAGCCTGGGCAACATGCAAAAACCCTGTCTCTACTGAAAATACAAAAATTAGCCGGGCGTGGTGGCGCATACCTGTAGTCCCAGCTAAGTACTCCTGAGTGGGAGGCTGAGGCAGGAGAATCACTTGGAACCTGGGAGGCAGAAGTTGCAGTGAGCTGAGATCACACCACTGCACTCCAGCCTGGGCGACAGAGCGAGACCCTGTCTCAAAAAAGAAAAAAAGAAAATTTTTTTTTTTTTTTTTGAGATGGAGTCTCGCCCAGGCTGGGGTGCAGTGGTGCGATCTCTGCTCACTGCAAGCTCCACCTCCCGGGTTCACGCCATTCTCCTGCCTCAGCCTCCTGAGTAGCTGGGACCACAGGTGCCTGCCACCACACCCGGCTAATTTTTTTGTATTTTTTAGTAGAGATGAGGTTTCACCGTGTTAGCCAGGATGGTCTCGATCTCCTGACCTCGTGATCTGCCCGCCTCGGCCTCCCAAAGTGCTGGGATTACAGGCATGAGCCACTGCGCCCAGCTGAAAGAAAAAATTTTAAAAAGTTTTTAGCCTAGAAGTTAGAATATGGATGATTTTTCAGGAGGAGGAAGGGGGAGTGGCTGGGAGGGGCCATGATAGTACTTCCAGGGACCAGAAATGTCCTATTTCTTGACTTCGGTGCTGGCTACACAAGTGTGTTCATTTGTGATAATTCACCAGGTTGATATTTCTTAATATGTAGGTTATATAATACATATGTATGTATCATGTGTGTCTATGTATTGCATGCATGTATTATATTTATGTATTTCGATGAAAAGGTTAGACAAAGTTTTTTAAAAAAGGAATAGTCAGGCCAGGGAAGGTGGCTCACACCTGTAATCCCAGCACTTTGAGAGGTCAGGGAAAGAGGATCTCTTGAGCCCAGGAGTTCAAGACCAGCCTGGACAACCTAGGGAGACCCTCTTCCTACAAAAAATAAAATAAAACATTAGCCAGGCCTGGGCATGGTGACGTGCACCTGTAGTCCCAGCTACTCAGGGAGGCTGAAGTGGGAGGATCACTTAAGCCTGGGAGGTTGAGGTTGCAGTGAGTGGAGATCGCATCACTGTACTCCAGCCTGACAGATTGAGACCCTGTCTCAGAAAGAAAGAAAGAGAGAGAGAGAGAGAGAATGGATCGTTAAAAAATTTTAAATGTTCAGCTGGGCACAGTGGCTTACACCTGTAATCCCAGCACTTTGGGAGGCCGAGGTGGGTGGATCACGTAAGGTCAAGAGTTCAAGACCAGCGTGCCCAACATGGTGAAACCCCGTCTCTACTAAAAATACAAAAATTAGCCCGGTGTGGTGTCGGGCCCCTGTAGTCCCAGCTACTCGGGAGGCTGAGACAGAGAAAAAAAATTTTTTTAATGTTCATCTGCATGGCCAGATGACCCTAGAAACCCCATCCCTCTGACTGGATGTCTCCTGGTCCCCATCTCCTCCTCCAAGATCTCTCTCTGGGCAGCCCCCTTCCCTGGGATCCCCACCCCCTCCCTCACCTCCCCTCCGCTGACCCCAGGGCGCAGTGGCTGACGGAGCCGAATCCCAGCGCGGAGGAGCTGTTCAGGATGGTGGGCGAGATCTTCATCTACTGGTCCAAGTCCCACGTGAGTGCCCACCCCAACCGCCCTCCCCACAACCAGAGGAGCCGCAGCCCACAGGCGCCTGCCTTCACCTGTCCGGTCTGCAACACTGCTTCCCCCACCAGAACTTCAAGCGCGAGGAGCAGAACTTTGTGGTCCAGAATGAGATCAACAACATGTCCTTCCTGACTGCTGACAACAAAAGCAAAATGGCTAAGGTCGGGGCTTGGTTCTGGGAGGAGCACTTGGCAGAGAGGGCGGGAGCACCCTCTAGGACTTCCTACCTGGCCTGTCCTCACCCAGCCAGCCCGTCCTGGGCGCAATCCCTGCAGTCCTCAGAGCAGCCCCTCTTACCTCCTCTCCCTCTCCCTTCCTCCCCAGCTCCTTCCTCCTCCTGTATCTTCTCCCTCCTCCCATCTCCCTCCTCCTCTCCATCTCCCTCTTCTCTCATCTCTGTCTCCTTCCTCCTCCTGTATCTTCTCCCTCCTCCCATTTCCCTCCTCTCCATTTTCCTCTTCTCCAAGCCTCTCTCTCCTCCCATTTCCCTCCTCCTCCTCCTCCCCATTTTCCCCCTCTTCCATTTCTTTCTTCCTCTCCCCATTACCCCATTTCCTGCTTTCCTCCCTATCCTTCTCAGCACTGCCCTTCTCAGGTCTCAGAGAACGACCCCCCACCCCGAGCCAAGGCCTGGAAATGCCCAGCTAGAGAATACATGGCGGGTGGGGCAGAGGAGGTGGGGTGCTGGCAACTTGGAGTTGGGCCTGGGCTTCTCTGCGGGGCTGGGGTAACCCTTCTTGTCTCTGTCTGCGGTCCGGTGAAGCAGGCGGGAGATATACAGGTCAGCCCCACATCTGGGACCTTCCGCATGTCTCTTGGCTAATGCCCTCTTCCCCCAGCCTCTGCACGCCCCCGCCTCGAGAAAACCCCTGCTTCTGTTCCCCACCCCCGTCCTCCCCTCCCAGCCCCCACCCATCCTCCTTCCCTTCCCTTCCCTCCCCACCACCCCCATCCGTTCCCATCCCAACCCTCAGCTTTTGGCAATTTGACTTCTTTTCTTTTTCTTCTTTCCTTTTTTTTTTCTGGACTTTTGTTCCCAAAAAAAAAAAAAAAAAGAAAAAAAGAGCAACTCTCAGCTTTTACCAAAGCATCGTGGGCTGAGGTCAAGGGTAATGGGGGTGGGAGAGGCACACGGAGCATGGTTGGGGAGGGGGCAGCACCCTCGCCGTGGATGGTTTAAAGCTTGGGCTCTGGACTGTATGGACTGGGGTTAGAATCCTGTCTTGATAGTTAGCCGTGTGACCTTGGTTGGGGTCATCCTTTTGAGCCTCTGAGGGCATCCAGCCAGCAGCCCCCACCCCAGGGCTCTGCGAGGACTCAGGGAGAAGCTGCATGTGTGGCCTGCAGCAGTGCCTGGCACAGGGGTCATGCTCAAAGTTGCCAGCCGGCGTGGATGTGGCTCTGCCCAAAAGCTTGTCATCAGGGCTTCTCGCTGGCGTGACTGGGGTGGCCCTGGCCCCGGGTCTGCACCCAAGGCTCCAGAACACGGCTGTGGGACTCTGTGCCCTGTGTCTCTGCTTCCAGATCTTTCTGGATGTCTCTTGCATCTTTGGTCTTCCTGTCTCCTTGTCTTTTTCAGTCTCTCAGTGTCTTTTTCTTGCAACTTCTCTTGTCGCTTGAACTCTTTGTGGACCTGCATCTTTGTTTCATTCTTGAGAACTTGGTTTTGGGATGTGAAGTGTGGGGTTGTGCATGCTGTGGAGGGGGTATTGTACTGGGGTTCCTAGGGGATTCTGGAAGAGGACTGCTAGAAGTTGAGACAGGCCCAGAACGGGGGAAAATCTGGATGGGCCTGGGTTAGAAATTGGAGCCAGGCAAGCATGGTGGTATGTGCCTGTAGTCCCAGCTACTTGGGAGGCTGAGGCAGGAGGATCACTTGAAGCCAAGAGTTCAAGTCCAGCCTGGGCAACATGGCAAGACACCATCTCTAAAAATAAATTTGTTTAAAAAACAAGAAACTGGGAATTTGGGTTGTGGACTTGGGTCTGGAGGGTCTCCGGTCATGGCTGTGGGCCTGAAGTGTAGAGTCAGCAAGTCTGGGGTGGAAATTGAGGTGTCGTCGGCAGTTGGGGAGGGAGTGCCTGGTGTCCAGACTGGGGCCTGGGGTGTGGATGATGGCCGCGGGTTGGGGCTGAGGCATGGGATTGGGGCTTGGGCTGGTGCTGAGCCCTGTGTCCCCACAGTCCGGTGGCTCGGACCAGGAACGCACCAAGAAGAAGCGCCGGGGGGACCGGTACTCTGTGCAGACGTCACTGATCGTGGCCACACTGAAGAAGATGCTGCCCATCGGCCTGAATATGTGTGCGCCCACCGACCAAGACCTCATCACGCTGGCCAAGACCCGTTACGCCCTGGTGCCTGCCCAGCCCCGTCCTCGGAACCTTCCAGGATGCCGCCCAGCACCCACTGAACCCCTGGGACCTTAGGGAACAACCACAATGCCACTGAGCCCCCCAGGTCCCTGGGAGCCTTCCCTTCAGACCCCACTGAGTTCTTTTCCGGGATGCTGAGGACTCACTGTGCCCCTGGGATGCCCTGAGGACCCCGTTCAAGATATTGCCAGGGCACCACAGACCTAAGAGCCCTCACTGAAACCTAGAAAAGCTCTAGGACCCCTGGGACCCGCATGAGGACTGCAGGACCCCACTGCCCCCCCACCGGACCATGCCAAACCTGCTGAGACCCTGAGAGTCCCCCCAACAAGATGAGCCCCTGAGATCCTCTGAACCCTCCACCAAGGCCCCTTCAAGCCCCTTGGGACCTACTGAGACCCTCATGACCCCTCCTTCCCTCCCTGCCAAGACTGAACCTCTGGGTTCCTGCTGAGCCCTTGGCTCACCATCCCTTTCCTTCAGGACCCTGCTGACACCTGGGCCCTGTTGAAGCCCAACTAAGCCCCCAAGACTCTCAGGGGCTCAGGGAGCCCTGCGACCCTGCATAACTCCCCAGGATCCATGAACCCCAAGCCCGGGACTGTACCCAAACCTCTGAGGTCTCAACTGTCCTGGAGACCAAAATACCCGGGCTGTAGAACCTCTTAAGCTTGCTGGGATATCAAGGAGGCCTCCCGGGACCCCACTTACCCCTTGTGTGGGACAACAAGGACAATCTCCCTCCTCTCCGATCCTTTCCAGCTTCAGGGACTCTAAGGAACCCTCCCAGGATTCTGCCCCAAGACCCCTATAGCCCTCCCCCCAGGACCACACCAACACCCTGACAACCTACTAACCCCCTGGACCCCTAAAGACCACCGACTTCTCCCCTGCTACCACCAGGACACCCCTTCCCTCAGAACCTCAGGCACCTCCCAGGACTGCTGAGTCCTGCCAGGACGCCAGAGAGCCCTCCAGGGCTCCATGGACCCCTCACCTTGGTCCTTGAGGGCTCCCCGTCCTAGAACCCCAGTGAACCCCCACCCTGCTGATGCCCCCTTTGGCCCCTGTGTAACCAGTGACTCCGTTGACCTACGTGATCCCCCATGACCTCTGCTGACCCCTTCTGATCTTCAAAGACTCCCTGCCCCACTCTGACCCCCCAGTCATCCCTCTTTGGCCATATTTGACCTTTGATGAGATCCTCTTGTCACCCTTTGCCTCTTCCCAGACCTCCACGAGGCCCCTCGAATCCTTACTGTATCTTCAAGGTGACTCTGTGACCCTCCGGCCCCTCTAGGACCCCTTCTGACCCCGTCAACCTCTGCATCCTTTTGTTTCTCTCAGACCCCCACCCCCACCCCAGAAAAACCTCTTCAGTTCCTGGGGTGCTGGGCCTGGAAGGAAAGGGTTGTGGGTCAGGAAGGAGGATGGGACCTCCAGAGTGACCCAGCCTGGCTCTGTCTCCCCAGAAAGACACAGATGAGGAGGTCCGGGAATTTCTGCACAACAACCTTCACCTTCAGGGAAAGGTATGCCTCCTTCCTCTGCAAGCAAAAGAAGCAAGTCAGAAAGTAACCACAATATTAGTGAAGGTTTGAGCATTTACCAAAGACCAGGCATTGAAGAAAGACCTCAAAGGTCAGGAGTTTGAGACCAGCCTGGCCAATGTGGCGAAACCATGTTTCTACTAAAAATACAACAATTAGGCCGGGCACAATGGCTCATGCCTGTAATCCCAACACTTTGGAAGGCCAAGGCGGGCAGATCACCTGAGGTTAGGAGTTCGAGACCAGCCTGGCCAACGTGGTGAAACCCCGTCTCTACTAAAAGTACAAAATTAGCTGGGTGTGATGGCGGGTGCCTGTAGTCCCGGCTACTCAGGAGGCTGAAGCAGGAGAATCGCTTGAGCCCAGGAGGCAGAGGTTGCAGTGAGCTGAGATCGCACCACTGCACTCCAGCCTGGGTGATGGGGCGAGGCTCCGTCTCAAAACAAAAAGATGAAGAAGAAGAAAGGCCTCAACATGCACTCACCCATTGAGTCCTCCCAAAAACGGAAAGGGGACATCCGGCGGACACTGTGGGAAGGGTCCCTCACGCCGGCCACTCCTTCTTCCTCCCTTCAGGTCGAAGGCTCCCCGTCTCTGCGCTGGCAGATGGCTCTGTACCGGGGCGTCCCGGGTCGCGAGGAGGACGCCGATGACCCCGAGAAAATCGTGCGCAGAGTCCAGGAAGTGTCAGCCGTGCTCTACTACCTGGACCAGGTGGGTGGGGCCGGAGGGGTCTTTCTACTGGGTCTCTGGGCGGAGCCTGGCGGGGGGAGGGGCTTCAAGGATGTGGGTGGGGTCTGGAGATGACTATTAAGTTTTGGGGCAGGGCAGGAGGTGGAGCCTCGAGTTTAAGGCGAGGCTTAGAATGGATCGGGGGAGGGGTCTGCTGCTTAATCTTGCATCTGGGGGCGGGACAGGGAAGGGGCAGATCTTTAGGTCTAGGGGTGGGGCCTAGAGGAGATGCGTTGAGTTTGTGGGCAGGGCCTTGGGTGGGTCGTAGAATTGGTCGTGGCCTGGCTCGTGGTCCTGGCTCTGTGGGACCTGGCCTAGGATGGAAACTTAGGTCTGGAGGCGGAGTCAGGACCCTGACTCTGTTGGTGGAGACAAGGTTTTCCTTCTGCCGTGTGAGTCTTAACCTGAATATGGACTTCGACACAGCTGGGCAGTTTCATCCAGGGCTGGGAGTGAGAGGGGCAGGGTCTGGGGATGTGACTGTCCTGCTATCCCCTCCCCAGACCGAGCACCCTTACAAGTCTAAGAAGGCCGTGTGGCACAAGCTTTTGTCCAAACAGCGCCGGCGGGCAGTCGTGGCCTGTTTCCGTATGACGCCCCTGTACAACCTGCCCACGTAAGGCCCCCAGGGACAAGGGAAGCGTGAAGGGCTGCGGAGAAAGGGTGGCTGGAGAGTCTGGAGAATGGAGGGCCAACGTGATGGGGCCTTGAGGGTGGTTGGGGGCTGCAGGCGCATGGGAGGTCGGGAAGCACGGAGGAGGGCGCGTCCCAGTGACGTCACACCTCTCCCCTGCAGGCACCGGGCATGTAACATGTTCCTGGAGAGCTACAAGGCTGCATGGATCCTGACTGAAGACCACAGTTTTGAGGACCGCATGATAGATGACCTTTCAGTGAGCTGGGACCCGCCTGGGGGAGTGGGGGGCGAGCTGGATAGGGCTGGGGCGGAGGCCACCCTTGGCACACCTCCAGGGGTCGGCCCTCCACATCAAGGGGTATAGAAATGCCAGCTCCTGGCTTGAGTAGAACCAAAGTAGGGCGCAGGATGTGGGAAAAGAGAAAAAAAAATCCAGACCAACAGGGACATGGGGGCAGTGACAGGAGGGGACTCTAGAAACCCTCTCCCCAAGTCTCCCCTCTCCCACCAGAAAGCTGGGGAGCAGGAGGAGGAGGAGGAAGAGGTGGAAGAGAAGAAGCCAGACCCCCTGCACCAGTTGGTCCTGCACTTCAGCCGCACTGCCCTGACGGAAAAGAGGTGAAGACTCTTGCCAGGGCCCCAGAAATGCCCCCAAGGTCCTGGGGCCACCCCCAGCCCAGCAGCTTCCCTGTGCCTCAGGAGAGGCCCTCCAGGTCCTGGGGGAGCCCAAGACAGACGGATCTTTAAATATCACTTTGCTGGTCAGGCACGGTGGCTCACGCCTGTAGTCCCAGCAATCTGGGAGGCTGAGGCAGGCAATCACTTGAGCCCAGGAGTTCAAGACCAGCCTGGCCAATATGGCAAAACCCCGTTTCTACAAAAATACAATAAATAGCCAGGCTTGGTGGTGGGCACTTGTAATCCCATCTACTCAGGAGGCTGAGGCGGAAGAATCGCTTGAACCTGGGAGGCGGAGGTTGCAGTGAGCCGAGATCATACCACTGCACTCCAGCCTGGGCGACAGAGCGAGACTCTGTCTCAAAAAGAAAAGAAAAGGAACGTAAATGTCACTTTGCTAGGACAGGCACAGCCAACATACACCGTTGCATGGCTGAACACTTCACAAGGGCATGTCTGAGGGGTTCGTATCACAGACAATGTAGATTAACTAGGCTTTTCTAGAAGAAAGTGTCTTGCTCAAATAAAATCAGTATATTATGAAAAAAATCCATATGTATGACAAATTTCCAACAGACAGAAGTAGTGGGGAGGTTTTCTGTAATTCCCTCAAAAGCTTCATGTAGGCTAATGACAGGCTTAGTAATAAATAATTGTGATGCAGATGGCGCAGCTGCTGCCGCTGCTGCTGACAGTAGCAGGCAGCCATTCATCAAATGCTTATTATGTGTCAGGCACCAAGCTAAGCGGGGATATCTATATCCTCTCACTTAACCGCCACACTGTGAGACGGATTATTGCATCTCCTTTGTGTGGATAAGGGAATGAAGGCACAGGGATTTATTTTTCATTTTGTTTATTTATTTATTTATTTATTTTTGAGATGGAGTCTCGCTCTGTCACCCAGGCTGGAGTGCAGTGGCACAATCTCAGCTCACTGCAACCTCCGCCTCCCAGGTTCAAGCAAGTGGGATTACAGGCGCCCACCACTACGCCCAGCTAATTTTTGTATTTTTAGTAGAGACGGGCTTTCACCATGTTGGCCATGCTTGTCTCAAACTCCTGACCTCAAGTGATCTTCCCGCCTTGGCCTCTCAAAGTGCTGGGACTACAGGCGTGAGCCACTGCACCTGGCCTACTTTTTTATTTTTTGAGAAGATCTTGCTCTTCTTGCCCAGGCTGGAATGCAGTGTCATATCATAGCTCATTGCAGCTCAGACCCCCCACTCCACATCACCCCAGGCTCAAGAGATCCTCCTGCCTCAACCTCCTGAGTAGCTGGGACTACAGGCACGTGCCTCCATGCCTGGCTATTTTTTTTTTTTTTTTCTGGTAGAGATGGGGGTCTCACTATGTTGCCCAGGCCGGTCTCAAACTCCTGAACTCAAGCAATCCTCCCCACTCAGCCTCCCAAAGTGTTGGGATTACAGGCATGAGCCACCGCGCCTGTCAGGGATTTGTTTTTCTTACATAACGTGAAGTCAAGAGCTAAAGACTTCAGGACTGGGCAGTGGCACAGGGACACTGACAGGGGCCCAGGGTCTTTCTAGCTTTCTGCTCTGCCCTTCTTAGCTTTTGTCTGTAGTCCTGGGTGGATGCTGCACTTCTAGGCATCACAGCCACATGCCAGGCAGAAAGAAGGACAAAGGGTCCCCACTCTTCACCCTCAGCAAGATCTTTGGTCTCTCTCTCTTTTTTTTTTGAGACGGAGTTTTGCTCTTGTTGCCCAGGCTGGAGTGCAATGGCGCAATCTCGGCTCGCTGCAATCTCCACCTCCCGGGTTCAAGCGATTCTCCTGCCTCAGCCTTCCGAGTAGCTGGGATTACAGGTGCATGCCACCATGCCCAGCTATTTTTCTTTTTTCTTTCTCTTTTTTTTTTTTTTTTTTGTATTTTTAGTAGAGACAGGGTTTCGCCATGTTGTCCAGGCTGGTCTCAAACTCCTGACCTCAGGTGATCTGCCCACCTTAGCCTCCCAAAGTGCTGGGATTACAGGCACGAGCCACCGCGCCCAGCCTTCTTTGGTCTCTTTATCTCTCTGGTGAGCTTCCACACAGATCTCATTGGCCAGAAATTCTGACATAAGGCCATCTCGGGCTGCAAGGTGATGAAGAATTTGAGCATCCCATTTTGCATCCTGTGGGAGAGCGATGGCTCTGGAGTTTGGCCATCCAAGTTGAGTCCCAGCGCAAGCTGTGTGATCCCAGCCGAGAAGGGTCTTTGTATCTTAGTTCCCCCACCGATAAAATAGGGCTATTAACATACCCACCCAATTGGATGACTGTGAGGGTCAGTTTGTTAATATATACAAGGCACCTAGAACAGGCACTGACATGGTGTTAGTGTAAACACTCAGCAGGTGTTGGCCATTGTAGAGGAGACCCAAGCAGAAAGGGATTGGCCATACTTGTTATTGAGCTGACAGGTGGCAAGATGGCTCTGGGAGCTCCAGCCTTCCATCACTCCATTTTAGCATCCCCAGTGGAAAGGGAGTGCCTCCACCATTAGCTCCAGCAAACCTCACTGAATGGGCCAGGCGCGGTGGCTCACACCTGTAATTCCAGTACTTTGGGAGGCCAGGAGTTTGAGACCAGCCTGGGCAACATAGCAAGACCCTGTCTCTACAAAAAAATGGAAAAATTAGCCAGGTGTGTTGGTATGTGCCTGTAGTCCCAACTACTCAGGAGGCTGATGTGGGAGATCACTTGAGCCTGGGAGGTTGAGGCTGCAGTAAGCCTTGATGGCACCACTGCACTCCAGCTTGGCCAACAGAGCAAGACCCTGTCTCAAGAACAAAATAAACAAACAAAACAACTCCCAGAATGGATTTTACTGGACAGCATGGACAACATGACCATTTCTTACCTGTCATCATGGCCACACAGATAAAAGTCCTCATCGGCCATGCATTTGTCACAAGCCACCCTGGCAATGGCCACTCCAGCCACCTGAGTCACACAGCCTGAACATGGGGAGGGTTGGCCCTCCAAAGAAAACCAGAAGCTCTTTTTTTTTTTTTTTTTGAGATGGAGTCTTGCTCTGTCACCCAGGCTGGAGTACGGTGGCGCAATGTCAGCTCACTGCAACCTCTGCCTCCCGGGTTCAAGCAATTCTCCTGCCTCAGCCTCCCGAGTAGCTGGGATTACAGGCAAGCACCATCACACCCGGCTAATTTTTTGTACTTTTAGTAGAGACGGGGTTTCACCATGTTGGCTAGGTTGGTTTCAGACTCCTGATCTCAAGTGATCTGCCTGCCTCAGCCTCCCAGAGTGTTGGGATTACAGGCATGAGCCACCGCACCCTGCCCAGAAGCTCTTATAAGATGGGGGTCCTCTCCACCGGGTCCTGACCACTCCCCTGCTTACTTCCCCAGCAAACTGGATGAGGATTACCTGTACATGGCCTATGCTGATATCATGGCAAAGGTGAGGCCCTACCCCCCTCTTCTGGGGCAGATTTCCCTCTCCCCACCTGCAGTGCTTGTCCACAAAAAGGGCTGGGGCGGGATGGAGGGGTCTGCTTTGTTCATCCCTTAACTGATGCCCCCTCCCCAGAGCTGCCACCTGGAGGAGGGAGGGGAGAACGGTGAAGCTGAAGAGGAGGTTGAGGTCTCCTTTGAGGTAGGTGGGCTCAGGAGGTCCTGGAGGGAAGGGATGGGGGACCCTGACTGCAGTCATCTCCCATTCATTCAGCATGTGTTCACAGAGCAAAGCTCTGGGGACACAGCAGTGACCAAGTCAGTCCACTGGGGAGACAGATACACCCGCCAAACTAACACCACGGAGTGTACACCATGGTCATGGGGGAAGCTCAGGCAGAGGGGTCAGGGCTGGAATTGGGGAGGCTCAGGCAGAGGGGTCAGGGCTGGGATTGAGGAGGCTCAGGCAGAGGGGTCAGGGTTGGGATGATGGGGATACAGGCAGAGGGGTCAGGGCCAAGATGGGGGAACCTCAGGGGGATAAAGCAGCCCAAACAAGGTGCCTGACCCAGCCTGCAGGAAAATGTATCAGGGAGGGCTTCTCGGAGGAGGGGACTTCTGAGCAGAAGGATAAAAGGAGCCTGCCAGTTGAAGAAAAAGAGAAAAATGTTCTACGTAGGGAGAATAGTATATGCCAAGGCCAGGCAGCAAGAAAGAGCTAGTAAACATGCAATTCACCGATCCATTCATTCATTGAGACAGTTAGCAAGCATTTACTTCATAGTTTTCTTCACTGTTTCTGTGCCAGAGTCCCTTCTGGCATCTGGTGAAGACTTTCTCAGGATCATGTTTTTAAATGTATAAAATGAATTCATAGCAGAGGAAACAAGTATTGAATAGCTATCAAAATATTTTAAAAATGAATTTGTGATCCAGTAATACTTGTACATTGTTAATCTATCAAATAAGATCTAAGGCTGGGCGCAGTGGCTCACACTTGTAATTCCAGCACTTTGGGAGGCCAAGGCGGGTGGATCACCTGAGGCCAGGAGTTCAAGACCAGCCTGGCCAACATGGTGAAACCCCATCTCTACTAAAAATACAAAAATGAGCTGGGCATGGTGGCAGGCACCTGTAATCCCAGCTACTCAGGAGGTTGAGGCAGGAGAATCGCTTGAACCCGCGAGGTGGAAGTTGCAGTGAGCCGAGATCACGCCATTGCACTCCAGCCTGGGCGAGACTCCATCTCAAAAAAAAAAAAAAAAGATCTAGCAGTAGATCCAACAGCTACTATAATTGAGAAGTAGTGATGAACATAACTGATATTTAAAGACATCTTTGAGCCATTGTGAGTGAGTCTCTCTTCCTGGACCAAAAGAGCAGAATTTGAATAGGAAATGGTTCTAATTCTGCAACAATAATGTGATATGGAATATACAGCAATAATAATGTGATATGGAACCATCTGTAATTTTTTTTTTTTTTTTTTTTGAGACAGAGTCTCGCTGTGTCGCCCAGGCTGGATGGAGTGCAGTGGCGTGATCTCAGCTCACTGCAACCTCCACCTCCCGGGTTCAAGCAATTCTCCTGCCTCAGCCTCCCAAGTAGCTAGGACTACAGGCTCATGCCACCACGCCTGGCTAATTTTTTGTATTTTTAGTAGAGGCGGGGTTTCACTGTGTTAGCCAGGATAGTCTTGACCTCTTGACCTCGTGATCTCCCTGCCTCGGCCTCCCAAAGTGCTGGGATTACAGATGTGAGCCACCTTGCCCAGCCACATCTGTGATTTTTATTGGTGACAAAGCCACAGGTTCTGCTAATATCGCTGTGATTTATGGCTTCATCCATATAGGAAGGAAATGCTTCATTTCTGTTAGAGGGCGGAAAACATAAAAATGTAACTTTTCATCATCCAAGTTCACAGATGGCCTGGAGGCCCATGGGCCCAGGTTAAGACTGCTGCATGCCCAGCTCTGATTTATGTAGATCTTGCCTAATGCCTAGCCCCGTGCTAGGTACAGGAGATACATCGAGGGTGTGAGCCCCAGGGGATGGAGGGAGCTCATGGTTGAAGGAGTGAGTTGTGGATGTGGCTGGAACAGGGAGGGCAGAAGTGAGAATGTGAGGGGGAAAGGCTGGGCTGGAAAGCCTGGACTTGCCTTCATGTGTCTGCCTCCCTTCCCAGGAGAAACAGATGGAGAAGCAGAGGCTCTTGTACCAGCAAGCACGGCTGCACACCCGGGGGGCGGCCGAGATGGTGCTGCAGATGATCAGTGCCTGCAAAGGTGCCCCTCACATGTGCACTGGACTCTTCCGAGTGCACTCATCCTAACCTCACTCCTCCTGGCTCGCCCATTCCCTGTGGACCCATTTGCCGCCCCTCAATGCCTGTGGTTTGCACGCACACCCCAGCCCTTGCAGCTTCCCCTTGTATACCTGCCTTGCAATTTCTCACTCATCCTTCAATCACGATCACCCCTGCATGCACACCTTGGCACACTCTTAAATCCCCTTCTCTCACATCCCTTGGGATGGCTGTTTTCTGGTGGGTGGAACACACTGCCTTCCAACTGGGTGGACCATCTTTTTTCTCCCACTCCCTCCAGGAGAGACAGGTGCCATGGTGTCCTCCACCCTGAAGCTGGGCATCTCCATCCTCAATGGAGGCAATGCTGAGGTCCAGCAGGTAACAGAGGCAAAGGGACTTCAGAAGAAGGCAAGGAGGGATGAGAGGTTCCTGTGTGACTCCCAGTTTCTCCTCCCCTGCCTCGCCCTCTGCAGAAAATGCTGGATTATCTTAAGGACAAGAAGGAAGTTGGCTTCTTCCAGAGTATCCAGGCACTGATGCAAACATGCAGGTAGGTTCGAGTGGACCTCTTCTTGTTAAGCTGTGTTTGGTGCCACTGCCACCCCACTCCTGGTACCATTTCCAGTTCTGATTCTGCTCTTTCAGTCCAGGGAAAGAGACTCACTCAGAATCGCTCAAATAACAGGGAATTTATTATAAGAATTAATGTAGAACAATAAGGGAGGCAAAATGTCATAGACTTGAAGAATGAGTTGCATTATGAATTCCAGACAGTGGAACCAAAAACTTGAGAATTTAAGGGGAACTTGGCAGTGGGAGATTTAGGAGCTCTCTGATGATCCCAATTAATCTGCCTCTACTGTTGTCTGCCTTTATTCACCTCTTGCTGCCGGCTGATTTTTCCTACCCTCTGCAGCTTTTGCTAAATGGGTGGTTTCTGGTTCCTCATTATTTCAGCTTGCGCATGGTTCATCCTGGCCCAACCATATGTCCTAGCTTCTGCCAACTCTTCATTTCTGCTTCCTCTTGATTTCAGCGCATAGATGGTTTACTGTGGCTCTCCAGGCTACCATGGTGGGGAGCTGCCAGGCCCTGGGAGAGAGGAGGGCAGAGGCTTCATCACATACCCCCTATCTTTCCTTTCTTTTCCTCAGCGTCCTGGATCTCAATGCCTTTGAGAGACAGAACAAGGCCGAGGGGCTGGGCATGGTGAATGAGGATGGCACTGGTGAGGCCCTCCCTTGGGCTTCCCACCCCCTGAGACATCTTCCTTTGGGATTCCTCCCACCCCACCCCCACCCGCCATTGCCCAGAGCTCCCTTCCTCCAAGACACTGGTTCCCAAGGGCTCCCTCGGGTCCCTCCCTCTGCTGTGGTCCCCCAGTCCCACCCCCTCCATCCCCCTGGGGTCTCCCTCCCCATGTCCACCACCCACCTCCGCCCCCCCCCGCCACCAGAAGTCATTCTGTCTTGTGTTCTCACCCATCACTACATGGACCCCACCCTCCACGTGCCCCAAATGTCACGCCCTGGTTGCTGTTCTCTTATTAATGTCCCTAATCCGGGTTAATCGCGTCTCCTCTTTGCCGTGTTGTGACGTGTCTAACCTTTCTACCCGGATCCTCGCTCCTGCCTTTCTACCTCTATGTCTTCATCTCTCTCTCTCCCTCTCCATCCTCTTCTTTCATTCCCTCTGCTTTTACCCTCATTTCCTACCCTCTTCCCTGCTAATCCATTTCCTTCTGTCTCCTTATCACTCTGCCTTTCTCTCTGTGGGTTGTTCCTCTCTCTCTGTGTGTCTTTCTGTGTCTCTGTCCCTGACTGTCATTGTGTGTGTTTGCGGTCTGTCTCCCTCTCTTTTTCTCTCTTTTCTCCTGCTTCCTCCTCCCATCCTGTTGGCTGCCCCAGTCATCAATCGCCAGAACGGTAATTCCCCCAGCCCACCCCCGTGCTGTGCTGCTGTCACCCACCCCTCCTAACCCCGTCCACCCCTCCACCTAGGGGCTGAGGATCTGGGACGTGGAGGGGAGGGAGGGACCCTTCAGCAGGTGCACCCTGCCAGTGCAAAACCTGGAGATCAGGAGTCTGGGGAGCATGATTCAGGTCCCAGATCAGCCACTGAGAATACATGGGCCTGTGAACAAGTCTCTTACCTTCCCTAAGCTTCACTTTCCCCATGTGTGAAGCAGAAGCTAGAGAACATGGTAAAGATCTCTTTCCAGCTGGATATTGTCGGACTTCCAGACCCAGATTCGCAGTCCCGGTGTGGAGTGATCCCCACTCCCACCTACTCTGCTCTCTGCACCCCGACCTCAGATTGGTCAGTCAGCGTTTCCCATCCACCAACCGAATTGGTTGCCTCCGGCATCCACTCTGATTGGTGTGCGCCTGCCTCCTCTGCGCCTGCCTCCTCTGTGCCTGCTCTGGTTGGCCCATTTGCGGTCTAGCCTCCTCCCCTACCGCCCACCATGATTTGCTTCTTTCAGATGCCCATTCTGATTGGCCCTTGTTTACACGCCTCCCCTGTGCTACTCCTGGATTGGCTGCTTTCAAGGCATCTGGGCCAATTGGCTGGCTTTCAATCCCCATCCCTTATCCCTCCCAGCCCAATCTTCCCCTGCCCAGAGCCTTTGTGTGAAGGTGACCCAAACCCCCATAATCCATTAACCTCCACGGTCTGAAGGGGGGCTGAGGGCATTACCAGCTGCCTGAATGTCTGCTAGGTCAGCAGACTCTCCCGAACGTAACACAAGTGGTGACATCAGAGGGCACTGATGTAGAAAGACACTTGAGGCCCCAGCTTCATGACTCAGGGCCCCTTGGGTCTCCGTCTGCTGATGTCATGGGCTCTGAGGTCAAGACCGCCTGGCGTCATGGATGCCCATGGCCCTCACAGTGTCTTTGGAGTGGCAGCTGCTCCTCCCAGCACCCCCATGCTTTGTGCATGCGTGTGCAGTGTGCATGGGCCTTGTGCATGTGTGCGCTGTGTCTTGGCGCATCTGACCCCTCCTGGGCCCTGTCCCCTCCCTTCCACCTAGGAGAGAAGGTCATGGCGGATGATGAATTCACACAAGACCTGTTCCGATTCCTACAATTGCTCTGTGAGGGGCACAATAATGGTGAGGAGGAGGGGTGTGGGGTGGAGGGGAAGCCGAGGTTTGGGGCTGGTACGGAAGGGTTGACTGAATTAGTTTCCGCCCCTCCTCCTCCCCCGGTCAATGATGGCCACTCTCCAGCCAGTGTCAATCCACCTAGCTTTCAAAATCTCTCTGGAGGCTGGGCGCAGTGACTCAGGCCTATAATCACAGCACTTTGGGAGGCAAAGGCTGGTGGATCTCCTGAGGTCAGGAGTTCGAGACCAGCCTGGCCAACATGGTGAAACCCCGTCTCTACTAAAAATATAAAAAAAATAGCAGGGCGTGGTGGCACATGCTTGTAGTCCCAGCTACTCAGGAGGCTGAGGCAGGAGAATCGCTTGAACCCATGAGATGGAGGTTGCAGTGAGCCAAGATCGCACCATTGCACTCCAGCCTGGGCAACAGAGCAAAACTCCATCTCAAAAAAAAACCTCGCTGGAATTTCTGGAATCTAGCCACTTTGTTTCCCCCTCATCTCCTCTGGCCAGTCCAATTCCCCAAAAGCAACCTGCCAAAAACCAATTTGGCCAAAAATCAATTTGCCCAAATGGACAATTTGTCACATGCTATTTTCCCACAGGCGCTCTGCAGTGGCTGCCAAAGTTCTATACACGTGGTGGATTTCTGTACTTTAGGTCCAGAAAAGACCTAAGGGAAAAAACTGCCTGGCATTTAAAAATAAATCTATTAGAATCACTTGTTTATTTTGCTTATAAAATCTTTGCAGAGGAAAGATCTGTACAAAGGCCTACAGATTCTTTCCTATCTTAAGCAAGAGTTTTGTTTTGTTGTGGTTCAGCCAATTTAACAAGATTGAGGATGACAGCAAATTAATTACACAACATCAATGATGAGAAATGCAGTCTCATGCAGCAAACCTAGCTTACAACTTTACAGAACAGACAAAATTCTGCACAAAAAACATTCTACCCAATGCCATTTCCTATAACAAACATGTACAGTCTCAAGATTGTGGTTATAACCTTTAGCAGGTGATTAGGAAACCACAGACTACCCGGAAATCAACTTTCGTGACAAGAATTGGAGTAATTAGTAATCTTACTTCCATAGAACCTTCACCCACTTGGTTAGTGCTCTTTAAGGTAACTGATTTGTAAATATCTTTAATCTTCATTCTTTTTCTTTCAACAAAGGATAAAGTATGATCTCTTTGTCTTGAATTTTCAAAAGCTCTTGTGTCCACAACGAGTTTTTCAAGGTTTATTAAATACCTTTGTGCCATGGGACTAAGATTTTTTCTTTTTTTTTTTTTTTTTTTTAGACAGAGTCTCACTCTTGTCGCCCAGACTGGAGTGCAGTGGTGTGATCACAGCTCGCTGCAACCTCTGCCTCCTGGGCTCAAGTAATCCACCCCTCAGCCTCCCGAGTATCCAGGACTACAGGCATGCATCACCATGTCTGGCTAAGTTTTTTATTTTTTGTAGAGATGAGATCTCACTGTGTTGCCCAGGGGATCTCAAACTCCTGGATTCAAGCAATCCTCCTGCCTTGGCCTCCTAAAATGCTGGGATTACAGGTGTGAGCCACCATACCCAGCCGGGACTAAGATTTTCATTCTTTAATTTTAACTAAGATGGAATCAGTCTTTGGGTTTAAAATAAATTTTATTCCTCAGGAATATGAAGTTTTGAAAATGAGAATGTTGTTATGAAAGGGATTGCTGTCTCCCAACATATTTGCAACCCAGTCCTCGCCTAAATTCATGACCTAATCAAATAGATATTTGAAATATCTTTCAAATCTCAGACCCCTTGCATGTCTTGAGGAGTCAGTGCTATTCAAAGCAGACAAAAGGTTTGTCTCTCACTTATTTGCACATGTCTATAACAGGTGTTGTCAGTTGCCAGAATTTTTTTTACAGGAGCTGTGTATCTTTTATTTTTGCATATAGCCCAATTTAAATTAACACAATTTAATTTAACAATTTAAATTAACACAAATAAAGGAGTTAGAAAGCAGGGTTGATGGGAAAACCTGTACCTTTGCTTATAAAATTTTGAATATTTGAGTATGCTTTGTCTATGTCATGAAACTAGGCAAAATGGGCCTTCTGTTGAGCCAACCTGATAGAGCAATTGTGAACTGACTGTAAAAAAGTTAAGGGGAAAGAAAAACGGGGGGCAAAAATACTTTCAGGGGCTGTTAAAACCTTCCTGTGCAACATGATGTTGCTATAAACATTTAAAAGGACTTGGCTGGGCACTGTGGCTCATGCCTGTAATCCCAGCACTTTAGGAGGCTGAGGCAGGAGGATCACTTGAGCCCAGCAGTTCAAGACAAGTCTGGGCAACATAAGGAGACCCTGTCTCTACCAAAAAAAAAAAAAATCATATACTACAGTATAATAAACCTCCAATCATATACTACAGTATAATAAACCTCCAATCATATACTACAGTATAATAAACCTCCAATCATATACTACAGTATAATAAACCTCCAATCATATACTACAGTATAATAAACCTCCAATCATATACTACAGTATAATAAACCTCCAATCATATACTACAGTGTAATAAACCTCCAATCATATACTACAGTGTAATAAACCTCCAATCATATACTACAGTGTAATAAATCTCCAATCATATACTACAGTGTAATAAACCTCCAATCATATACTACAGTGTAATAAACCTCCAATCATATACTACAGTGTAATAAACCTCCAATCATATACTACAGTGTAATAAACCTCCAATCATATACTACAGTGTAATAAACCTCCAATCATATACTACAGTGTAATAAACCTCCAATCATATACTACAGTGTAATAAACCTCCAATCATATACTAAAGTGTAATAAACCTCCAATCATATACTACAGTGTAATAAACCTCCAATCATATACTACAGTGTAATAAACCTCCAATCATATACTACAGTGTAATAAACCTCCAATCATATACTACAGTGTAATAAACCTCCAATCATATACTACAGTGTAATAAACCTCCAATCATATATTACAGTATAATAAACCCCCAACTACCCATCACTCAGCTTTAACAGTTTGCTTTCACAGAACAATGTTTTTTAAATAGTGGGAACCAACCCATCAGACAGACGTTCATGAATCAGTTTCACGCAGAGGTTCTCATTGTAATTGTACACTGGCATGCCTGGGGAGCTTTAAAAGAGACTTAAGCCCAGGTTTTGCCTTTACAGGTTCTAATTCAATTGATCTGGGGTTGGGCCTGAGCACTGGGGTTTTTAAAAGCCTCCTAGTTGTCCTGATGTGCAGCCAAGGTTGAGAGGATGAGAAGCACACACTTCTTCTTTTGTAGTTAACTAGAGCAGTACAGGACAGAAAAGAACAGAATGCATGGCACAGAGTAAGGCAATGTGAAACTTCTCTTTCGGGAATAGGTGAATATAATTTCAGATTGAACACATGTATCAGGTCTCAATGTAAAAAGGATTTCCTCGGCTGGGTGTGGTGGCTTACACCTGTAATCCCAGCACTTTGGGAGGCCGAGGCAGGTGGATCACAAGGTCAGGAGTTGGAGACCAGCCTGTCCAATATGGTGAAACCCTGTCTCTACTAAAAATGCAAAAAAATTAGCCGGGCGTGGTGGCGCATGCCTGTAATCCCAGCTACTCAGGAGGCTGAGGCAGGAGAATTGCTTGAACCTGGGAGGCAGAGTTTGCAGTGAACTGAGATCATGCCACTGCACTCCAGCCTGGGTGACAGAGCAAGACTGTATCTCAAAAAAAAAAGGATTTCCTACCATAGATTGCAGTCAGAAAAGATTAAAAAATTACTGCACAAGAATATAAACTTCACAAGGGCAGGGGCTGGACATACGGCTCATGTCTGTAATCCCAGCACTATGGGAGGTCAAGGTAGGAGGGTTGCTTGAGGCCAGGAGTTCGAGACCAGCCTGGGCTGGTCTCAACAAAAAAATTAAAAATTGGCCGGATGTGGTGGCTCACACCTATAGTTCCAGCTACCTGGGAGGCTGAGGTGGGAGGACCACTTGAACCCAGGAGGTCAAGGCTGCAGTGAGCTATGATCATGCCACAGTACTCCAACCTAGGCAACAGAGGGAGACCTTGTCAAAAAAAAAAAAAAATCCCCCCCAAGGCCGGGGACTGTTTTTTTTTTTTTTACTACTGTATCCCCAGAGCCTAGAATACTGCATGACACATAGTAAGAACGCAACAAATTTGTTGTAGCAAAGAGGATGTGACAATCTTAATCTCGTGAGGATGTAGTATACACTCAATAAAATATGTTGAATAAATGAACAAGTGACCAATCCATATGTTCCCTGGCCTTTAGTAGGTGCTCAATAAATATTTGTTGGATAAATGCATGAATATCCCCAGCACATAGGAGGAATTTGATAAAATTGTTTGGAAACTAACGAGGAACTGAATCTCTATTTCTCCCTGCTACATAGTTGGTGGTCAATATACAAATTTGTTGGAAAAAACTGAATGAATAAATGACGCTCCACCACATTTGACACATAGCAGGCCCTCAATAATATTTATATTTTATTTTTTTATATTTATTTATTTTTTGAGACGGAGTTTCACTCTTGTTGCCCAAGCTGGAGTGCAGTGGCATGATCTAGGCTCACTGCAACCTCTGCCTTCCGGGTTCAAGCAATTCTCCTGCCTCAGCCTCCCAGGTAGCTGGGATTACAGGCACATGCCACCACACCTGGCTAATTTTGTATTTTTTTTAGTAGAGACGGGATTTCACCATGTTGGCCAGGCTGGTCTCAAACTCCTGACCTCAAGTGATCCACCCACCTGGGCCTCCCAAAGTGCTGGGATTACAGGTGTGAGCCACCGCTCCCAGCCTATTTTAAAATTATTTATTTATTTATTTATTTATTTTTGAGACGGGGTTTCCATCTTGTTGCCCAGGCTGGACTGCAATGGTGAGATCTCCACTCACTGCAACCTCTGCCTCCGGGGTTGAAGCGATTCTCCTGCCTCAGCCTCCCAAGTAGTTAGGATTGCAGGTGCCCACCACCACACCCAGCTAATTTTTGTATTTTTAGTAGAGACGGGGTTTCACCATGTTGGTCAGGCTGGTCTCAAACTCCTGACCTCAGGTGATCTGCCTGCCTGGGCCTCCCAAAGTGCTGGAATTACAGGCGTGAGCCACCCGGCCAGTATTTTTAGACAAATGAATAAATGATCATCCATCTTTCTCTGTCACATAGTAAGTACTTGATAGTTATTAAATAAATTGATGATGATATGCTTTCTGGCATACAATAGGAACTCAACACATGAGTATTGCATAAATGAATAAATGACCCACTGTTCATCTCCCCTAGCACATGGGAGGTGCTGGATAAATGACTTTTCATCTCCCCAGATTTCCAGAACTACCTACGGACACAGACAGGG
This sequence comes from Homo sapiens, assembly GCF_000001405.40. Lineage (NCBI taxonomy): Eukaryota > Metazoa > Chordata > Mammalia > Primates > Hominidae > Homo > Homo sapiens. Next base: position 38,543,379 of record NC_000019.10, read on the forward strand.
AACACGACCACTATTAACATCATCATTTGCACTGTGGACTACCTCCTGCGGCTGCAGGTGAGGACGTGAGACGGTTCAGGTGTGACTTGGGTCGGGGGCTGCAGGGCCATGGTCGGCCCCAGCACCCCCTCACACCCTACCCGCCCCCACCAGGAATCCATCAGCGACTTCTACTGGTACTACTCGGGCAAGGATGTCATTGAAGAGCAGGGCAAGAGGAACTTCTCCAAAGCCATGTCGGTGGCTAAGCAGGTGTTCAACAGCCTCACTGAGTACATCCAGGTAGGGCGCTCCCCCTGGGGCGGGAGTGGGAAGGGAGGGGGTCCCGCATCGTGATCCCTGATCCCTTCTCGGGGATTCCCTTCCCCCCCACACGGCACTCTGCCTCCCAGGGTCCCTGCACCGGGAACCAGCAGAGCCTGGCGCACAGTCGCCTATGGGACGCAGTGGTGGGATTCCTGCACGTGTTCGCCCACATGATGATGAAGCTCGCTCAGGTTCGAGCCCCTCTGGTCTCCATCCACCTGCTTCCGGGCGTCCCCCAAGTGGTCCATTTCCAAGTCTTGCCCCTTTGGTCAGTTTGTCACCCGAGTGCTCCCGGCATGTTCCAGACTGGTTCCCTCTCAGTGGCCAAATCCATCCTCTTTCTGGATTGGCTGTCTGCATGACCCCGCCTCCTCCTCTGCCCCTCCCTCCCCACCAATCAGCTGGTTTTCCATCCACGCTTCCATTGGTCTGACGTGTTGGCCCCGTCCCAATGGCCGGAGCTCCTCTATGATTGATTGCTGTTTTTCTCTCTGATGAGTCATCGCAGATGTGGACAGTCCTTGGGCTAGGATGGGGCTGGTTTCTAGATTAGAGCCTGGGGCTGAGGAAATGTTTTGCTTCTTTATCTTACTTGCGGCAGATGACACCCATATCAGGCATTCATGATGTAAGGTCCCTGTTGAGCACCACCTTCCATTTCCATAATCCTTGTTCCTCTTTCCCTCACCCCTTTGCAGCCTTGCCAATGTCTCACGAACACTTAATCCATTTGCTCTGCTTCTGTCTGGTAACTATATTCAAGGCTGCCATATACTGTTCCGCAGGTCGTGCACTGCACAAAGGCACGATCTCTGAGAGCATTCACATCCTACACATAATGGTGTATTTATTACAATAGTTTAGTTTTCCAGCAGATGGCAGTAAAGCATCCAGCATGTTATAACTTCCCTACAGGAAGTGTTTTAGGGGACGCCTTTTTTTCTAATTTGCTCAAAGGTGCCCCAGGGGCTGGCAGAAACCCTAATTCGTTGTCATCTGACTTTTTAAAAGGAGTTAAACTTAGAATGCAATTCCTCCGTGTCACAGCAGCTGAAGTTGTGCTGTTGGTATCCTAAAATTCTAGAGAGTGTTGGTATCATCATGTAGAATTCCAAATCCTGCAGGGCTAATTCATCCGCCACCATCTAGTCTAGGTTGCAAAAGCTAGAAATCCAGTGCAAAGTGGTGGCTTAAGAAAAATAAAGAATTTATCAGTTCATATTACAGATCCAGGGCTTAGAGTGATGTCAGCAGAACTGCCTCCTCTTTGACTGCATTTGCAAGCAGGCTGTCTCCCTGGGCTGGAAAAAATGGTGCCTCAGGCTCCTATCCACTCTACTTCTTAACAGCCCTAGAGGGAAGAGATCTCCTCTTTCCTGAAAGCTCCAAGAAAAAAAAAAACCTGAGATTCTCTCTGACTAGCCTATTGGGTCACATGTCCCTCCCTGAACCAATCATCATAGGCTTAGGAAAGAAAGCTTTGACTGACCAGGCCCGGTCATATACCCACCTATAGAACCAGGAGGTAGGGTTAGCCCCATGTGCTCTGACTGTGGGATGGGGGACTCCGCAGGTGAAAATTGAGGGATTGTAAAGAGAGGAGGGGGACTGAATCATGGGTAGGCACAAACCACAGGCGCCCACCCACTGTAAGATCTTGAGATTAGGAGTGTCGGGACCTTAGGCGCAGAATGCAGAGCTTTGGAACTGTGGAAATACATTAGGATTGGAATCAACAACTGATAGAACTAGCATGGGAGCAAAAGATCCTTACATCCCATTTATCTGGTATCATCTCCTCCCCTCTCCATTTTATTTGGTGGAACCATATGAAATTACCACTTTGGATCTGGCACGGTGGCTCATACCTGTAATCCCAGCACTCTGGGAGCCCTAGGCGGGCAGATCACCTGAGGTCAGGAGTTCGAGACCAGCCTCACCAACATGGAGAAACCCCATCTCTGTTAAAAGTAAAAAATTAGCTGGGTATGGTGGCGCATGCCTGTAATCCAGCTACTCGAGAGGCTTAGGCAGGGGAATTGCTTGAACCTGGGAGGCAGAAGTTGCAGTGAGCCGAGATTGCGCCATTACATTCCGGCCTGGGCAACAAGAGCAAAACTCTGTCTCAAAAAGAAAGAAATTACCACTTTGTGAGCCAAAAGTGATCACATGTTGGCAATTTTATGTGACTCAACCTAACATAAATAGGGGCCATGAGGCAAAACTTTGTATTGGAGGTTTCTATGGGCCCTACACTGTGGCCCTATGTTCCCCGCAGACGGCTTACCAGAAAGCACATGGCTGTCTCTGCAGCCTTCCTCCTGAACCCAGAGTCCCACTCTTGCCATCACACATTATATTCAACATACATCTGTCAATCCCACCGTAGGCCAGGCACAGTGCTGGGCTCACATCCCTTCCTAGACCTGGGTCTCTGTCCCCAGTGTTTGTCTCTGTCTGTCTCTGTCTCTCTCTGCCCCAAATGTCTGCCCCGCAAGCCTCTCAGTCCTCCTTGTCTGCCAGCCTTCCCACTACCCATCACCTATCGAGCCCGTCCCCCAAGTGCCAACCCCACCCCCACAATCTTGTCTCTCTGCCCCTTCCCCTGCTTCCGAGGAACATGTCTGGACTCGGGTCCCCTCGGAGGTAAGAGGGGAGAAAACGGGTTTAGGCCCTGCTGGGTAGGTGAGGAGGGGGAGAAGCAACAGAGGTGGGGGAGGTGTATGCTGAGACCAGCCCTCACCGAGCTGGGATCTCTAGGACTCAAGCCAGATCGAGCTGCTGAAGGAGCTGCTGGATCTGCAGAAGGACATGGTGGTGATGTTGCTGTCGCTACTAGAAGGTAAACACCCAGGAGTGAGGGTGAGGGAACAGTAAAGAGGTTCAGAGAAGCCTGAGAATGGCCCCCTGAGACCCGGGAGACCCTAATCCTCAACCCCATCTGACATCGTGTCAGGATCCATGGGTTGATGAAGAAGCCATAATAGGCCAGATGCGGTGGCTACACCTGTAATCCCAGCACTTTGGGAGGCCGAGGTGGGAAGATCACCTGAAGTCAGGAGTTTGAGACCAGCCTGGGCAACATGGTGAGACCCTGTCTCTACTAAAAATACAAAAATTAGCCTAGTGTGGTGGTGTGTGCCTGTAGACCCAGCTACTCGGGAGGCTGAGGTGGGAGGATCACCAGAGCCCGGGAGGTCCAGGCTGCAGTGAGCTGTGATCACACCACTGCACTCCAGCCTGGGTGACAGAGCAAGACCCTGTCTCAAAAAAACAAACCCCAAAAACAAACCAAATGTCCAAATGTGGCAAAAGATAAACAATTGATGAATGTGGATATATTAGGATCCCTTTTTTTTTTTTTTCTTTTCTGAGACGGAGTCTCGCTCTGCCGCTCAGGCTGGAGGTGCGGTGGCGCGATCTCGGCTCACTGCAAGCTCCGCCTCCCAGGTTCACGCCATTCTCCTGCTTGGCCTCCCCGGTAGCTGGGACTACAGGCGCCCGCCACCACACCTGGCTAATTTTTTTTTTTTTTTTTTTGTATTTTTAGTAGAGACGGGGTTTCACCATGTTGGTCAGGATGGTCTGGATCTCCTGACTTCGTGATCCTCCCGCCTCAGCCTCCCAAAGTGCTGGGATTACAGACTTGAGCCACTGCGCCCAGCCTACATTAAAATTTAAAAATTACAAAAATAAACTGGAGCCAAGCTTCAGCTGCTGCCTTTAGAGGGAGTGTGGGATCGCAGTTTGCCAATCTCTACCTCTCCTTGCTGCTTACCACTGGCTAGCCTCAGTCTTCTGTGGACCCTCCTGACTGTGTGTACTGGTGGAAGTTTTAGTTGTGTAAGCCCTGAGGTCATGCAGCTCTGAGTTCAAATCCATTCTCCCCACTTTACTGGCTATGTAACTTTGAGTGCATGACTTTCTCTATGTCTCAGTTTCTCTTCCTAAAAGTAGAGTCACACACTTCCCTTTTTGTGTGATTGTGCCAGGGTAGCATTTGGCACCTACCTTTAGCGTACATCATCATTATCTTTTTTTTTTTTTTTGAGACAGAGTCTCACTCCATCACCCAGGCTGGAGTGCAGTGGCACGATCTCGGCTCTGCAACCTCCGCCTCCCAGGTTCAAGCAATTCTCGTGCCTCAGCCTCCCAAGTAGCTGGAAATACAAGCACATGCCACCACGCCCAGCTGATTTTGTATTTTTAATAGAGACGGGGTTTCACCATGTTGGCCAGGCTGGTCTCAAACTCCTGGCCTCAAGTGATCCACCCACCTCGGTCTCCCAAAGTGCTGGGATTACAGGCGTGAGCCACCACGTCCGACCTGACATCATTAGCTTTACTGGGGGAGGTGGGCAAAGGCAGGATCAGCCAGGTTGGCACAGGAGGCTGACGCAGGTCAGGAAGGGACCTGTGGAGGGGAGGCTGTGGCTGGCCAGGGACACTCCAGCAGCGTGGTGGCTCCTGGGCTGGAAAGAGAGGCAAGCCTGGTGGGGCCCCAGAAGGGAGTGTTCACCGGCCACACTGACCTGGGGCTGCCTGCAGGGAACGTGGTGAACGGCATGATCGCCCGGCAGATGGTGGACATGCTCGTGGAATCCTCATCCAATGTGGAGATGATCCTCAAGTTCTTCGACATGTTCCTGAAACTCAAGGACATTGTGGGCTCTGAAGCCTTCCAGGACTACGTAACGGATCCCCGTGGCCTCATCTCCAAGAAGGACTTCCAGAAGGTGGGTGTGGGACATCGTGTGGGCCCAGGACTTGGGTGGGGTTGCCAAGGGCCAGCCATACCCTTCTGGCTGGCTGCCTCAGGCAAGAGACATCTCTGCAAGCCTCACTTTCCTTGTTTGTAAAATGAGGATAAAACAGTCCTTGGGTTATATGTATTCTGTTTTATTTCATTTTAGAGACAAGGTCTTTCTCTGTTGCCCAGGCTGGAGTGCAGTGGCGTGATCATAGCTCACTGCAGCCTTGACCTCCTGGCTTAAGCAATCCTCCCACCTCAGCCTCCTGAGTAGTTGGGACGACGGGTGTGTGACATCATGCCTGGCTAATTTTTAAGTTTATTTTTTGTAGAGATGTGGTCTCACTACATTACCCAGGCTCCTCTTGAACTCTTGGGCTCCAACAATTCTCCTACCTTGGCCTCCCAAAGTGCTGGGATTATAGGCATGAGCCACCTCGCTCAGCCCCCTTGGGTTATTTTGAGGATGAAATGCATTAACACAGATGAGAACCGTTATTACTGTTATCTTTATTGATAGTCATAACATTATCATTATTGTGAATAGGCATCAGTTATTCCATCAATAAACATTGGCTGGCTTTCTTCTCTGTGTAGGGCCTGTAGTGACACTATTGACGCATCAATGACCAAGATAGACACAGCCCGTGCTTTCATGGGTTTATAGTCTAATGGGGGAGGCAGTCACTAACTAGACCATTCCAAGTCTAAATAATGAGCCTGCTAGGAGGGAAGTGCTGGAACATCCTTATTCAGAAACCCACTCCTCCTCCTCTAACCACCTCTCCCATCCTAACTCTCCATCTTTTCTTCTGAGCCTCAGTTTCCTACTCTGTAAAATGGGGATAGGATAATCACATTAACCACTAACTATTGGCAGTGTGCGGTGGTTCATGCCTATAATCCCAGCAATTTGGGAGGCCGAGGTGGGAGGATCGCTTGAGCCCAAGAGTTCGAGATCAGCCTGGGCAACCTAGTGAAACCCTGTATCTATAAAAATAAAAATAAAACAACTATTAACTATTGTGAGGATGGGCAGTGCGGGCAGTACCTGGAATATGGTGAGTCCTCAAGAGATGTTAGCTGCTATTACTACTCCCTGATCTTTAATGTTACCATTTTGTTAACTTTTTATTTTGAAATAACTTCAGGTTTATAGAGACGTTGCAAGAACAGCACATAGAATTTCTGAATACCTTTCACCCACATTGCCCAAATGTTTTCTATTTACTATTTACTCCATCATGATTTCCCTTTCCTTTCCTTTTTTTTTTTTTTTTTTTTTTTTGAGACGGAGTTTTGCTCTTGTTGCCCAGGCTGGAGTGCAGTGGTGCAATCTCAGCTCAGTGCAACCTCCGCCTCCTGGGTTCAAGCGATTCTCCTGCCTCAGCCTCCTGAGTAGCTGGGATTACAGGCACGCACCACCATGCCCAGCTAAATTTGTGTGTGTGTGTGTGTGTGTGTGTGTGTGTGTGTGTGTGTGTGTGTGTGTTGTATTTTTAGTAGAGATGGGATTTCACCATGTTGGCCAGGCTGGTCTTGAACTCCTGGCCTCAAGTGATCTGCCTGCCTCGGCCTCCCAAAGTGCTGGGATTACAAGCATGAACCACCTCGCCTAGCCAATTTCCCTTTACTTTGAAACACTTCAGCGTGTATCTCCTGAGAACAAATTCATTCTCCTACCTAAGCACAGGACAATTATGCTAATCAGGAAATTAACATTGGCACAATGCTGCTATCTAATCCTAGACCTTATTCAGTTTCCCTTGTTGAATAAATTTCTTTCGTCAATGTCTTTTCTTTGCCAACCCAGAACCAGGGATTGTATTTAGGTGTTCTGTCTGTTTTCCTCCTTCAGTCTGGAACTGTGCCTGGGTCTGTCTTTATCTTTCCTGACATGTTTGAAGAACGCAGGCAAACTGTTTTGTAAAATGTCGTTCAGTGTGGGTTTGTCTGAGTTTTCATCATTATCAGACTAGGGTTATGCATCTTTTGCAGGAATATCAGAGAAGTGATGTGTCCTCAGTGTAATGTATTAGGAGGCACATGTGGTTTCATCCCATTACTGTTTATTTTCTTATTTATTTGTTTTTAGAGTCAGAGTCTTGCTCTATTGCCCCGGCTGGAGTGCAGTCAAACAATCCTAGCTCACTGCATCCTTGACCCCCTGGGCTCAGGCGATCCTCCTGCCTCAGCCACCCAAAGTGCTGGGATTACAGGTGTGAGTCACTGCACCTGGCCAATGTCTCTTCCCATTACTGTTGTTAACTTGGATGGCTTGGTTAACTCGGTGTTCACCAGGGGCTCCACAATGAAGTTACTGTTATTCCCTTTGGAATCAATAAGTGTCTCATGAGGATATACTTTGAGGCTATGTAAATATTCTGCTAACTCTGGGGTCATCATCCATTGATGATTCTTGCCTGAAACAATTATTCCTCTAGTAGCTGACAAATGGTGGTTTTCTCATTTCGCCGTATGCTTTACCATCACTAGGCACCATTTTACTGTAAGAAAGAGTGTTTCCTTCTTGTCCATTTCATTTCATTTTCTCATTCATCCATTCATTTATATCAGTGTGGATTCACGGCTTTTTTTTTTTTTTTTTTTTTTTTTTTTTTTTTTTTTTTGAGACGGAGTTTTGCTCTTGTTGCCCAGGCTGGAGTGCAATGGTATGATCTTGGCTCACTGCAACCTCCGCCTCCTGGGTTCAGTGATTCTTCTGCCTCAGCCTCCCAAGTCGCTGGGATTACAGGTATGCACCACCATGCCTGGCTAATTTTGTATTTTTAGTAGAGACGGGGGTTTCACCATGTTGGTCAGGCTGGTCTCGAACTCCCGACCTCAAGTGATGGTCAGGCTGGTTTCAAATTCCCAACCTCAAGTGATCCGCCCGCCTCAGCCTCCCAGAGTGCTGGGATTACAGGTGTGAGCCACTGCACCTGGCCCATGGCTTCTTAGTCTATGGGTTGCAGCTGTGACTGGCCATCTGCACTTAGGTAAGCTCAGGGTTCCCTGAGTTAAAATCAAAGTGCCCCATGCCTTCCAGTTGTCCCCCAAGAGCCTCACTGTGTCTCTCTGCTTCTCAGCCACGCCTTGCAAGAGTCATCTGCCCTTGATCATCTGTTCTCACCTCCCACTCCTTCCCTGATTCGGGGCTTGCCGGCTTCCGTCCCTGTCAGGCTCCTGAAACTCCTCTGACCAAGATCATCAGTGACCTCTTTACCTCTGACTGTCCCCTCTGACTTGTCATCTTGGCAGCCTTTGTCACAGCTGGCCTTTTCGTTTCCCTCCCCAACCCTGAGGGGCAATGCCTGCTTCCCTGAACCTGAGCCTCACATCCTTCGGACCCTGCCTCCCAGCTGATCCCTCCTAGCCTCTTACCCTTCACTGTGCCTGAGCCCTCCACCTTCATGAAGAGCTCATAGTTACCATATTCTCACTCTGTGCCCTGCGTATAAATGAATTTGCTCATTTAGTCCTTACAGCAACCCTACATGGTAAAACATTTTTGTTTTGTTTTGCTTCTTTGAGACAGGGTCTTGCTTTATCAGTCAGTCTGGAGTGCAGTGGCGTGATCACAACTCACTGTAGCCTCCACCTCCCAGGCTCAGGTGATCCTCCTACCTTAGCCTCCCAAGTAACTGGGACTCCAGGTGTGTGCCACCACACCCGGCTACTTTTATTTATTTATTTATTTTAGAGACGGGGTTTGACATGTTGCCCTAGCTGGTCTTGAACTCCAGGACTGAAGCAATCAGCCCACCTCAGGCTCCCAAAGTGCTGGGATTACCAGCATAAGCTACCATGCCCAGCAGGACTGCTTTTTTTTTTTTGAGATGGAGGAGTCTCACTCTGTCACCAGGCTGGAGTGCAGTGATGTGATCTCGGCTCACTGCAAACTCCGCTTCCTGGGTTCAAGCGATTCTTCTGCCTTAGCTTCCCGAGTAGCTGGACTACAGGCATGCGCCACCACACCCAGCTAATTTTTGTATTTTTAGTAGAGACGGGCTTCACCATGTTGGCCAAGGTGGTCTCGATCTCCTGACCTCATGATCCACCTGCCTCGGCCTCCCAAAGTGCTGGGATTACAGGCGTGAGCCACCGCGCCTGGCCAGGATTGCTTTTTATTCCCATTTTATGGATGTGGAAACTGAGGCACAGGGAGATTAAACGGACATGCTTAAGGTCACCCATCTTAATAAGTGACAAGGTTAGGGTTAGACCTCAGGCGGTCTGGCCTCAGAGTACACTGCCTTCAGATTCATCTGTTAATCTGGTCTAATCGATAGTCAGTGAGCACTTCCTGGGGGCTGGGCCCTGGCTGGGGGTCTCAGCCCTACTCTCGAGCCTGGCAGGTTTAGGGAGAGAGTCTGGGGTGGCTACAAGAGAAGCAAAAAGCATTTGCAGGAGCTAAAGTACACATGATTCACAATTGAAAATGAGTAATGATCTCTCCTGACTGGGGCTGCACAGATCACAGGGTTTAATGTCACCTACCTGACATTTTACAGCTCAACATCTGTTACACAAAGTTATAATCTGCAACTGGGAAAAGTGTATTCATTTTATTTTTTGAATATATAATTACTCACGATTTTAAAAATCAAAATATAGGCTGGGCACAGTGGCTCACGCCTGTAATCTCAACACTTTGGGAGGCCAAGGCAGGCAGATCACTTGAGGTCAGAAGTTCAAGACCAGCCTGGGCAACATGGCGAACCTCCCCATCTCTACTAAAAATACAGAAATTAGCCAAGCATGGTGGCAGGTGCCTGTAATCCCGGCTACTCAGGAGGCTAAGGCAGGAGAATCCCTTGAGCCTGGGAGGCAGAGATTGCAGTGAGCTGAGATCACGCCACTGCACTCCAGCCTGGGTGACAGAGTGTGACTCCATATCAAAAAAAAAAAAAAAAAAATCAAAATATAGCCAGGTGCTGTGGCTCACACCAGTAATTCCAGCACTTTAGGAGGCCAAGGCAGGAGGATTGCTTGAGGCCAGGAGTTCAAGACCAGCCTGGACAATATAGCAAGACCCCATTGCTAAAAAAAAAAAAATCAAAAAATTAGCTGGATGTGGAGGTGTGCACCTGTAGTCCCAGCTCCTCTGGAGGCTGACTGAGCTGGGAGGATCCTTTGAGCCCAGAAGGTCAAGGCTGCAGTGAACCATGATTGTACCACTGCACTCCAGCCTGGGCAACAGAGCACAAGACTTTGTCTCAAAAAAACATTTATCAAAATACAGCAAGGCGTGAAGTGAGAAGTCTTACTCCTGCTCTTTTCCAATCCACTCTTCCCCACATCTACCATGGTAAAGCCCTTTCGTTAGTTTCTTTTGTATCCTTCCATCATTTTTTAAATGAAAATACAAACAGATATTTTTGTTTTTCTCGTTTTGTACATAATAGGTATAACATCACTGGTCTGCATTATTTAATAACATATTCTGGAGATATAGGAAGTGTCGTCATTCTTTTTTACAGGTGTCCAATATTCCACGCTGTGTGTATATTATGGTTTATTTGCTATTCCTTGTTGATGGACACTGGCTTTATTCCCAATGTTTTGCTATACAACCCATGTTGCAGTCAGGGCTGTCATGGATAGTTGCACCCATTGTGCACTGCACAAGGATGTCATTTATACCACAGACATTTTACATTTGTACATGTTTTACTGCAGAGTTCCAGCAGATGGAGGGAAATGTGCTGAGGAAGGCTGTAGTATTTGGGCCTAAAGCAATGCTGGCTATAACAATTACTCTTGCTACACTTTGAGAGGCTGAGGCATGTGGATCACCTGAGGTCAGGAGTTCGAGACCAGCCTGACCAACACGGTGAAACCCCATCTCTACTAAAAATACGAAAAAATAGCGGGCATGGTGGCATGCACCTGTAATCCCAGCTGCTTGGGAGGCTGAGGCAGAGAATTGCTTGAACCCGGGAGTTAGAGGTTGCAGTGAGCTGAGATTGCGCCACTGCACTCCTGCCTGGGCGACAGAACAAGACTCAGTCTCAAAAGAAAAAAAAAATAAGTAGCATTGTTCTATAATTTCCCAAGTTCTTCATGGTTGCCAGAGTTCTTGACAGTTTACAAATCACATCTTCATTGATGAAGTACTTTGTAGATTTCAAAACATCTACTATAGCTTGGAAGGCCCTTTCTGGTGTTTGAAATCACATTTTATTTATTTATTTATTTAAATGTTTAATTATATTAACAGAGATGAGGTCTCCCTATGTTGCCCAGGCTGGTCTTGAACTCCTGGGTTTAAGGGATCCTCCTGCCTCAGCCTCCCAAAGCGCTGGGATTACAGGAATGAGTCACCTCACCCAACAGAAACCACATTTTAGGTTACTGATTTATTCCTGGTCAGTAAACAGTCTTGAGGTTATCTTCATTGTTTTCCTATCTGCAAATTTTATTTGTCTCTTAATTAAAACACTTCCTTTTTAAAGTGTCTTTACTGAAATAGAATGTACATACCATAAAATCCACCCATTTAAAATGTACAGTTCAGTGGTTTATAGTGTGTTCACAGAATTATGAAGCCATCCCTGCAATCTAATTTTAGAACATTTTAATCATCCTTTGAAAACGAACCCCATACCCATTAGCAGTCATTTCCCACTTCCCCCACCCCAGCCCCCGGTAACCACTGATCTTTCTGCCTCTATAGATTTGCCTATTCTGAACACTGCATATAAATGGTATCATAAAATATATATGGTCTTGGCCAGACACGGTGGGTCACGCCTGTAATCCCAGTACTTTGGGAGGTCCAAGAGAGTGGACTGTTTGAGTCCAGGTGTTTGAGAAGAGCCTGGGCAACATGGCGAAACCCTGTCTCCACTAAAAATACAAAAAATTAGCCGAGTGTGGTGGCACATGCCTGTAGTCCTAGCTACTTGCGAGGCTGAGGTGGGAGGACCGAGAAGTTGAGGTCGCAGTGAGTCCTGAACACACCACTGCACTCCACTCCAGCCTGAGCAACAGAGTGAGACCCTGCCTCAAAAAAAAAAAAAAAAAAATGCATGTGTGTGTGCGCACGTGTGTGTGTATGTGTGTGTGGCCTTAAAAGACGTTCCTTTTATTTAACAAACCACAATGTCATCACTCCTAACCCAAAATAAAACAGTACAAATAAAAAAGTCACAGTCCTTTAAATCATCAAATATCTAGTGAGTGTGCAAATTTCCAAATCTCATAACTTTCATGTAACTATCAGGATTTTTTGTAGCTTCTTTAAATCAGAATCCAAACAAGGGCCACCCATTGCAATTGGCTGATACTTTTTAAAATCATCTTTCATCTCTTGCTTCCCCTCTATTATCTTTTCTTTTTCCTTGCAATTTATCTCCTGGAGATCCAGTCCTGCAGATCTTTACTGTCCAACAGAAATACAATATGAGCAATATGTATATTTTTAAATTTTCTTCTTTTTTTTGAGACAGGGTCTCACTCTGTTGTCCAGGCTGGAGTGCAGTGGGGCAATCTCAGCTCACTGTAACCTCCACCTGTCAGGTTCAAGTGATTCTCCTGCCTCAGCCTCCTGAGTAGCTGGGATTACAGGCATGCGCCACCACACCTGGCTAATTTTTGTATTTTTAGTAGAGACAAGGTTTCGCCATGTTGGCCAGGGTAGTCTCAAACTCCTGGCCTAAAGTGATCTGCCCTCCTCACCCTCCGAAAGTGCTGGGATTACAGGCGTGAGTCACCATAATTTTAAATTTTCTAATAGCCATGTTTTTTAAAAAGTAAAAAGAGGACCGGCATGGTGGCTCGTGCCTGTAATCCCAGCACTTTGGGAGGCCAAGGCGGGAGGATCACTTGAGGCCAGGAGTTTGAGCCAGCCTGCGTAACACAGCAAAACCCTATCTCTATAAAAACTTTAAAAAATAACCAGGTGTAGTAGTGCATATCTGTAGTCCCAGTTACTGGGGAGGCTGAGGCAGGAGGATCTCTTGAACCTTGGAGGTTAATGCTGCAGTGAGCCATGTTCATGGCACTGTACTTCAACCTGGGCAACTGAGCAAGACTCTGTTAAAAAAAAAAAAAAGTAAAATGAAACACTACACATAATCTAGTACACTCAGGATATTATTTCAACATGGAATCAATCCTGTTTATTTATTTATAGAGATGGGGTCTTGCCATGTTGCCCAGGCTGGTCTCAAACTCCTGTGCTCAAGCAATCCACCCTCCTCAGCCACCCAAGGTGCTGGGATTACAGGCAAGAGCCACTGTGCCTGGCCATAATCAATCTAAAAAATGATTAGCTCGACATTTTTCATTCTTTTTTCACACTAAGTCTATCAGTGGATAGTGCTGTCCTAGTTGTAGAGCTTCCCATAGTCTGGACCTGACCAATGCGTCCTTGTGGTGTCATTTCATGTGTTCCTGTGTCCCCTGGGTTTCCTCCAAAGTGGGACTCAGCCAAAGTTCGAGCAGATTCAGATTTGGGTGTAAGGAGTTTTTTAGCCAGAACCTTCCTATGTGGGGCTACTGTATACCTCCACCAGGAGGCACCTCCTTTCCAGATGCCAGCAGCTGTTTCTGCTCAACACTCAGACATATTCATTCATTAGAGATTGCAAAATGGCGATAGTCTCATTTCTTTTTTTTTTTTTTTTTTTTGTGACAGAGTCTCATTCTGTCACCCAGGCTGGAGTGCAGTGGCATGCTCTCGGCTCACTGCAACCTCCGCCTCCCAGGTTCAAGCGATTCTCCTGCCTCAGCCTCCCAAAGTGCTGGGATTATAGGCATGAGCCACGGCGCCCAGCCTCTTAGTTTTCATGATGCTTCCTTCACTTGACAAATGAGTATGAGTACCTACTGTGTGTCAGGCACTGCCCTGGTCCTGAAGGTACAGCAGTGAACAAAACAGAGAGCCCACTGTGGGGGCTGATAGTCCAGTGGGAAGGGGCAGATGCAAATAACGAAATACACGAAGTAATTGCAGGTTATAATCTGTGGTCTGAAGGGTGTGGGAGTGAGCAGGGTGTGGTAAGCCCTGTAAACCGGCTGGTGGCGGAAGGCCTTCTGCAGGAGGGGACAGCGAAGCTGAGAGTTGAAAGATACCATATGACTCAGCGAGGCTGTGGTGTCCCAGGCAAAGGGGACAGTAAATGGAAAGGCTGAAAAATGGGAACAAGAGGGACAGAGAGCAGCCTGGGCAACATGGCGAAACCAAACCCTGTCCCTACAAAAAATACAAAAATTAGCTAGGCATGGTGGCCTATGCCTGAAGTCCCAGCTACTTGGGAGGCTGAGGCAAGAGAATCACTTGAACCCAGGAGGGGGAGGTTGCTGTGAGCCAAGATCGCGTCATTGCACTCCAGCCTGGGTGACAAGAGCGAAATTCTGTCTCAAAAAAAAGAAATAAAAATACAAAAATTAGCTAGGCATGGTGGTGCATGCCTGTATTCCCAGCTACTCGGGAGGCTGAGGCAGGAGAATCGCTTGAACCCGGGAGGCGGAGGTTGCAGTGAGCCGAGATTGCACCACTGCACTCCAGCATGGGCAACAGAGTGAGACTCTCTCAAAAATAAAATAAAATAATACAATAAAATATAAAATAAAATAAAATACTAGCCAGGCACGATGACTCATGCCTGTAATCTCGATACTTTGGGAGGCTGAGGTGGGAGGATCGCTTGAGCCCAGGAGTTCAAGACCAGCCTAGAAAACATAATGAGACCTTGTCTCTACAAAAAAACTGTTTAAAAAATTAGCTGGGTATGGTGGTGCATGCCTGTGGTCCCAACTTGGAAGGCTAAGACGGGAGGATCACTTGAGCCCAGGAGGTCGAGGCTATGGCAAGCCATGATCACTCCATTACACTCCAGCCTAGGTAGTAGAGACAGACTTTGTCTCAAAAAATTAATAATAAAGTAAAACAACTAAAAGACTATAAGTAGACTGTAACACAAAGAAAGGATAAATGCCAGAGGGAATGGATAACGCATTAACCCTGATGTGAGTACGTATTGCATGCCTATATCAAAATAGTTCATCTACCCCATAAATAAATACAACTACTATGTACCCACAAAAATGAAAAATAAAAAGGCCTGGCTCATGCCTGTAATCCTAACACTTTGGGAGGCCAAGGCGGGCAGATCACTTGAGATCAGGAGTTCAAGACCAGCCTGGCCAACATGGCGAAACCCCATCTCTACTAAAAATACAAAAATTAGCTTGGCGTGGTAGCACATGCCTGTAATCTCAGCTACTCAGAAGACTGAGGCAGGAGAATCGCTTGAACCCTGGAGGCAGAGGTTTCAGTGAGCCAAGATCACGCCACTGCACTCCAGCCTGGGTGACAGAGCAAGACTCTGTCTCAAAAAATAAAAATAATTTTTTAAAAAAATAGTCCAGGTGTGGTGGCTCACACCTGTAATCCTAGCACTTTGGGAGGCCCAGGCAGGCAGATCACCTGAGGTCAGGAGTTCAAGGCCAGCCTGGCCAACATGGCGAAACCCTGTCTCTACTAAAAATACAGAATTAGCCAGTGTGGTGGCACACGCCTGTAGTCCCAGCTACTCAGGAGGCTGAGACAGGAGAATCACTTGAACCCAGGAGGCGGAGGCTGCAGTGAGCCAAGATCGTGCCACTGCACTCTAGCCTGGGCAAGACAGAGCAAGACTCCGTCTCAATAAGTAAGTAAGTAAATAAATAAATAAAGGGATGGGCAATGAATGATGACACAGAGAGATCAGCAAATCACAAGAGCAAAGTCTAGGAGTGAATGGAGGTGATAGTGTCCCAGGCGCCTGTGGAGAGGTGGGCTTCTTTTTTTTTTTTTTTTTTTTTTTGAGACAGGGTCTCGCTCTTATTGCCCAGGCTAGGTGCAATGGCACAATCTTGGCTCACTGCAACATCCGCCTCCCAGGTTCAAGCCATTCTCCTGCTTCAGCCTCTCAAGTAGCTGGGATTACAGGCACGCACCATCATGCCTAACTAATTTTTGTATTTTTAGTAGAGACGGGGTTTCACCATGTTGTCCAGGCTGGTCTCGAACTCCTGACCTCAGGTGATCCACCCGCCTCGGCCTCCCAAAGTCCTGGGATTACAGGCATGAGCCACCACACCTGGCCAGAGGTGGATTTTTGAGACAGACAGTGTCACACTGCTCATGATAGAGGGGTAGGCAAGCAGACGAGGTGAGGGCAGAAGGTGAGGGGTTCCGGTGTGATTATGTCTCCATGCTCTGTGGTTTCTAGAGCCCTTCATGATTTGCAAAGCATGTTACTCATTTAGAAAGCATTTTGCAAAGTTCTGGGGTTTTTACAAAGCACTTTTGAGAGCCAGAAAATTTTGCTTCTGTTCATACCCCAGAGCAACATTTCTCACACTGCATGTTGCTACCCGTCTGGAGGTAATGAAATTAATTTAGCAATGCGTAACTCGTGACCAGCATCTTTAGAAATAAAATAGAACACTGCAGAGTGTGCTACACAGCAAAGGTCAGAATTATGTCATGAAACCTTTTTTTTTTTTTTTGAGTCACATTGTAAAATGTATTCTTATGGTTGAGTGAGTGCGGTCAAGAACATTTTATGCTGCTCTAGAGAACCTCTTGCAAAAATGCATGGGCAATCAGCACAAGAATGTTCAAGAAAAGTGTTGTCTGAAAGAAATCTGTGGGTGAACTTGGTGATTTATGCTTGTAATCCCAACACTTTGGGAGGCGGAGGAGGGCAAATCACCTGAGTTCAGGAGTTTGGGACAAGCCTGGGCAACATGGCAAAACCCCGTCTACAAAAAAATACAAAAATTCACCAGGCACAGTGGCATGCACCTGTAGTCCTAGCTACTCAGGAGGCTGAAGCACGAGACTCATTTGACCCTGGGAGGTGGAGGCTGCAATGAGCTGAGATCGTGCCACTGCACCACTCCAGCCTGGGTGAAAGAGTGAGACCCTGTCTCAGAAAAAAAAAACAAAAACAAAATACAAATCTGGAAGCAACCTACATTTCCATTAGCAGGATAACAGATAAAGAGTGTTATGGCTGGGCGCGGTGGCACACACCTGTCACCCCTGCACTTTGGGAGGCCGAGGCGGGTGGATCACCTGAGGACAGGAGTTCGAGACCAGCCTGGCCAACATGATGAAACCCTATCTCACTAAAAATACAAAAAATTAGCCAGGTGTGGTGGCGGGCACCTGTAATCCCAGCTGCTCAGGAGGCTGAGGCAGGAGAATCACTTGACCCTGGGAGGTGGAGGTTGCAGTGAGCTGAGATCATGCCACTGCACTCCAGCCTGGGCGACAAGAGCGAAACTCCGTCTCAAAAAAAAAAAAAAAAAAAAAGAGAAAGAAAAAGAAAAAAAAGCAAGTTTCAGCTGAGGTGGGAGGATCCCTTGAGCCCAGGAGTTTGAGACCAGCCTTGGCAACATAGGGAGACCTTATCTCTACAAAAAAAAATTAAAATTAAAATTAGCCAGGTGTAGCGGTGTGTGCCTGTAGTCCCAGCTGCTCTGGATGCTGGGTACTTGAGCCCGGGGGTGGGGATGGGGACGAGAGGGGATGTCTTGAGGCTGGGTTGAGCTGTGATTGCGCCACTGCACTCCAGCCTGGGCGACACAGCGAGACCTTGTCTTAAAAAAAAAAAAAAAAAGAGAGAGAATTGAGGCTCTCCAGGTCACCCCACTGACCTCCCTGCCCGCCCCCAGGCCATGGACAGCCAGAAGCAGTTCAGCGGTCCAGAAATCCAGTTCCTGCTTTCGTGCTCCGAAGCGGATGAGAACGAAATGATCAACTGCGAAGAGTTCGCCAACCGCTTCCAGGAGCCAGCACGCGACATCGGCTTCAACGTGGCGGTGCTGCTGACCAACCTGTCGGAGCATGTGCCGCATGACCCTCGCCTGCACAACTTCCTGGAGCTGGCCGAGAGCATCCTTGAGTACTTCCGCCCCTACCTGGGCCGCATCGAGATCATGGGCGCGTCACGCCGCATCGAGCGCATCTACTTCGAGATCTCAGAGACCAACCGCGCCC
Source organism: Homo sapiens (assembly GCF_000001405.40). NCBI lineage: Eukaryota > Metazoa > Chordata > Mammalia > Primates > Hominidae > Homo > Homo sapiens. The sequence goes on from NC_000019.10 coordinate 38,561,438, forward strand.
AGTGGGAGATGCCCCAGGTCAGGGAACCCGCGCGCGTGCAAGCTCGCCTCCTGGGGCTTCGGGCATGCGGGTGCTCACTTCCTGCACCCTCAGACCCCACGGGGGCTGTGCGTGCCTCGCATATCTGCCCTGCTCCGGCAAGCCCACGCCCACCCTTTTGTACACATTTCGTCCAGCTGCGCCCTTGCACATCCCTGGCTCGCCCCTGGCCACTTCTTGCGGACCTGGCCCACACAAGGATGCACACCCCTTGGGCATGAAGCAGGGTCAGTGTGTCCTGACTGTGGCTGCTCACACGCCATGCTTTCCCCTTACACCCACACCCTGGGAGCTCTGGCAGGCCCTTATAGCCCTGATGCAGCCCTACCCACACTCTCACCTCCTCGAACCTGCATGGCGACACACCCCTTGCTCACCTTCCCAGTAGCCCCCGGCGTGCCGTCTCTTGGTCCTGGCCCGCTCATGCTCACTCTTGTACACGCTCGCCTTGGGGGCTCTGGGGTGCCCTGGCATGCTGACCCACCCTTCACCAGTCATCACGTTTGCCCCCAGATGCCTTCTGAAGTCCTAGCATATGTGTACCCCAACTTATTCTGGGCCCACACGTGGGTGCACACCTCTTGCACACACACCCTGAGGATGCCAATGAGCCCTCTCAGAACCCTGGCATGCTTCATTTGTTCACTGTCCACTTGCCCTCACTGTAGCCCTGGCACAACCATGCTCACCCATGCACACTTGGGCCACGGTCTCAGGCTCACCCAGAAGAGCCCTCAGACCTACTCTCTAATCTGACATGCCCTATCTCAGCTCCTCCTATGCCCAGCCCACAAATGCTTGAACATCCCTCACACACTCGCTTGCCCCAAGGGTACACTCACGTGGTCCCGGCATGTCCCCAGCAGAGCTGGCACACCTGGCTGACATATGGTTCCCCTCCCCATTCCCTCACACTCCCCACACGCCCCTGACACACCCTCACCTCATTCTCTTGCACACACACTTGCTTGTTGTTCCTCAGATGCCGCCAGGTACTTGCACACCCCTTCTTGTCTCACACACATAGCCCGGGAGGTTTGCGCACCCGTCACCTCCTTCATGAGTGGGCCCTTCATATGTCTCCTCAGGGGACACCAGCTCATGCACGCGGGCTCATGTCCCACACAGAGCCCTGTCCTCATGTTCTGGGAGCCAGTACACAAACCCTTGGCTCCCCTTCCCACATTCATGCCTGCCTCACGCACACTGCATAACTGCAGGCCCCTCTCACACTCATACTCCTCCTGTCCCCCCACAGAGTCCCAGGCCCTTGCACACCTGCCCCGTGTGCCCACGTCCACCGTGCACACTGAGCCTCTCGTGGTTGCACACTTTTGGCATCTTCCCATGCCGCCACGCCCTCCTTACTCCTGATCCCTCCCTGGCCCCCGGTGTCTCCTCACATACTCCGCAGGAACCCTTGAGATCTTGCACACTCATCTGTGCCCCTCGGGGCCCCACTGCATACACACCCCCATCTGGCACACAAGTGGTTGCAGCATCCTGGCACCCAGGATGTCCACACATCCCTGCCTCTGCAGGAAGCCCCTGTTCACCACGGCCCTTCCCACTCATTCTTTGCACGTGCTGGGGGAGCTCTGCCCTCCTCTCTTCCTCTGACCCTGCGTGCTCCCCATACAAACACTCTTTGCCTTAGTGCTATTCCTCCAAACACCCGCTTCCTTCTGCTCACCCCTTCCCATTCCACTTTCCCCTGCTTCTCAGGCATCCACGTATGCCCATGTGGCCTTGGAGCACCTGTGGGGCAGTATAATAATAGGTAACACTACGGTGTTGTTGTTGTTTGAGACAGAGTTTCGCTCTTGTTGACCAGGCTGGAGTGCAATGGCACGATCTCAGCTCACTCAACCTCCACCTCCTGGGTTCAAGCGGTTTTCCTGTCTCAGCCTCCTGAGTAGCTGAGATTACAGCCATGTGCAACCATGCCCACCTAATTTTTATATTTTCAGTAGAGGCGGGGTTTTGCCATGTTGGCAAGGCTGGTCTTGAACTCCTGACCTCAGGTGATCCGCCCGCCTCGGCCTCCCAAAGTGTTGGGATTACAGGTGTGCGCCACCGTGGCCTGCCCACTATACAGCATTTATCAGGCACCGGGCGCTGTTCTAATCATGCAGCATCTATTAACTCATTTAACCCTCACACCAACCCTATAATGTAGGTCCTATTATGCCCATTTTACAGAGGGGAAAACGGAGGTCCAGAGAGTTAATTCAAAATCACCCAGCTACTCAGTGGCAGAATCAGGATTTGAACCCAGGCAGGCTGGCTGCAGAGCCTTTGCCTTTAAGCACTATGCTCCTCCTCTCAAGGAAGCTAAACACATCCATTCTGGAGCCAGCTCTCTGGGGGTTCGAATCCTATATGTGCCACCTTGTCTGTGTCACCTGGGCATGTAACTTTCTGGGCCTCCCTGTCCTCATCTATAAAATGGGAAGAAAACCCGCTAGCCCTAGGCTTGTTTGTGAGGATTAAATGAGTTTTATGGAAACTGCTTGTATGGGGCCTGGCCTTATTGAAGCATTTACAGGAGTACCCACAGTGAGTGCTCTCTATAAAGCTCTCTCTATAGGTTTGCTATTGATAATCAAAACAACAACTTGGCCAGGCGCTGTGGCTCCTGCCTGTAATCCCAGCACTTTGGGAGGCCAAGGCCAGAGGATTGCTCGAGGCCAGGAGTTCGACACCAGCCTGACCAACACAGACAGACCCTGTCTCTGCAAAAAAATTTTTTTTAGAAATTAGCAGGCCAGTCATGGTGGCTTATGCCTGTAATCCCAGCACTTTGGGAGGGTGAGGCGGGCAGATCACTTGAGGCCAGGAGTTCCAGATCAGCCTGGCCAACATGGCAAAACCCTGTCTCTACTGAAAATTCAAAAACTCAGCCCAGCATGGTGGCAGGCGCCTGTAATCCCAGCTACTCAGGAGGCCGAGGCATGGGGATCATGTGAACCCTGGGGACGAAGGTTACAGTGAGACAGCGTCACTTCATTCCAGCCTAGGAGACAGAGCTAGATCTTGTCTTTTTTTTTTTTTTTCTTGAGACAGACTTTCACTCTGTTGCCCAGGCTGGAGTGCAGTGGCACGATCACAGCTCATGGCAACCTCCGCCTCCCGGGTTCAAGTTATTCTCCTACCTCAGCCTCCCGAGTAACGGATTACAGGGGTGCGCCACCACACCGGCTAATTTTTGCATTTTTAGTAGAGACGGGGGTTTCACCATGTTGGCCAGGCTGGTCTCGAACTCCTGACCCCAAGTGATCTGCCAGCCTCAGTTTCCCAAAGTGCTATGATTACAGGCGGAGCCACCGCGCCCAGCCTGACCCTGTCTCAAAAACAAAATACCAACAATGCATTTAGAACAGCGCCTGCCGCGGTGACCCCTTGTAGCTGCCACTGCGCTGTCGCTGCTGTCCGAGCCCCCGCTGACGGCGCCCTATCCTGTCTGCCGCCCCTCGCTTCAGGTGAAGGAGTCCAAGCGCCAGTTCATCTTCGACGTGGTGAACGAGGGCGGCGAGGCTGAGAAGATGGAGCTCTTCGTGAGTTTCTGCGAGGACACCATCTTCGAGATGCAGATCGCCGCGCAGATCTCGGAGCCCGAGGGCGAGCCGGAGACCGACGAGGACGAGGGCGCGGGCGCGGCGGAGGCGGGCGCGGAAGGCGCGGAGGAGGGCGCGGCGGGGCTCGAGGGCACGGCGGCCACGGCGGCGGCGGGGGCGACGGCGCGGGTTGTGGCGGCCGCAGGCCGGGCCCTGCGAGGCCTCAGCTACCGCAGCCTGCGGCGGCGCGTGCGGCGGCTGCGGCGGCTTACGGCCCGCGAGGCGGCCACCGCAGTGGCGGCGCTGCTCTGGGCAGCAGTGACGCGCGCTGGGGCCGCTGGCGCGGGGGCGGCGGCGGGCGCGCTGGGCCTGCTCTGGGGCTCGCTGTTCGGCGGCGGCCTGGTGGAGGGCGCCAAGAAGGTGACGGTGACCGAGCTCCTGGCAGGCATGCCCGACCCCACCAGCGACGAGGTGCACGGCGAGCAGCCGGCCGGGCCGGGCGGAGACGCAGACGGCGAGGGTGCCAGCGAGGGCGCTGGAGACGCCGCGGAGGGCGCTGGAGACGAGGAGGAGGCGGTGCACGAGGCCGGGCCGGGCGGTGCCGACGGGGCGGTGGCCGTGACCGATGGGGGCCCCTTCCGGCCCGAAGGGGCTGGCGGTCTCGGGGACATGGGGGACACGACGCCTGCGGAACCGCCCACACCCGAGGGCTCTCCCATCCTCAAGAGGAAATTGGGGGTGAGAGAGCAGGCGGGGTTTTGGGGTTTTGGAAAGATGGGGGATTGGAGGGAGGAAGAGAGCCCGGCTGGGTGGAGACACACACAGAGGAGAGAACTGGCTAGGGGGATGGGCACACGCACCCACGGAGGACGCACCCATGGAGGACGCACACGGGGACAGCGGGCGCCGGGCAAGAGAGACGCTCAGAGACAGAGGGATACTCAGACCCACAGAGAAAGAGACTCAGAGATGGAGACCTGGAGAAAGGGCCGGGGAGAGAGAGTGCAGGGCCGGACAGAGTGCAGGGCCGGACAGAGTGCAGGGCCCGGAGAGGTAGAGAAAATGATACCTGCAGAGCCAGAGAGAGTAAGAAACCCAGAGACCAAATTAGAGGGCAGGAAAGACCAAAACTAAGCCAGGCGCGGTGGCTTACACCTGTGATCCCAGCACTTTGGGAGGCCGAGGCGGGCCGATCACCTGAGGTCAGGAGTTTGAGACCATCCTGGCCACCGTGGTGGAACCCCGTCTCTACTAAAAATATAAAAATTAGCCGGGCATGGTGGTGTGCGCCTGTAATCCCAGCTACTCGGGAGGCTGAGGCAGGAGAATCGCTTGAACCCGGGAGGCAGAGGTTGCAGTGAGCCAAGATGGTGCCACTGCACTCCAGCCTGGGCGACAGAGCGAGACTCTGTCTCAAAAAAAAAAAAAAAAAAAAAAAAAAAAAGGAAAAGAAAGACCAAGACTAAAAAAAGTCCCGAGACAGGGTCAGGGCCACTAGGAAAAGACCCTCGGAGATACTCGTTGTGGGAATGAAGTACACCGTGGAGGAAGGGACCCCAAACATCCTCAGGCCCTTGGTGCTGGGAATGCCTTGGGAATGTGGAGGTCAAGGTGGTGGGAAGCCCTGGGGACAAGCAGAGCTGCACTTGGAGTCAGCCCGACCCTGCGCAGTGCTTTGGGCAAAGGGCTTCACCTCGATGAGCCTCAGTTTCCCCTCTGTAAAACGGGAATCATAATCTGCCTCTTTCTGGTGGAGGGAAGTGTAAAACTTAGATTACCCAGGGGAAATAAGAGAGAAAGGAGATGAGAGGAGCAGGCAGGCAGCCTGAGAAGCGCTTAGGGTGAGGACTCAGCCCTGATGCTTGCCCTGTCCCTAGGTGGATGGAGTGGAGGAGGAGCTCCCGCCAGAGCCAGAGCCCGAGCCGGAACCAGAGCTGGAGCCGGAGAAAGCCGAGTGAGTGGCCTTGGGGCTGAGGGGCCTAGCCCCTATCACTGCCTCCCTCCTAGAGTAGGAGCCTCCAGAGGTCAGGCCCCAAGGCTGTCCTGGCCACCCTGTGTCCTCGGCATCACCCAGCCCAGACTCAGGCACGGAGGAGGGGCTCTGAGTAAAAGAATCAAGAAATAAATGCTCCAACCTGGGCAACATAAAAAAAAAATTAAAATTAGCCAAGCATGGTGGTGTGTGGGGAGGCTGAGGTGGGAGGATCACTTGACCCCTGGAGGTGGAGGCTGCAGTGAGCCCTGATCGCAGCATTGCCCTCCAGCCTGGGTGACAGAGCAAGACCCTGTGTCGAAAAAGAAAAAAAAATATGGAGAGATAGAAAAATGAAAACTCCCATCTAACTGCCAGGCCTTCGCATGTGCTTTCCCGCTGCCTGGAACACAGGCCCCCATGCCTACTCTGAGTCTTTCTCATCCTTTCCAATTCTCCAGGACACCTGACCCCCTCCTAAGTTGAGGAGGTGTCTCCTCCAGATTCCCACAACCCCCTGAGCTTCCTCCATCCCAGCCCCGACCACTCTGGGCTGTCACTGCCTGGTGTCACTGTCACTGCCTGTCTCCCACATTGGACTGGAGCCCCATAAGGGCAAGTCCTGATTATCTCATCATCCCATGTACCCAGTACCATCCAAACCTGGGCCAGGCACAGGGCGGGCCCTTGGTGAATGGTTTTGAATGAATGAACTCATGCATTGCCTGCCCAGGCACCTCCTGACCTCTCTCTGTCCTGCCCTGCAGTGCCGAGAATGGGGAGAAGGAAGAAGTTCCCGAGCCCACACCAGAGCCCCCCAAGAAGCAAGCACCTCCCTCACCCCCTCCAAAGAAGGAGGAAGCTGGAGGCGAATTCTGGGGAGAACTGGAGGTGCAGAGGGTGAAGTTCCTGGTAAGGATCCAGCCAGGTCACCTGAACCTTCTTCTCCCCGGGAGCCCCACCTCTGGTGCCCACCTCTCCTGCTCACCTTGTTCTTGAGTTCATCTGTTCAAGCTCGTCTCTAAGAAGAACCCTAGCTGGGGAAAGGGCAGAGGTATCCCCAGACCTGCGGACAGGGTAGCATTTTCAGATGGCCCTCACTTGGTTCCTTGTCCCTTCCCTGCTCACTATCCTTATTCCAACCTCCATACCTCTGTTCATCGGGGCCACCCACCCACACTTCCACCTCCATCCTCTGTCCAGAGCTACATTCAGTGAGGCCACCACTCTGGCCTTCCCACCGTGGCCTGTTCTTGGCTGTCAGCCCTTACAGTCTCAGTCCCTCCACCACTCCCAGTGCTGCTGTGGAGGTCTGAGCTCTCCCAATTCCTGGGGAAGCGTTCATCTCATCCAGGCCAGGAAGAAGGGTGGGTGTTGGGAGGCAGGTCCCAGGGTTCCCTCCATCCTGTCTCCCCTCCAGGCCTGGCCCGATAGGAGGGGGTGAGGGAGGCTGGGCACGGTGGGTCACACCTGTAATCCCAGCACCTTGGGAGGCCGAGGCAGGCGGATCGCCTGAGGTCAGGAGTTCAAGACCAGACTGGCCAACATGGTGAAACCCCATCTCTACTAAAAATACAAAAAAAAAAAAAAAAAAAAATTAGCCAGCCATAGTGGTGCATGCCTGCAATTCCAGCTACTCAGGATGCTGAGGCATGAGAATCGCTTGAACCCAAGAGGCAGAAGTTTCAGTGAGCCGAGATCGTGCCACTGCACTCCAGCCTGGGCGACAGAGTGAGACTCTGCCTCAAACAAAGTGGTGGTGGGGGGCGGGGGGGCGGTGAGGGAATCATGTGGAACGAAGGTGGTTCCGTCAGAATTTGTGGGAAGAATGAGGGATGGAGGGAAAGGTGGAGAGAAAGAGGGAGAGATGGAAGATGTTCCTGGCCGTGCGAGGGGGCTCATGCCTGTAAGTCCAGTACTTTGGAAGTCCAAGGTAGGAGGATCACTGGAGCCCAGGAGTTTGGGGCAAGCCAGGGCAACATAGGGAGATCCCTGTCTCTACAAAAGAATTTTTTTTTTTTTTGAGACGGAGTCTCGCTCTGTTGCCCAGGTTGGAGTGCAGTGGCACAATCTCGGCTCACTGCAAGCTCTGACTCCTGGGTTCACGCCATTCTCCTGCCTCAGCCTCCCGAGTAGCTAGGACTACAGGCGCCCGCCGCCACGCCTGGCTAATTTTTTGTATTTTTAGTAGAAACGGGGTTTCACCGTGTTAGCCAGAATGGCCTAGATCTGACCTTGTGATCCACCCGCCTTGGCCTCCCAAAGTGCTGGGATTACAGGCGTGAGCCACTGCACCTGGCCGAATATTTTTAATCTTTTTTTTTTTTTAATTACTGCTCCTTGCAGAGCAGGGCTACCCTCTAGGCAGTGCACCCAGAGTAGCCAAAAATGTTTTTTTAATTAGCTGGGTGAGGTGACACATGCCTGTGGTCCCAGCTGTTCAGGAGGCTGAGGCGGGAGGATCACTTAAGCACAGGAGGTTGAGGCAGCAGTGAGCTATGGTTGTGTCACTTCACTCCAACCTGGGTGAGAGTAAGACCTTGACTCAAAAAAAAAAAAAATTCCCTTTCATCTTCTGTAAAGCAGGCAGGGCGACAGGTGGGGTGACCTCACTCAGGAAGCAGCATGGCCAAGTGGCTTGGAGCTTGGACTCTGGAGGCTGACTGCCCGGGTTCAAATCCCATCTCTGCCACTCGTTGGTTATGTTACCTTGAGCAAGACACCACTTCCCTGAGCCTCAGTTTCCTCATCTGTAAAGTGCGCATAACAGTAGTGCCCACTTCACAGGGGTGTACTGAGAATTAAACAAGCTCATGCAAATAAAGTTCTTAGCCCAGATGTTGGTATAAGCAAGCACTCAACAAATAGGAGGTTGAGGCCAGCCGAGGTGGCTCACACCTATAATCCTAGCACTTTGGGAGGCTGAGGTGGGTGGATCACCTGAGGTCAGGAGTTTGAGACCAGCCTGACCAACATGGTGAGACCCCGTCTCTACTGAAAATACAAAAACTAACTGAGTGTGGTGGTGCATACCTGTAATCCCAGCTACTTAGGAGGCTGAGTCATGAGAATTTGAACCCGGTAGGCAGAGGTTGCAGTGAGCCGAGATGGCGCCACTGCATTCGAGCCTGGGTGACAGAGTGAGACCTTGTCTCAAAAATAAATAAATAGGCTGGACGTGGTGGCTCAAGCCTGTAATCCCAGCACTTAGGCTGAGGAGGGCGGATCACGAGGTCAGGAGTTTGAGATCAGCCTGGCCAATATGGTGAAACCCTGTCTCTACTAAAAATACACAAATTAGCTGGGCGTGGTGGCACACGCCTGTAGTCCCAGCTACTCGGGAGGCGGCAGCAGAGGAATTGCTTGAACCCGGGCGGCAGAGGTTGCAGTGAGCCAAGATCGCACCACTGCACTCCAGCCTGGACGACAGAGCAAGACTCTGTCTCAAAAATAATAATAATAATAATTAATAAATAAATAGGAGGTTGTAGGAAAGATATTGAGAGCCCAGGTACTTTGATTGCAGGTAAATGATGGGATGAATTCTCCAGGGAAGAGGCTGATCTGTGAGCGCTTTCTCTCTTTTTCTCTTCTCTCTCAGAACTACCTGTCCCGGAACTTTTACACCCTGCGGTTCCTTGCCCTCTTCTTGGCATTTGCCATCAACTTCATCTTGCTGTTTTATAAGGTGCTGGTCCTGAAGGGCTGGGAGGGTCAGGCCCTTTTCCATGCTGTGGGATGGGAGGCTCAGCCCCTATCAGAATTTCAGGGTTCCTCCACTGAAGGGATAAGGTATTGGGCTTTGGGTCGTTAGGAGGGTTCAGGCTGGACACCTGGATCCTGGGACCCCCCTCCATGGGGGTGAGTAGGGGATATCTGGATCCATCTGGGACAGAAGCCTGAGTGTCTGTGGGAGTTAGAGCAGGAGCAGGAGCTGAGTTCTCTGCTCAGCTCGGCCACATGCCAGTCCTGTGCGCCTGGGTGCAGGCCCTCAGCTCTTGGCAACACCCACTGATTCTGTTAAGCATCTTTGGTTTCACATAAGCTAAACAGAAGTTTGCAGGGAGGAAGAAATGGGCCACTCACAGAATGGAAGGAATGGGTTAAGAACCAGGCCTCCTGAAGGACAAAGGGACCCTTGGGGTCTTGCCAGGGGTCTAGATAACAGGACAGTAAGGTAGACTAGAGAGATCGAAGCATGGCTTCTGTGGGACCCAGAAGTCCCACAGTGGGACTGCCCACTGGCGCATGACGATAGGCAAGGTGCTTACCATCCCTGTGCCTCAACTCCCTCATCTGTAAAATGGAATACCTCTTAGAGCTGTGGGGATTGAAAGAGGATAAGGCACCAGGCACAGTGGCTCACGCCTGTAATCCCAGCACTTTGGGAGGCCGAGGTAGGTGGATTACCTGAAGTCCGGAATTCAAGACCAGCCTGGCCACATGGTGAAACCCCGTCTCTACTAAAAATACAAAAAAAAATTAGCCAGGCCTGGTGGCGGGCACCTGTAATCCAAGCTATGCAGGAGGCTGAGGCAGTAGAATCCCTTGAACCCAGGAGGCAAAGGTTGCAGTGAGCCGAGATTGCACCACTACACTCCAGCCTAGGTGACAAGAGTGAAACTCCGTCCACCCCACCAAAAAAAAGAGGATGAGTGTGTGTAAGGCAGTTAGAGCAACAGTACCTGGCATATAAAAAGCACTGTGTAAATGTTTAGCTGCTACTAATTTTCATGTTAGTGTTAATATTAGTGGGCAGTCTCTTTAGGGCTCCACTATCAAGATGAACCAACTCTGTCTTCAGTTCTGTGCCACTCAGTTCAATAGGCTAATTCCCAGGTCAGAGTCTGATTTGCTAGCTACAGCCCTAGGCCCAACCCTTGATCTTGATTGACAGCCACACCAAGACTGTATCTGGTATGGTCCCAGTCCAATCTCGGGAATGGAGGCTCAATTTTGTGAGTGGGCTCTGCATGTGGCAGACCCACAGATGAATCTCTGTCCCCATTTCAGGTCTCAGACTCTCCACCAGGGGAGGACGACATGGAAGGCTCAGCTGCTGGGGATGTGTCAGGTGCAGGCTCTGGTGGCAGCTCTGGCTGGGGCTTGGGGGCCGGAGAGGAGGCAGAGGGCGATGAGGATGAGAACATGGTGTACTACTTCCTGGAGGAAAGCACAGGCTACATGGAACCCGCCCTGCGGTGTCTGAGCCTCCTGCATACACTGGTGGCCTTTCTCTGCATCATTGGCTATAATTGTCTCAAGGTGGGCCCATGGCCATGGTTCTGGGGCAAGGGCTTATTGGCTGGGTGGGGGTGGGGGCAGTGCTGGAGCACTGGCTGGGGCTGGGGGCCCTCAAAGTGGTTGGGACAGAGGGGGCCTAGGGTTGGGGTGAGGGCTGGGGAACTGGGTACAGGATTGGGGTCTCCAGCAAGGATGACAGGGGTCTCCAGTAAGGACGACATTCAGATTGGGAACGGACACGGCTTATAGCTGAGGAACCAGGTTCTGGACCACTGTCTTGATACTTTGCTATTGAACTAGAGTTCTTTGGGCTTAAAACTTTCATACATGCTATTCCCTCTGCCTGCAATACTTTGCCCTGCTTCCACCTCCTTGCACCTGCCTGTTTTATTCATCCTTCAGTTCTGAGTTCAGACCTCCCTCCCTTGGGAAGCCCCAGGTGGCATCAGGCACCACTCCTGGGCTCCCACAGCTCCCCTGTTCTCACATCCTGGCCCGATCCCTCTGCCTGTGCCCCACCCCCATTCCAGCCCTGACCCCTATATGCCCCTACATCCCAGCCCTGACACCCCTGCCTGTGCCTCTCCACTGCCAGCCCCGACTGCTCTGCCTGTGCCCCCCAATTCCAGCCCTGACTCTTCTATCTATGCCCCCTATCCCGGCCCTGACCCCTCTATCTATGCACCACATTCCAGCCCTGACCCCCCTGCCTGTGCCTCCCCCATCCCTGCCCTGACCCCTCTGCCCATGTTCCCCACATCCCAGCCCTAAGCCCTCTGCCTGGGCCTCATTTCTACCCTTATCACTGGGAAAGCACTTCTGATGTGGGGTCACACACAGACCCCAGCAAGATGTCATGGCTTCTGCTGAGACTATGGTCCAGCCAAGGTGCCTGACGCCCACCTTTGGCCTCCTCCCACTATCCAGGTGCCCCTGGTAATCTTTAAGCGGGAGAAGGAGCTGGCCCGGAAGCTGGAGTTTGATGGCCTGTACATCACGGAGCAGCCTGAGGACGATGACGTGAAGGGGCAGTGGGACCGACTGGTGCTCAACACGCCGTAAGGACCCAGCCCCCACCTCAGGGTGGCAGCAGGAGGGGACCTGGGTTTCCACCCAGTCCAGGCCTGGACCCCAAAAAACTAGGGTTTCGGTCCGGGCACGGTGGCTCACACCTGTAATCCCGGCACTTTGGGAGGCTAAGGCGGGCGGATCACGAGGTCAGGAGTTTGAGACCAGCCTGGACAACATGGTGAAATCCCGTCTCTACTAAAAGTACAAAAATTAGCTGGGCGTGGTGGCGGGCGCCTGTAATCCCAGCTACTGGGAAGGCTGAATCAGAAGAATCACTTGAACCTGGGATGTGGAGGATGCAGTGAGCCGAGATCGCACCATTACACTCCAGCCTGGGCAACAAGAGTGAAATTCCACCCCCTTCCCCCCAGACAAAAAAAAAAAAACCTAGGGTTTCAGTCCCTGCAGGCCCTGCCTCATTCTCCCCAAGTCTTACTCTTTCTTTCCATAAAAGAGGCACATTTCCCATGCATTACAGCATCTGTGTGGGTGAGGTTGGCACACAGAGATTCCTAGACTTGAGGCCTGGAGGTTCCTGTTCAGTGACTCTGGGGTGTGAGCCCAGGAACCCGTGTTTTAAACCCTGTCTCCAGGTGTGATTCTTACTCAGGTGCAATGAGTGCAAAATAAAAAAACATGGCCAGGCACGATGGCTCATGCCTGTAATCCCAACACTTGGGAGGCCAAGGTGGCAGATCACTTGAGGTCAGGAGTTCGAGACCAGCCTAGCCAACATGGTGAAACCCCATCTCTACTAAAAATACAAAAATTAGTCTCTACTAAAAATACAAAAAGTAGGCATGGTGGTGGGTGCCTGTGGTCCTAGCTACTCCGGAGGCTGAGGCATGAGAATCACTTAAACCTGCGAGGTGGAGGTTGCAGTGAGCCGAGATTGTGCCTCTGCACTCCAGCCTGGGCAACAGAGCGAGACTCCATCTGAAAAAAAAAAAAAAAAGGAAAAGAAAAAGAAAGGAAAAAAAAAAAAGAAAGAAAAGAAATCATTAGGGGCCCTAGGGGCCGCACTCAGTGGCTCACGCCTGTAATCTCAGCACTTTGGGAGGCTGAGGCAGGAGGATCCCTTGTGCCCAGGAGTTCAAGACCAGCCTGGACAACATAGAGAGACCTATATCTTTAGAAAAAAAAAACTAAAAAGTTAGCCAGACATGCTAGCCTGGCTAGCGCATGCCTGTAGTCTTAGCTGTTTGGGAGGCTGAGGCTGGAGGATGGCGTGAGCCCAGGAGTTCTAGGCTGCAGTGAGCTATGATTATGCCACTGTCCTTCAGCCTGAGTGACAGAGCAAGACCCTATGTCTGGGGGCCAAAAAAAAAACAAGTAGGAATTGGAAGTGCAATGAATCAAAGCACTTCAAATAATTGCAAATCCGTGAATTCATAATCAATCATCGCTCCACCCTCTCAAAAAACAAAACTCGTGGCTGGGCACAGTGGCTCACATCTGTAATCAATCCTAGCACTTTGGGAGGCCGAGGCAGGCGGATCACGAGGTCAGGAGATCCAGACCATCCTGGCTAACATGGTGAAACCCTGTCTCTACTAAAAATACAAAAAAATTAGCTGGGCGTGGCAGTGGGTGCCTGTAGTCACAGCTACTCGGGAGGCTGAGGCAGAAGAATGGCGTGAACCGAGGAGGCGGAGCTTGCAGTGAGCCCAGATGGCACCACTGCACTCCAGCCTGGGCGACAGAGCGAGACTCCGTCTCAAAAAAAAAAAAAAAAAACTCGTTGGCCATATTTGAGGATGTTAGGGCATCAATTTGTCACTTGGAAAACTGGTGAATAAAGGGCCAGAATCATGAAATTAAATGAAATCAACCAGTATGAGGAAGCAGGCAGTTGCACTGGAGTTGGTGCTGAGTTAGGCTGCTGTTTTGGACTCCTCCCCACCCATCACCACGCCAGAGCCTCTTTATCAGAGTGCCATTCTGAGGTCTTTTTTGCACATCTGGCTCTGAATGCAAATTCTCTGCCTCATTTGGGGTCTAGCAAAGATGGCAGTGGGGTCCCCACTGTTCAAGGTTCCTACAAGAAAAGCAGTGGAGCCAGGCGCAGGTGGCTCACGCCTGTAATCCCAGCACTTTGGGAGGCCAAGGCGGGAGGGGGGATCACCTGAGGTCAGAAGTTTGAGACCAGCCTGGCCAACATGGCAAAACCCTGTCTCTACTAAAAATACAAAAATTAGCCGGGCGTGGTGGTGGGCGCCTGTAATCCCAGCACTTTGGGAGGCCAAGGCGGGTGGGGGCATCACCTGAGGTCAGAAGTTCAAGAACAGCCTGGCCAACATGGCAAAACCTCGTCTCTACTAAAAATACGAAAATTAGCCGGGCGTGGTGGTGGGCGCCTGTAATCCCAGCTACTCAGGAGGCTGAGGCAGGAGAATCGCTTGAACCTGGGAGGCAAAGTTTGCAGTGAGCAGATATCACACCACTGCACTCCAGCCTGGGCAACAGAGTGAGACTCCATCTCAAAAAAAAAGGAAAAAGAAAAACAGTGGAGTTTCAGCCAACCCTGTCGTGGCTGACAGCTCTGATCCCTCTGGCCCTAACATCTTATACTCACGCTTTCTCTCTCTCTCTCTGCAGGTCTTTCCCTAGCAACTACTGGGACAAGTTTGTCAAGCGCAAGGTGAGAGGACATGGATGCCCTGGGTCCTGGATTGGGTCCCTGCCTGCCACCAGGCCATCACAGGCCTGCCAAGCACTTGCTTGGTGTGTGACCTTGGGCAAGAGGTTTTTTTGCCTTTCTGAGTAGCACCTCAGTTTCCCCATGGGGAGATGGGCATAGTAAGCTTGCTTCCCTTTCTTGAATGGGCACATGGAAAGAGCAGAGCATCAAGGCCAAGCGTGGTGGCTCACGCCTGTAATCCCAGAACTTTGGGAGGCTGAGATGGATGTAACACTTGAGCTCAGGAATTTCACAGCAGCCTGGGCAACATGGCAAAATGCCGTCTCTACCAAAAATACAAAAAATTAGCACGGTACCGCATGCCTGTAGTCCCAGCTACTCAGGAGGCTGAGGTGGGAGGATCGCTTAACCTGGGAGGCAGAAGTTGCAGTGAGCCAAGATTGCACCACTGCACTACAGCCTGGGTGAAAGAGTGAGACCTCATCTCAAAAAAAATAATAATAACAAAAAATAAGAAAGCATAGCATAGTGCCTGGCACAGAGTGAATACTCAAGAAATACTGGTTGAGGCCAGGAGCAGTGGCACACGCCTGTAATCCCAGCACTTTGGGAGGCCGAGGTGGGCAGATCACTTGAGGTCAGGAGTTTGAGACCAGCCTGGACAACATGGCAAAACTGCATCTCTACTAAAAACACAAAAATTAGCTGGGCACCTGTAATCCCAGCTACTTGAGAGACTGAGGCAGGAGAATCACTTGAACCCGGGCGGCAGAGGCTGCAGTGAGCCGAGATCGCGCCATTGCATTCCAGCCTGGGTGACAGAGCGAGACTCCGTCTCAAAAAAAGAGAGAAATACTAGTTGAAAGAGAGGAAGTTAGCAATATGTCTTAAGCACACACACTCTGGAACCAGATTGCCTGCTTTTCTTTTGTTTTTTTCTTTGAGACGGAGTCTCGCTCTGTTACCCAGTCTGGAGTGCAGTGGCACAATCTCAGCTCACTGCAACCTCCACCTCCCGGGTTCAAGCGATTCTCCTGCCTCAGCCTCCCGAGTAGCTGGGATTACAGGCACCCACCACCACGTCTGGCTAATTTTTGTATTTTTAGTAGAGACGGGGTTTCGCCATGTGGGCCAGGCTGATCTCGAACTCCTGACCTCAGGTGATCCACCCGCCTCGGCCTCCCAAAGTGCTGGGATTACAGGCACGAGCCACCGCGCCCAGCCGATTGCCTGCCTTTCTATTTCTGGCTTATTGACCTTTCTGTACCTCATACTCAAAGTGGGGTAATAATACGGCCAACCCTACAGGGTTGTTGTATTATGTACTACATGAGCAGTATCTGGCATATAGGAGAACACTAGATATGTTGGCTGTTACTATAATTCGTTCACTCATATTTACGGAGCACCTATTATGTGCCAGGAACAGTTTTAGAAACCTGGGATCCCGTGTTAAACAAAACAGTGATTCTGACCTTCAAGTTGGAAAGATAGATGATGAACCCAAGTACAGTATGTCAGTGGTGATAAATGCTGTAGAAAAAAACAAAGTGGGCTGGGCACGGTGGCTCACGCCTGTAATCCCAGCACTTTGGGAGGCCAAGGAGGGCAGATCACTTGAGGTTAGGAGTTCAAGACCAGCCTGACCAACACAGAGAAACCCCGTCCCTACTAAAAATACAAAATTAGCCGGGCATGGTGGTGCATGCCTGTAATCCCAGCTACTCAGGTGGCTGAGGCAGGAGAATCGCTTGAACCCGGGAGGCACAGGTTGCAGTGAGCAGAGATGGCGCCACTGCCCTCCAGCCTGGGTGACAGAGGGAGACTGTCTCAAAAAAAAAAATGCACCTCCCATTTCTCACTCAGAGTTTGGAGTGTCCCCAGAACCCCCTTGCAGGCCACGACACACACCCACACTCCAGCTGTGTCTACACAGCCTGATGCTCTCTTGTGCAGGTCCTGGACAAACATGGGGACATCTACGGGCGGGAGCGGATTGCTGAGCTACTGGGCATGGACCTGGCCACACTAGAGATCACAGCCCACAATGAGCGCAAGCCCAACCCGCCGCCAGGGCTGCTGACCTGGTGAGCCCAGGACACCCCTGCACAGGCCTGGGGCATGCAGGGGAGGTGACTGGAGTCTGACACTCAAGCATCTCTCCCCACCCCCGCCCCCACAGGCTCATGTCCATCGATGTCAAGTACCAGATCTGGAAGTTCGGGGTCATCTTCACAGACAACGTGAGCAGGGGCCCACAGACTGGGGAGGGACTCTGCAGGGGTGGGGCGTTAGGAGGGTTCCCAACGTCGGGTGTTCCTGACCAAAGAATGACTCCTGGGACCCTGAGTGGCTGTGACCCTAGGGTATCTTCTTATCCACACAAGGCTCCTTATCCCCCTAGACATCTTATTAGTATTATTATTACTATTTTTTTTTAAATAGCTGGGATTGGGTGTGGTGGCTCACGCCTGTACTCCCAACACTTTGAGAAGCCAAGGCTGGTGGATCACTGGAGCCCAGAGTTTGAGACCAGCCTGGGCAATATAGTGAGATCCTCTCTCTACAGAAAATTTAAAAATTAGCTGGGGCTGGGCGTGCTGGCTTACGCCTGTAGTCCCAGCACTTTGGGAGGCCGAGGCAGGCAGATCACTTGAGGTCAGGAGTTCAAGACAAACCTGGCACTGGGCATGGCAGCAGGTGCCTGTAATCCCAGCTACTCAGGAGGCTGAGGCAGGAGAATGGCTTGAATCCAGGAGGTGGAGGCTGCAGTGAGCCAAGATCGCACCACTGCACTCCAGCCTGGGCGACAGAATGAGAATCCATCTCAACAACAACAACAACAAAAACACAAAAAATTAGCCAGGCAGACAGGCACAGTGGCTCAGGCCTATAATCCCAGCACTTTGGGAGGCGGAGGCAGAGGTTTGCTTGAGCTCAAACGTTTAAGACCAGCTTGGGCAACTTTTGTAGAGACGGTGAAACCCTGTCTCTACAAACAATACAAAAATTAGCCAGGCGTGGTGGTGCACACCTGTAGTCCCAGCCACTCAACAAGCTGCGGTGGGAGGATGGCTTGAGCCCAGGAGGCAGAGGTTTCAGTGAGCTGCATGTGCACCACTGCACTCCAGCGTGGATAACAGAGCGAGACCCTGTCTCTAACAAAAAACAGAGAGTGGCCAGGTGCGGTGGCTCAGGCCTGTAATCCCAGCACTTTGGGTTGGGAGGCCGAGGTGGGTGGATCACTTGAGGCCAGGAGTTAGAGACCAGCCTGGCCATCATGGTGAAACCCATCTCTACTAAAAATACAAAAATTAGCTGGGTGTGGTGACCCACGCCTGTGGTCCCAGCTACTTTGGAGGCTAAGGCAGGAGAATCGCTTGAACCCGGGAGGCGGAGGTTGCAGTGAGCTGAGATTGCAACACTGCACTCCAGCCTGGGCAACAGACTAAGACTCCATCTCAAAAAAAAAAAAAAAAAAATTAGCTGGGTGTGGTTACCCACACCTGTGGTCTCAGCTACTTGGCAGGCTTAGCCTCCTTCACTTGAACCTGAGAGGCGGAGGTTGCAGTGAGCTGAGATTGCGCCATAGCATTCCAGCCTGGGTGACAAGTGTGAAACTCCATCTCAAAAAAAAAAAAAAAAAAAGACAGAGGAAGAGATGATGGAGTCTCGCTATGTTGCCCAGACTGGTCTTCAACTCCTGACCTCAAGTGATGCTCCTGCCTCAGCCCCCCAAAGCACTGGGGATACAGGCATGAGCCACCACACCCGGCCCAGAACATCCTTTGGCTCCCTCAGTGTGCCCTTAGATTGCCAGATTATTTCCTTCTGGAGGGGGCTCTCATCTCCCCGCAGGATGCCTTCTCACCCGGAATGCCCTGATCCTCCATGTACTCCCCAAACAGAGCTGGCACCCGACCCCCAGGGCACAGCTGACTCTCGAGTGGCCCCTACCCTCCAGAGTGCTCCTCGTGTGTCCCTGCCTTCCCCCTGACCCCTGGCCCTGTGTGCCCACAGTCCTTCCTGTACCTGGGCTGGTATATGGTGATGTCCCTCTTGGGACACTACAACAACTTCTTCTTTGCTGCCCATCTCCTGGACATCGCCATGGGGGTCAAGACGCTGCGCACCATCCTGTCCTCTGTCACCCACAATGGGAAACAGGTGTGGGGAGGACCTGGCTGTGGGGCGTGGGCCAGCAGGGACCAGCGTGGCAGTGGGTGGTGAAGGGATAAGGGCCGGGCAGCTGGGCTGAGGAGGGGCAAGGCCAGGTGCGCTGAGCCGGGGGTGTGTGGGGCAGCAAGGTAGAGCCACAGGGACTGAACCGGGGCCAGGACCCAGCATGGGCAGGGTGGGGGGAGGGCAAGCCCAGGGCGGAGCTGACCTGGCCCCATCCTGCCCCCAGCTGGTGATGACCGTGGGCCTTCTGGCGGTGGTCGTCTACCTGTACACCGTGGTGGCCTTCAACTTCTTCCGCAAGTTCTACAACAAGAGCGAGGATGAGGATGAACCTGACATGAAGTGTGATGACATGATGACGGTGAGCCCCTCCCCTAGCACTCTGGGACCCTTCCTTCTCGCATCTGTTGAAGGAGTTAATAATGGTACCTCCAGGCCGGGCGTGGTGCCTCCAGCCTGCAATCCCAGTGCGTCGGGAGGCCGAGGCGGGACGATTACTTGAGTCCAGGAGTTGGAAACCAGCCTGGGCAACAAAGCAAAAATCCTGTCTCTATAAAAAAAAATTTAAACGTTAGCTGGGTGTTGTGTTGTGTGCCTGGAGGCTAAGGCAAGAGGATCACTTGGTCCCAGCAGTTTGAGGCTTTAGTGAGCTACGAATGGGCCACTACACTCCATCCTGGCAGACAGACAGAGACCCTATCTCTAAAAAATGAAAATAGTACCTACAGTTTGGCAAGCTGATGCATGCCAGGCACATTTTTTTTTTTTTTTTTTGAGATGGAGTCTCACTGTGTTGCCAGGCTAGAGTGCAGTGGCGCAATCTCAGCTCACTGCAACCTCCGCTTCCTGGGTTCAAGTGATTCTCCTGCCTCAGCCTCCCAAGTAGCTGGGACTACAGGCGCATGCCACCACACCCAGATACTTTTTGTATTCTTAATTTTCTTTCTTTCTTTTTTTTTTGAGACAGAGTCTGGCCCAGGCTGGAGTGCAGTGGCGTGATCTCAGCTCACTGCAAGCTCCGCCTCCCGGGTTCATGCCATTCTCCTGCCTCTGCCTCCCGAGTAGCTGGGACAACAGGCGCCCGCCACCACGCCTGGCAAATTTTTTGTATTTTTAGTAGAGCCGGGGTTTCACCATGTTAGCCAGGATGGTCTCGATCTCCTGACCTGGTGATCCGCCCGCCTGGGCCTCCCAAAGTGCTGGGATTACAGGCATGAGCCACTGCGCCCGGCCAATTTTTGTATTCTTAGTAGAGACGGAGTTTCACCATGTTGGCCAGGATGGTCTCCATCTCTGCCTGTGCCGTCGTGATCTGCCCACCTCGGCCTCCCAAAGTGCTGGGATTACAGGTGTGAGCCGCCGCACCTGGCCATGTCAGATACTTTGAACAGTGCCAGGCATATGAGTGCTCCACACCTCTTCGCCATTGTTTCAATATTATTTGAGCTGAGGTTTTTTGTTGTTGTTGTTCCTGAGACAGAGTCTCGTTCTGTCACCCAGGCTGGAGTGCAGTGACATGACCTCAGCTTACTGCAACCTCTGTCTCTCAGGTTCAAGTGATTCTCCTGCGTTAGCCTCCTGAGTAGCTGGGATTACAGGCGCACACTACCACACCCAGCTGATTTTTGTATTTTTAGTAGAGATGGAGGTGGGGGGGTCTCACAATGTTGGCCAGGCTTGTCTCGAACTCCTGACCTCAAATGATCCACCCACCTCGGCCTCCCAAAGTGCTGGGATTACAGATGTGAGCAACTGCACCCGGCCTTATTTGAGCTTTTCAAACTATTATTATTGGAAAGGTACTCAGGGAGCGTGCCCCTGCCACTTATGAGCCGTGTGATTTTGGGGCAGGCTACTCAACCTCCTCCCTATGCCCTGGGGGCCTCACCTGTAAAATGAGTGTGTAATAGTAGTTGCTTTTAGGACTAATAGGTGCTCCCTGGCTATCGAAGACTTAAAAGACTTAGACCATTGCCTTGCACGGTGGCTCATGCCTGTAATCCCAGCACTTTGGGGGGCTGAGGGGGGCAGATTACCTGAGGTTGGGAGTTTGAGACCGGCCTGACCAACATGGAGAAACCCCATATCTACTAAAAATACAAAATTAGCTGGGCATGGTGGCGCATGCCTGTAATCCCAGCTACTCGGGAGGCTGAGACAGGAGAATCACTTGAACCCGGGAGGTGGAGGTTGCCATGAGCCGAGATTGCGCCACTGCACTCCAGCCTAGGCAACGAGAGTGAAACTCCGTCTCAAAAAAAAGGAAAAAAAAAAAGACTTAGACTAGTGCCTGGCACATCCTCAGGATTATATAGATGTTAGCTTCTATCATCATTATCCACAATTAAAAGTTTCACCCAGGCCGGGCGCAGTGACTCACGCCTGTAATCCCAACACTGTGGGAGGCTGAGGCAAGAGGATTGCTTGAGCTTAGGAGTTTGAGGTTGCAGTGTGCTATGACTGCGCCACTGCACTCCAGCCTGGGTAACACATTGAGACTCTGTGTCAAGTTTAAAAAAAAGTTTCACCCAAGGTATACCCAGCGTTCAATGCACATTTATATTTTCTCTTCTATTCTAATAATGGTGATCATAACCCAAATTGATGCGAACTTACTAGAGACACAGGCCACAATCCACAATTAAAAGAATCATTTCTGGGGTTTATCTCCAAAGATGTCCTGCAGTCTGGCTCCGTGGGTTCCTCCCTGCTCTCAGGACAAAGTCCAGCTCCTCAACCTGACATCTGAGGCTCTTCCAGACACGGCCTCGCTGCCCACAGCCTCGTTCTCATTATAGTCACTTATCTTAGTTTTTACTCTAGGATGACTGTGTTCTCTCACATCCTGGGGACACGGAAAGAACAAGTGTATGCCGGGCGCTGTGGCTCACGCTTTTAATCCCAGCATTTTGGGAGGCCAAGGCAGGTGGATCATCTGAGGTCAAGAGTTTGAGACCAGTCTGGCCAACGTGGTGAAACCCTGTCTCCACTAAAAATACAAAAATTAGTGGGATGTGGTGGTGGGCGCCTATAATCCCAGCTACCTGGGAGGCTGAGGCAGGAGAATCTCTTGAACCCCGGAGGCGGAGGTTGCAGTGAGCCGAGATCACGCCATTGCACTCCAGCCTGGGCAACAAGAGCAAAACTCCATCTCAAAAAAAAAAAAAAAAGAAAAAAGTACAAAAATTAGCTGGGTGGGGTGACACGCACCTGTATTCCCGACTACTCAGGAGGCTGAGGCAGGAGAATCTCTTGAACTCGGTGGTGGAGGTCGCAGTGAGCCAATATTGCACCACAGCACTCCAGCCTGGGCAACAGAGCAAGACTCTGTCTCAAAAAAAAAAAAAAACATATGTAAAGTTGTTCCCAAATGCCAGGTAGACCATGCTCCCTCCCCACCCCCACTCAGACCCTTCTTGTGGCTCCCCAGCCCACTGTAGATAAAGTCGAATCACCCTGCCGTGGCTTACAAAGCCTGGGAAGGGCTGGCCCTGCCTGGGTCTAACCGCAAACCCTCTTGCTTTTTGCTTTCTAGCCGCCTGGTCCTCTTTCAGTTCCCCTAGGACTGTGTGTTTTCTCCCAATTCAAGCCCTTTGCACCTGATGTTCTCTCTGTCCCCTACCCCAGGCCTGACATACACACACACCCCATTCACTTGATACCTCACCTTTCCACTTAAATGCCACATCCTACAGGAAGCCCCTTGACCGCGGGCTGGGCCAGGGCCCACAGAGCCACATGCCCAGGCCCTGCCTCATCTCTCCCTGCTCTCCTGCACAGGAGCTCTATTTTCCAGCCTCACCCAACCATTTTCAGTTCCTCACAGCAGCAGGATGTACTCTTTCCTCACTGATGGCGAGGCAGCATGTGGCCTTCTCTGCTGGGAACACTCTCCCACCACCCCTCCACCTAAGGCCTCCTTTAGGTTTCAGCTCACACCTGCCTCCTCTTCCAGGAAGCCTCACCTGATCACCTAGGCTGGATCAGATGCCTCCAGCGGGCTGTTAAAGCTTCCAGTGCTTCCCCTAGCTCATCCCTGGTCACACTGTGCCTCCCCACCCCAGCCTCGACCCTCTGCCTGTGCCCCTCCCATCCTCGCCCTCACCCTTCTGCCTGTGCCCCCCTATCCTGGCCCTGATCCCTACACCTGTGCCCCCCCCCACCCATCCCGGCCCTCATCCCTCCGTCTGTGCCCCCCATCCATCCCGGCCCTGACCCCTCTGCCTGTGCCCCACTATCCTGGCCCTAACCTCTCAGCCTGTACCCTCCATCCTGGCCCTGACCCCTCTGCCTGTGCCCCCCACCCAACCTGGCCCTGACCCTTCTGCCTGTACCCCCCATTCCAGCCCTGACCCCTCTGCCTGTGCCCCCCCATGCTAGCCCTGACCCCTCTCCCTGTGCCCCCCTATCCTGGCCCTGACCCCTCTGCCTGTGCCCCCCTTATCCTGGCCCTGATTCCCCTGCCAGTGCCCCCCATCCCAGCCCTGACCCCTCTGCCTGTGCCCCCCTTATCCTGGCCCTGACCCCTCTGCCTGTGCCCCCCATCCTGGCCCTGACCCCTCTGCCTGCGCCCCACACCCAACCTGGCCCTCACCCCCCTGCCCGTGCTGTTCCTGTCACAGCCCTGACCATTTCTGGCTGTTGGTCCCTGTCTGATGCCGTATCTGTGAGCCCTTTGAGGGCAGGGCCCAGGGCTGTCTCAGTCGTTACCATGTCTTCAGCCCTGCCTATCCCGGGGCCTTGGCTGGTACTCAGTGAATGTCGAATGAATGAGTGACCAGTGTGCTCCCCTCCCTCAGTGTTACCTGTTTCACATGTACGTGGGTGTCCGGGCTGGCGGAGGCATTGGGGACGAGATCGAGGACCCCGCGGGTGACGAATACGAGCTCTACAGGGTGGTCTTCGACATCACCTTCTTCTTCTTCGTCATCGTCATCCTGTTGGCCATCATCCAGGGTCAGTGCTGGGAGTGGGCGCTCAGGGCCCGGAGGCAGGCTAGCTCCATGGCTAAGAATGCAGGCCCAGGATCCAGTCGGCCTGCATTCATACCCCATCTCTACCTCTCGCTACTGTGAGACCTTGGGCAAGTCACCTCTCGGGGCCTCCGTTTCTCCATCTGCAAAACGAGGGTGTCAATGGTACTAACCTCATAGGTTGTGATCAGGATTAAGTCAGTTCATAGGCGCTCGGTGTCTGGCTCATATGAGTGCTCAATAAAGGCCTGAGATATATATATATATATATGTTTATTTATATATATATGTGTTTATATATATTTATATATGTGTTTATATATATTTATATATATGTGTGTGTGTCTATATATATATATGTATAATTTTTTTTTTGAGAGGGAGTCTCGCTCTGTTGCCCGGGCCAGAGTTCAGTGGTGCAATCTTGGCTCACTGCAACCTCTACCTCCCAGGTTCAAGCGATTCTTCTGCCTCAGCCTCCTGATTAGCTGGGACTACAGGCACATGCTACCACACCCAGCTAATTTTTTTTATTTTTTTATTGTTAGTAGTGAGGGGGTTTCACCATGTTGGCCAGGCTGCTCTTGAACTCCTCACCTCAGATGATCCGCCCACCTCAGCCTCCCAAAGTACTGGGATTACAGGCGTGAGCCACCGCACCCGGCCAATAAAGGCCTAATACTATCTTCTTAGGAAGCGAGATTAGGGGTGAGATTAGGGAAATGGGGGATGGAGGGCAAGCCCTGGAGGTAGGTAGCTGGAGAGGGGGGAGTCTGAACCAGGTCAGAGGTCGGGCACTGACTTGTGTCCTGCCACCCCAGGTCTGATCATCGACGCTTTTGGTGAGCTCCGAGACCAACAAGAGCAAGTGAAGGAGGATATGGAGGTAGGTCATGTCTGGGGGTGACCCAGAGGGATTACGGGATTCAGGGGGTCAAGTGGGCCTCCACTCTGATGTCTCTTGCCACTCACAGACCAAGTGCTTCATCTGTGGAATCGGCAGTGACTACTTTGATACGACACCGCATGGCTTCGAGACTCACACGCTGGAGGAGCACAACCTGGCCAATTACATGTGAGCAGACACACTGGCCAGTCAGGAGGGTGGGGGGCATGGCTGCCAATAGCCAGCAGTGGGGTACTTAGCTTTGGCCAGTTAGGAAAGGGGGTGTAGTGTCCATGTGGGCAGATTCCCTGCCAGCCAATCAGAAGGTAAGGGTGGGGCCCCGCAAGATGGTTCACACCTGTAAGCCCAGCACTTTGGGAGGCCAAGTGGGGAGGATTACTTGAGGCCAGGAGTTCGAGACCAGCTTGGGCAACATAGCAAGACTTCCTCTCTACTATAAATGAAAAATAAAATAAGGTAAGGGTGGTTCTGACTTGTCTCCTGTGGTCCTCTCACCCTCAGGTTTTTCCTGATGTATTTGATAAACAAGGATGAGACAGAACACACGGGTCAGGTAAGGGGGTGTTAATGGGAGGACAGTGGGCAGGACGTGGAGCCCTTTAACATAAGGCCAGTCAGTAGGTGGCAGTAAAAAGCTCCTATCAATATCAAGGGTTAGGGCTGGGGGCTGGGCACGGCGGCTCACGCCTGTAATCCCAACACTTTGGGAGGCCAAGGCGGGTGGATTACTTGAGGTCAGGAGTTCAAGACCAGCCTGGCCAGCATGGTGAAATTCAGTCTCTACTAAAAATGCAAAGATTAGCAGGGCGTGGTTGTGCATGCCTGTAATCCCAGCTACTTGGAAAGCTGAGGTGGGAGAATCGCTTGAACCCAGGAGGCAGAAGTTGCAGTGAGCCAAGATCATGCCACTGTACTCCAGCCTAGGTGACAGAGCGATACTCCATCTCAAAAAAAATGGGTTTGGGCTGGGCGTCCTGGCTCACGCCTGCAATCCTAGCACTTCGGGAGGCCACAGCGGGAGAATTGCTTGAGACCAGAAGTTCAAGACAGCCTAGGAACACAGCGAGACCCTTTCTCTATTAAAAAATTAGCCAGGGGTGGTGGTGTGCACCTGTAGTCCCAGCTACTCTGGAGACTGAGGTGGAGAATCGCTTGAGCCAGGAGGCTGTAGTGAGCTGTGATTGTCGCCACTGCACTCCAGCCTGGGCAACAGAGCAACACCCTGTCTAAAAATATATATATATATATGTCTCAAGGGTTTGAAGATGTGACCAATGAACTCTTTCTATCCCCAATCCTAGGAGTCTTATGTCTGGAAGATGTACCAAGAGAGATGTTGGGATTTCTTCCCAGCTGGTGATTGTTTCCGTAAGCAGTATGAGGACCAGCTTAGCTGACACACCCCCAGCTGGCCCTCCACCCCCACCTCAAGTGCCTTATTCTCACAGCAAGCCCCTTAGTCCCCAAGCCCCTCCCCCTAAGGCAGCTGGGGGAGAGGTGACCTAGTACTGGAAAATAAATCTGTGCTACGCCCCCCAGCATCACTGTGTTGGCCTGCTGAAATTTTGGAGGAGTGGACATCCAGGAATTGTTTCCCCCAAGAAAAACAAGATGACAGCAGAGGCTAAAGTCATGTTTATTGGGAGATGAGGACATGCCATGACCACTAGTGTGTCTATGGGGGAGGGGGTGCAAGGACTAGTTCCTGACACCCCCCTAGGGACTCATTCCTGGATGTAGAGGTTGCTGGGAGCAGTAGGATCATCCACTGGGCGTGTCTCCACCACTACAGGCCTGTGGAAGGAAGAGATAAGTCAGTTCATTTATTCATTCATATGTTCATTGATTCATTAATTCACAAAGTAGTTAATAGAGACTGTGCCAGCCCCATGCTGAACTATAGCAGTGAATGGGCAGACACGGTCCCTGCCCTTAGGAAGCTTGCATTCTAGAGAAGGAGATCAACATGAATCAGTGAATTACATGAGTGCAAAAAAGCATGGCATGTCTGGCAGGGAAACCTAACCCAGGAGGTCAGCCCAGACTCCCCAGAGAATGGATGGTGCAGCCTGAAGGGGGGTTAGGAGGGAACTTGGTGAAAGGGCAAGGAAGAGTGTTCTGGCTGGGGAGAACAGCCTGTGCAAAGGATTTGAGGTGGGAGAAAGGCTGGGACTTGGCTGGAGATGTCATGGCCTTGTGGGCTGTGGCCAGGATTGAGTCTTTATCTTGAGGCCATGGGAGGATTTTAAGCAGGGAGACAGTGACACGATCAGATTTGGATTTAAAGTGACCCTTCTGGCATGTCAAAAGGACACAGGGGCTACTTAAAGTGGTTCCCACTGGCTAAATTTAAGACCATTTGTGCCTCAAAATAAATAATGACAAGGCCGGGCATGGTGGCTCATGCTTGTAATCCCAGCACTTTGGGAGGCCAAGGGGGGCAGATCACTTGAGGTCAGGAGTTCAAGACCAGCCTGGCCAATATGGTGAATCCCATCTCTACTAAAACTACAAAAATTATCCAGGTCCATCCTGGCTAACACGGTGAAACCCCATCTCTACTAAAAATACAAAAAAAAATTAGCCAGGTGTGGTGGCAGGCACTATAGTCCCAGCTACTCGGGAGGCTGAGGCAGGAGAATGGCGTGAACCTGGGAGCCAGAGCTTGCAGTGAGCCGAGATAGCGCCAGTGCACTCCAGCCTGGGCGACAGAGCGAGCCTCTGTCTCAAAAAAAAAAAAAAAAATTTATCCAGGCATGGTGGTGCACGCCTGTAATCCCAGCTATTCGGGAGGCTGAGGCAGGAGGATCGATTGAACCTGGGAGGCAGAGGTTGCAGTGAGCTGAGATCACACCACTGCACTCCAGCCTGGGTGACAGAGCGAGACTCCATCTCATAAATAAATAAATAAATAATGACAGTAATAGACTATAACCCACAGAATAAAAATCCATGAGACCATGCTGGTATAAAGAAAGAAGAATGGAGAAGACACAGCTCTTCTTTAGAGTAGAATGCCAACTAACACACGCAGAAGGAAACATAGAATCAGAAAATCACCATTTATTGTTAGTAGCCACCTAACAATAATAGATTCAGGGAAAAATCAATTGATTCTAAAACTAGTGGGCAGGCCAGGTGCGTTGGCTCAAACCTGTAATCCCAGCTACTCGGGAGGCTGAGGCAGGAGAATTGCTTGAACCTGGGAGGAGGAGGTTGCAGTGAGGCGAGATCGTGCCACTGCACTCCAGCCTGGGGGACAGAGTGAGACTCTGACTCAAAACAACAACAAAAGACAAACAAAAAACAATAAAACTAGTGGGTGAAAATCTGATGAGAAACAACGTATTTACAGACTATTTACCTCGTCTCAGTGAATCTCCCCAAAAGATACTTCTTTTTTTTTTTTTGAGACAGAGTTCACTCTTGTTGCCCAGGCTGGAGTGCAATGGCGCGATCTCGGCTCACTGCAACCTCCGCCTCCCGGGTTCAAGCGCTTCTCCTGCCTCAGCCTCCCGAGTAGCTGGGATTACAGGCATGCAACACCATGCCCGGCTAATTTTGTATTTTTAGTAGAGACAGGGTTTCTCCACATTGGTCAGGCTGGTCTCAAACTCCCGACCTCAGGTGATCCACCTGCCTCGGCCTCCCAAAGTGCTGGGATTACAGGCGTGAGCCACCGCGCCCGACCGGTGGGATACTTCTTATTACAAAGAAAAACAGAGGCTGGGTGCGGTGACCCCTGCCTATAAGCCCAGCACTTTGGGAAGCCTACACAGGTGAATCTCTTGAGTCCAGGAGTTCCAG
The DNA here is from genome assembly GCF_000001405.40 of Homo sapiens. Taxonomy (NCBI): domain Eukaryota; kingdom Metazoa; phylum Chordata; class Mammalia; order Primates; family Hominidae; genus Homo; species Homo sapiens. Next base: position 38,589,831 of record NC_000019.10, read on the forward strand.
ACCAGGCTAAGTAACATGGCGAAACCCTGTCTGTACAAAAAATACGAAAATAAGCCAGGTGTAGTGGTACGCGCCTGTCATCCCAGCTACCCGGGAGGTTGAGGTGGGAGGACTGATTGAACCCAGGAGGTCGAGGCTGCAGTGAGCCATGATCGCGTCACTGCACTCCAGCCAGGGTGACAGAGAGAGAATCTATCTTTAAAAAAAAAGAAAAAGGGAGAAAAAAGCAACTTCACAGTGGAGAGAACTGGCTGATTCTACCTTAACCAAATGACCGAAGTTAATATCACCAGTAATGGGACAAACTAGCATTGTGTACTTCCTGAAATGATGCACTGAGAAAGACATCTTTCTGCAGTATTCCTGCCCAAAATTCAGAACGTGGAAACCTCAAACACAGTTAAGGGACATTTTAGAAAACAAATTTCCTTTAATTTTTAAAAAGGTCAAAGCTCCTTTAAGACAAAAGAAGTTTTAATTATTTTTTCCGGCTTAATTATAAAGAAACATGGCTCCTAAGTGCCACCTATGATCTTGGACCAGAAAAAAAAAAAAAAAAAAAAAATATATATATATATATATATATATATATATATATATATATATAATCACGGGCGTCACTAGGACAACGGGTGAAATTTTTTGTTGTTGTTGTTGTTGTTTTCTGAGACAGAGTCTCGCTCTGTCACCCAGGCTGGAGTGCAGTGGCGTAATCTCGGCTCACTGCAACCTCCACCTCTCCGATTCAAGTGATTCTCCTGCCTCAGCCTCCCAGCTGGGATTACAGGCACGTGCCACCACACCCAGCTAATTTTTGTATTTTTACTAGAGGTGGGGTTTCTCCATGTTGGCCAGGCCCATCTCCAACTCCTGACCTCAGGTAATCTGCCCACTTCAGCCTCCCAAAGTGCTGGGATGACAGGCGTGAGCCACCACACCTGGCCAACTGGTGAAATTGAGTAGGGGTATGAATTAGAAGGTTGTGATGTTTCAGTGTTGTTTTCTTGATTTTGACAGCTGTGCTGTGGTTTGTAACATTATGTCCTTGCTTTGATTCAGGAAACATACACTGAAGTATTTTAGGGGTAAATGGGCATCACGTCTGCAATTCATTCCCAAATATTCATTAAAAAATCACACACACACACACACACACACACACACACACACATATACTTGTATGTGTGGTGTGTGCGCATAAGAAAGAGAAGAGGCCGGGCATGGTGGCACATGCCTGTAATCCCAGCTACTCGGGAGGCTGAGGCAGGAGGAGTGCTTGAACCCAGGAGTGGGAGGTTGTGGTGAGCTGAGATTATGCCATTGCACTCCAGCCTGGGCAACAAGAGCGAAACTCTGTCTCAAGAAAAGAAAAAAAAAAGAATAATAAGGCAAATGCGGTTAAAAAGATTAACATCTGGCCAGGTACAGTGGCTCACGCCTGTAATCCCAGCACTTTGGGAGGCAGAGGTGGGTGGATCACCTGAGGTCAAGAGTTCGAGACCAGCCTAACCACCATGATGAAAGCCCACATCTACTAAAAAAACAAAAAAATTAGCTGGGCGTGGTGGTGTGCAACTGTAGTCCCAGCTACTCAGGAGGTTGAGACAGGAGACTTGCCTGAACCCGGGAGGCAGAGGTTGCAGTGAGTGGAGATCCACTGCACTCCAGCCTGGGCCACACAGCAAGACTCCATCTCAAAAAAAAAAAAAAAAAAAGATCTGGTTAATCTGGATAAAAGGGATTTTTGCAACTTCTCTGGGAGTGTGAGTTTTAAATTATGTCAAAATAGTTAAAATAGTTATTTTTAATAGTTAAAAATTTTTAATAAGATAAAAATCTAAAATAAAAATGCAGCCAGGGCTGGGCACGGTGGCTCATGCCTGTAGTCCCAGCACTTTGGGAGGCCGAGGCGGGCAGATCACCTGAGATCAGGGGTTCAAGAGCAGCCTGGACAACATGGCGAAAGCCTGTCTCTACTAAAAATACAAAAATTAGCCGGGCACAGTGGCACATGCCTGTAATCCCAGTTACTCGGGAGGCTGAGGCAGGAGAATCGCGTGAACCCAGTGGGTGGAGGTTGTGGTGAGCTGAAATCACGCCACCGCATTCCAGGCTGGGCAACAGAGCAAGAATCCGTCTCAAAAAAAAAAAAAAAATGCAGCCAGGTGTGGTGGCTCATGCCAGTAATCCTAACATTTTGGGAGGCCAAGGTAGGAAGATTGCTTGAGGCCAGCAGTTCAAGGACAGCCAGGGCAACATGGCAAGACCCCGTCTCTACAAAAAAATTTTAAAAATTAGCCAGTTGTGGTGGTGTATGCCTGTGGACCTAGCTACTTGGGAGGCTGAGGTGGGAGGATCAGTTGAGCTCAGAAGGTCAAGACTGCAGTGAGCTGTGTGTGTAACACTGCACTTCAGCCTGCGCAACAGAATGAGACCTTGTCTCAAAAATGAAATAAAATTAAGGCCAGGTGCAGTGGCTCACTCCTGTAATCCCAGAACTTTGGGAGGCCAAGGCAGCTGGATCACCTGAGGTCAGTAGTTTGAGACCAGCCTGGCTAACAAGGCGAAACCCCGTCTCTACTAAAAATACAAAAAATAGCCAAATGTGGTGGTACACACCTGTAAACCCAGCTACTTGGGAGGCTGAAGCATGAGAATCACTTGAACCTGGGAGGCAGAGGTTGCAGTGAGCTGAGATTGTGCCACTGCACTCCAGCCTGGGCAACACAGCGAGACTCTGTGTCAAAAATAAATTTTAAAAAAATTTTATAAATAAAAGAATTAAAATTAAAAAATAAAAGGATTGGCCAGGTGCAGTGGCTCATGCCTATAATCCCAGCACTTTGGGAGGCCGAGGCAGGTGGATCACCGAGGTCAGGAGTTCGAGACCAGCCTGGCCAACATGGTGAAATGCCATCTCTACTAAAAAATATAGTATTAGCCGGGTGTGGTGGCACATGCCTGTAATCCCAGCTACTTGGGAGGCTGAGGCAAGAGAATCGCTTGAACCTGGGAGGCAGAGGTTGCAGTGAACCAAGATCACACCATTGCACTCCAGCCTGGGCAACAAAAGCAAAACTCCATCTCAATAAATAAATAAATAAATAAATAAATAAAAGAATTGCTGGGCATGGTGGCACATGCCGGTAGTTCCAGATACTCAGGAAGCTGAGGTGGGTGGATCACTTGAGCCTGGGAGGTCAAGGCTGCAGTGAGCCGTGGTCGTGCCATTGCACTCCAGCCTTTGAGTACAGTGAGAAACAAAACAAAAAGAGAGAACGCCCCCGTGGCTGCAGTGCAGAGAACAGACTCTAGGGAGCAGGGATGGAAGCAGGGTGACCAGGTGAGACACTGTCCAGGCTAGAGATACCTTGCTGGGGACACCTCAGAATGCTCTCTTCACATCAGAAGCCCCCTCCCAGGTCCTTCTGCACCCCACCCCACAACATACCTGGGGGAGCCAAGCAGACGGAAAGTGAGGGTAGGGTCTCTCAGCTCCTGTAGCAGCTAGGGAAAAAAAGTGTGTGTCTCAGTGCCTGGAAGATACCTCCACTGTCACTACGAACATGGCTCCCTTAAAGACAGCAAGGAGCTGGGCACGGTGGCTCACGCCTGTAATCCCAGCACTTTGGGAGGCCGAAGTGGGTGGATCACCTGAGGTCAGGAGTTCGAGACCAGCCTGGCCAACATGGCAAAACCTCGTCTCTACTAAAAATACAAAAATTAGCTAGGCATGGTGGTGCGCGCCTATAGTCCCAGCTACTCAGGATCTGAGGCAGAAGAATCACTTGAACCCGGGAGGCAGAAATTGCATTGAGCTGAGATTGCGCCACTGGGCGTGCCACTGGAGCCGAGATCTCCAGCTGAGATAATTTTTGTATTTCTACTGAAAATACAAAAATTAGCCAGCTGTGGTGGCGCATGCCTGTAGTCCCAGCTACTTGTGAGGGTGAGGCACGAGAATCGCTTGAACCTGGGTGGCAGAGGTTGCAATGAGCCAAGATTGTGCCACTAACACTCCAGTCTGGGGAACAGAGCGAGACTCCATTTCAAAAAGAGGGAAGGAACTGAGTGAGCAAAAATAAATAAATAAAAATACTAAAGTGTAAGGGCAAAGTCTGACACAGTATTCTGTGAGATAAACACCATTTTCCAAATGAGGACAGTGAGGCACAGGAAGGTTAAGTCATTTGCCCAAGGCCACTCAGCTGAATTCCAACCCAGACAGTCTTGTCTTAACTATCCATATATCTCTATAGTGGTCCCCATTTTACAGTTGGGGAACAGAAGCTTAAAGAGAAGCAACGTTGCCAGCCCAAGGTCACAGTAGTGGCCCAGGATGAGATTGGGACTCAAGAAATCCAAGAGCAGCCAGGTGCAGTGGCTCACACCTGTAATCCAAGCCACTTGAGAGGCTGAGGAGGGAGGATTGCTTGAGCCCAGAAAGTCAAGGCTACAGCTAGCTATGGTTGCACCACTGCACTTCAGCCTGGACAAGAGAGAGAGACCCTATCTCCAAAACAAACAGGCCGGGTGAAGTAGCTCACGCCTGTACTCCCAGCACTTTCGGAGGCTGAGGCGGGCAGATCACTTGAGGTCAGGAGTTCGAGACCAGTCTGGCCAACATGACAAAACCCCGTCTCTACTAAAAATACAAAAATTACCTGGGCATGATGGAGTGTACCTGTAATCCCAGCTACTCGGGAGGCTGAGGCAGGAGAATCACTTGGACCCAGGAGGCAGAGGTTGCAGTGAGCTCGGATCATGCCACTGCACTCTGCCCTGGGTGACAGAGCGAGACTCTGTCTCAAAAAATATATAAAAATGGCCAGGAGTGGTGGCTCACACCTGTAATCCTAGCACTTTGTGAGGCCAAGGAAGGCAGATTGGCTGAGCTCAGGAGTTTGAGACTAGCCTGGGCAACATGGTGAAACCCTGTCTCTACTAAAAATACAAAAAAATTAGCTAAGCATGGCGGCATGCACCTGTAGTCTCAGCTACTCAGGAGGCTGAGGCAGGAGAATTCTTTGAACCTGGGAGGCAGAGGCTGCAGTGAGCCGAGATCGCGCCACTACACTCCAGCCTGGGTGACAGAGCAAGAATCCATCTCCAAAAATAAATAAATTTTATCTATCTATCTATCTATCTATCTATCTATCTATCTATAAAATAGGCCGGGTGTGGTGGCTGACAGCTGTAATCCCAGCACTTTGGGAGGCCAAGGCGGGTGAATCACCCCAGGTCAAGAGTTCAAGACCATCCAGCCTGATGAACATGGTGAAACCCCGTCTCTACTGAAAATACAAAAATTAGCCAGCTGTGGTGGCGCATGCCTGTAATCCCAGCTACTTGGGAGGCCGAGGCAGGAGAATCGCGTGAACCCGGGAGGTGGAGGTTGCAGTGAGCCGGGATCGCACCACTGCACTCCAGCCTGGGCAACAAGAGTGAAACTCCGTCTTAAATAAATAAATAAATAAAAATAAAATAAAAAATAAATCCTGGGGCAAAGAAGGGGATCTATCTGAACTGAAATTTGGAAGATGTTTCCCCTCCAGGACTTCACACTCTGACTCAGGAGTTCTCGGAGCCCATCTGATGAATGTCATGATGGAGGCTGGGGGGCAGTGATGTGGAGTTTGGATGGAGGGGCTTACCTGATCCGAGCCTAGAGCCCACACCTGCACTCCATGCTTCCAGAAGGCCTGAAGCTGACCTCCAACCATAGCTGGGGAGAAAGCAATGCCCGTTACCCTTGGGGATCACTTGAGTTTCCACCCCTGATCCTGGGCTCTCCCGTCCCTGCACAGACCCACGGCCTCCACCGCTTCGGTCATGGGGATCTCAGGTGTGCGAAGTCCCCGGACTGGGGACCCCTCCGGGGTCACCAGCTTCACAGAGCCTGGAAGGAGATAGACGGTTTTAAGAACTGTGAGCAAGGCTTAGAGGGTTACTAAGGGACCAATCCATAAATTCAGTGTGAAAGCTATGTAGGACAGGGGCAAGGCCCAGAGGGGCTCAGGGGGTTCTGAGAAGCACAAGTTCGGAGGCAGAGATCTAGGGACTGCAGCTGGAGGGGTGGGGAGGAAGGGGAGGAAGGAGGGTTCTCACCATCCATCAACACCATCACCATATCTTCCTCTACCTGGGTCACCTGCACGGGTCCCCTGTGCTCTGTTTGGGGGGAGTGGGTTAAGGATTGACCCCACCCCATTCCCCTTTCCCCACACCACCCCCAGAAGGCCAGTACCTGTGCTTTAGCCACCGCCTCAGTTCACAAGCAAGTGGGCTAAACCCCGCCCACCATCCCGGTCCCACCCCATCATCAATCTCCCCAGTTAACTAAAACCTGCCATTCTCCCTTCTCCGCCCTTCCAGCCCTTTCTCAGTCCCGTAGTGCCTCAGGCTAAGCGAAGCCCCGCCTCCAGCTCCGCCCCTCCGGATCTGATAAGCCCCGCCCTCAGCAAGACTCCGCCCCACTCACCGGTGCTCATCTCGCCCAGCCAGCAAGAGAGCGCGCCAAAGCGCACCGTGTGGAAGAGCACCGACTTCCCCGGCCGCCCGGGGCTCACGCCGATGCACACAGCGGGCAGCTCAGAGCCTGGCCCGGTCAGCAGCGCGAACACGGACAGAGGCGTCGGCAGTGGGAACAGCACCTGCTGCGGGCCGCACAGGGAGGGGCGGGCTAGGGGGTGGTTCAGGACGGGGCCTCAGGGGGCGTGGCTTGTAGCTGGCCTGGGACTTCCGAACCAGGGCCCTAAGTCTTGGGGGATGCCGTCTAGAAATGTCAGGGGATAAGGCCTGGTGCCTCCGCGGGAACGGGGGTCGTGACCTCCGAGTGGGTGTGGCTTCCATGTGGGGGCATGCCACCTTGGCGGCAGACGGGCAGGGCCCCAAAGATAGCAAAACCTGCTTAGACACTCAAAGAGACAGGCTCTAAATGGGCTCTACTAGGACACCCAGGGAGTGGCAGCATTGAGCCTGAGGAATAATTAGGCCCAGGTGTGAGGGGCGGCGCTTAAGGATCAGGATGGCTTCAGAAGGACGAGGCTCCAAGCGCAGACCGCAGGTGGGCGGGGCCTCGGGAGATTGGGGCGGGGCCTCGACGGAGGTGGGGCTTCATGGAGCTCTTGATAGAAGCGCAAAGGGTGCAAGGCCTTAGCCACCCACTCCTCAGAGTTCCCAGCACCCTCCCAAGCCCCTTACCCGGACAAGCAGGAATTTGTTCATGGGCTGGTACCACTGAAGCAGGACAACGGACGTCTCCAATGCACCGCACAGGAACGGGCCCCCAGAGCTCGCACCCTCCGCTGTGGCATGGGCAAGGATGAGTCAAGATCAATGCCCTCTATCCTCCTCGCCACCCACACTACCACCCATCTTCTGGGTTCTGGACACATTGCCTTAACTCTGTAACCTTCTCAGGTGGATGCAGTTCAAGCCCCTCCTCTGGCCTGGCCCCGCCCACTCTCTGCACACCCGTGAAGCTCTCTCTCACCCACACAGCACGCCCGGCAGCCTTTGGTGTCCTGGATCTTGGTGGAAACCATGTTCTTCCTGGAGAATAGGTAGGTGTGAAGGGGGGTAGGACAGCAGGAGGCAGAGGGGCATGGGAGGAATTATAAGGCTGTGTGGTGCCATTCATTGGGAGCTGGTACCTTGCCAGTAGGCGGTGGGGGCTAATGTGAGCGATGGGGTTTCCTGCTCTGGTCTCTTTCCGTTCCAGCAGGCCAAGGATGCTATGAGAATACAGGTGGGGGGTCTTTCCTGCAGGGTGTGTGTATGTAGGGGGAAGCAGGAAGTTATAGGATCCCATATACCACTTCCTTTCCTCCATCCCTTCCCTCAGCCCCATCCCTTTGTCTGAAACTCCCAAGCCTGCAAGTCTCAAGTACTTGTCATTCATTCATTCATTTCTCACTCCACATAGATTGAACGTCCATTGTAGGCCAGGCCTGCTGTGCTTGGCTCTGGTGAACAGTGATGAGCATAAAAAATATGTTCCCTACCCTCGTGGTATTTGTAGCCGTATCAGAAACTCTGGACACATAACCAGTCAGATGAAGTTACACATCTTACAAAGTTTTAGAAGAAACACATCTAGAAAATCTTCTAGTTTGTCATCACAGATGTGGCTTTCACTAACTCATGAATCCCATTTGGCTTGGTGTTTCCCCCAAAACTAGAAATTATTTCATTTATTTATTATTATTATTATTATTTTAGACAGTCTCGCTCTGTCACCCAGGCTGGAGTGCAGTGGTATAATCTTGGCTCACTGCAGCCTCTGCCTCCCAGGTTCAAGCAATTCTCATGCCTCAGCCTCCCAAGTAGCTGGGAGTAGAGGTATGCGCCACCATGCCTGGATAATTTTTGTATTTTTAGTAGAGACGGGGTTTTACCATGTTGGCCAGTCTGGTCTCGAACTACTGACCTCAGGTGATCTACCCGCCTCGGCCTCCCAAAGTGTTGGGATTACAGGTGTGAACCACCGCACCCGGCCTATTTATTGTTATATATAGACAGGGTCTCATTCTGTCTTCCAGGCTGGAGTGCAGTGGTGTGATCATGACTCACTGCAGCCTCTAACTTCTGGGCTCAAGTGATCCTCCCACCTCAGCCTCCCGAGTAGCTGGAACCATAGGTGTGTGCCACCACACCCAGCTAATTTTTTTTTAATTTTTAGTAGAGACGAGGTCTCACTATGTTGCCCAGGCTGATCTAGAACTCCTGGGCTCAAGCAGTACTACTGCCTTGGCCTCTCAAAGTGCTGGGATCACAGGCATGAGCCACTGCACCCCGTCCAGATTTTGAAATCTATAACTTGCTCACTCTATCTTAGTAAAGTATGGAATAAGTTCTGATTGTCATCTGAACATGAAAGCTATTTAAAGACTAACTTAGGGCTGGGCACGGTGGCTTACACCTGTAATCCCAGCACTTTGGGGGGCTGAGACGAGTGGATCACCAGGTCAGGAGTTCGAGACCAGCCTGGCCAACATGGCGAAACCCCGTCTCTACTAAAAACACAAAAAATTAGCCGCGTGTGGTGGCAGGTGCCTGTAATCCCAGCTACTTGGGAGGGTGAGGCAGGAGAATCGCTTGAACCTGGGAAACGGAGGTTGCAGTGAGCCGAGACTGCGCCACTGCACTCCAGTCTGGGCAACAGAGTGAGAGTCTATCTCAAAAAAAAAAAAAAAAAAAAAAAGGACTAATTTAGGCCAGGTGCGGTGGCCCACACCTGTAATCCCAGCACTTTGGGAGGCCAAGGCGGGTGGATCACCTGAGGTCAGGAGTTTGCGACCAGCCTGGCCAACATGGTAAAACCCCATCTCTACTAAAAATAAAAAATAAAAAAAGTAAAAAAAAAAAAAGCCAGTCATGATGGCTCACATCTGTAATACCAGCTACTCGGGAGGCTGAGGCACGAGAATTGCTTGAACCCAGGAAGTAGAGGTTGCAGTTAGCCAAGATCACGCCCCTGCACTCCAGCCTGGGCAACTGAGTGAGACTCGGTCTCAAAAAAAAAAAAAAAAAAAAAGGCTAATCTAAGGCCAGGTGTGGTGGCTCATGCCTGTAATCCCAGCATTTTGGGAGGCCAAGGCAGTTGGATCACCTGAGGTCAGGAGTTTGAGACCAGCCTGGCCAACAGGGTAAAACTCTGTCTCTACTAAAAATACAAAATTTAGCCAGGTGTGGTGGTGCACACCTGTAATTCCAGCTACTCAGGAGGCTGAGGCATGAGAATCACTTGAACCTGGGAGGCAGAGGTTGCCGTGAGCTGAGATTGTACCACTGCGCTCCAGCCTGAGTGACAGAGGGAGACTCTGTCTCAAAAAAAGAAAAAAAAAGACTAATTTATTGTAGAAACTACCTCAAAATTGACTTGAGAGGTGAGGACTATTGTGAACCCCATTTTACAAATGGAGAAATTGAGGCTTGGGGAGCACAGTCAAAAAGTGTCTGGGATTTGAACCTAGGACTTTGTGACCAAGCAGTCTAAGTTTTTTTTCAGCTGTGCCCGTCTACTTCCCAGCCCCCGAACCCTTGGACCCCTTAACTTCCGACCCCATCCCACCTGCTACCCACAGCCAGACCTGAGAGAGACATGAGAACGTTGTTGATGGAGTACACCCACGTAGTCCGGCTAGGAAAGAGCTGCAGGGAATGGGAGAGATGGCTCTGGTGACACCCCAGCAACCCCCGACTCCGGCCCTTGCCCTTGCCCTGGCCCGGTATGGTTCCTCACCATTTCCAGCGTGGCCTCCTGGTCATTCCGGTTCAGGATGAAGATGCCTTCCTCTGCCCCCAGGAGCAGGTGCTGGTCTGGAGGCACAGACAAGGACGCTGGGACCGACTTCATCCTCAGGGACCTCCCAGATCCCCACCTGTCTGACCTCAAACACTGACACTCTGTCCCCAGCTCTGACCCTCTATTCTTTCTCCAAACCAATACTCCCAGCCTCTGTTTCCCCAAACAAAGCCAGAGCGGACGGTCCCGCAAGCCAGTCTCACTCTCCCTCCTTTTGACTACCCATATTCTGGTGGTTCTTTCTTCTCTGCCCAACTGTCTTCTGAACCAAACTGACCCCAACCTTAGACCTGTCCCCCAAAATAGTCCTCTGATTTCCTCCCCTCTTTCTCCCCAGTTCTGATACCCTAATGCCAATCCTAACATTGACCTTCAAACTCAGACACCCCCAAACAGGACTTTTTCTGTCCAGTGTGACCTGTTCCTTTAACACTGACCTTGTCTTCATCTCTTTGATCTCTAGATTCTGTCCCTTTCTGGCTGCATCCTAATCTCTAAAATTCCTCACCCCAAAATGCTGCTCCCAGTCTCCCTATCATTAACCTCCAGCTGTCCATCTTTCTCGTGCTCCAAACTCTAACCTTTTTGTTATATTCTGACACTCCTGGCCCCTGAATTCCAATATTCCTACTTTCACTCTCCAACTCATCCCTCTACCCATTTTTTTTTTTTTTTTTTTTTTTTGAGACTGAGTCTTGCTCTGTTGCCCAGGCTGGAGTGCAGTGGCATGATCTCAGCTCACTGCAACTTCCGCCCCCTGGATTCAAGCAATTATCCTGCCTCAGCCTCCTGAGTAGCTGGGATTATAGGCACGTGCTACCACGCCTGGCTAATTTTTGTGTTTTTAGTAGAGACGAGGTTTTACCACGTTGGCCAGGCTGGTCTCAAACTCCTGACCTCAAATGATCCGCCCGCCTCCGCCTCCCAAAGTGCTGGGATTACAGGCGTGAGCCACCATGCCCGGCCTACCTAGCTTCTTTTGTATTTTTAGTAGAGACGGGGTTTCACCATGTTGGCCAGGCTGGTCTTGAACTCCTGACCTCAAATGATTCACCCGCCTCAGCCTCCCAAAGTGCTGGGATTACAGGTGTGAGCCACCACACCTGGCTGCCCTCTATGCATCTTTGATCACCAAATCCTGAGTGTAAGGACAAGCTCCGCCCCTGTTTCAGCCTGGCCACACCCCAACTCCATTAAGCTCCTCCCCGTCCCTGCCTTTGTGCCTTCCTTAGGCTTCTCCCCACCCCTACTTTTGCTCTCCCATTCCCTACAGGATCTCCTTGACCCTCCAGAATGCCCACCCTTGGTGGAGGGATGTGTCCAGGCGGCCGTGCTGTGGATCCGGAGGGGGCAGCCATTGAACAACTTTACGAGAAGGGCACATCCCTGGGCAGGTCGCCGCGGGGCCAGGCAGCAGATCCGGCAAAGAGAGCAGGGAACAGGAAGGGGCAGTGGTTACGACTTTGGAGCGAGAGTGCCAAGGTTCAAATCCTGCCTCTTACCTTGGTGCAATTTCCCATAATCTATCCCTGTAATACACTTTTTCATACATTGAGTTTTCTTTTCAGTTTGTTTTTGTTTTTTTTTGTTGTTGTTATATATTTCTTTTTTTAGTTTTTCCTCCACTATCCTAAATCATCAGCATTTGTTTTTTTTAAGACAGAGTCTCACTCGGTTGCCCAGGCTGGAATGCAATGACATGATCTCAGCTCACTACAACCTCTGCTTCCCAAGTTCAACTGATTCTCATGCCTAAGCCTTCTGAGTAGCTGGGACCAAAGGCGTGTGCCACCACACCCAGCTAATTTTTGTATTTTTAGTAGAGATGGAGTTTTGCCATGTTGCCCAGGCTGGTCTTGAACTCTTGGCCTCATGTGATTCACCTGCCTCAGCCTCCCAAAGTGCTGAGATTACAGGCGTGAGGCACCACTCCCAGCTGTCAGTTTTGTTTTTGGAGATGGAGTCTCACTCTGTTGCCCAGGCTGGAGTGCAGTGATGCAATCTCAGCTCACTGCAACCTCCACCTCCTGGGCTCAAGCAATTCTTCTGCCTCAGCCTCCTGAATAGCTGGGATTACTGGCACACAACACCACGCCTGGCTAATTTTTGTATTTTAGTAGAGACAGGGTTTCGCCATGTTGGCCAGGCTGGTCTCGAACTCCTGACCTCAGGTGATGCGTCTGCCTTGGTCTCCCAAAGTGCTGGGATTACAGGCATGAGCCACTGTGCCTGGCCAGCATATATATATATACACATATACATATATATATAGACACACACACACACACACACATATATATACACACACACATACATATATACACACATATACATATATACACACATATACATATATACATATATACACGTGTACATATATACGCATATACATATATACACATATACATATATATACACACATATACATATATACATATATATACACATGTACATATATACGCATATACATATATATACACATATACATATATATACACACCTATACATATATACATATATACACATGTACATATATACGCATATACATATATACACACATATACATGTATACATATATACACACATATACATGTATACATATATACACATGTACATATATACGCATATACATATATACACATATACATATATACACACATACATATATACATATATACACATGTACATATATACGCATATACATATATACACATATACATATATACACATGTACATATATACTTATATACACATGTACATATATACACACATGTACACATATACGCATATACATATATACACATACATATATACACACATATACACATGCACATATATACGCATATACATATATACATATACATATATACACACATATACATGTATACATATATACACATGTACATATATACGCATATACATATACACATATACATATATACACATGTACATATATACACATGTACATATATACACATGTACATATATACGCATATACATATATACACACATATACATGTATACATATATACACATGTACATATATACGCATATACATATATACACATACATATATACACATATACATATACACATATATATACACATGTACATATATACGCATATACATATATACACATACATATACACACACACATACATGTATACATATATACACATGTACATATATACGCATATACATATATACACATATACATATATACACACATATACATATATACACATGTACATATATATGCATATACATATATATACACGTATACATATATACACACATATACATGTATATGTGTGTGTATATATGTATATGTATATATGTATGATTAATTATGCTATGCATTTCATCTTTGAATCATTTCCAGTGCTGGAGGTATAAATTATACATACTTTTAGCCGGTAGCCAACCAGGCACGGCTGTAATCCCACCAGTTTGGGAGGCCGAGGTGGGAGGATCACTTAAGCCCAGGAGTTCAGGACCAGCTTGGGCAACATAGTGAGACCCTGCCTCTATAAAACATTTTTTTAAAAATTAGCCAAGCTGGGCCGGGCGCGGTGGCTCACGCCTGTAATGCCAGCACTTTGGGAGGCCGAGGCTGGCAGATAACTTGAGGTCAGGAGTTTGAGACCAGCCTGGCCAACATGGCAAAACTCCGTCTCTACTAAAAATACAAAAATTAGCTGGGCGTGGTGGTGGGCGCCTGTAGTCATGGCTACTTAGGAGGCTGAGGCAGGAGGATCACTTAGACTGGGGAGGCAGAGGTTGCAGTGAGCCAAGATAGCACCACTGCACTCCAGCCTGGGCGACAGAGTGAGACTCCATCTCAGAAAAAAAAAAAAAAAATTAGCCAAGCGCTACTAGGGAGGGTGAGGTGCATGGATTGCTTGAGTCTCCGAGGTCAAGGCTGCAGTGAGCCATGATCGCGCCACTGCACTCCAGCAGCCTGGGCGACAGAGCGAGATACTATCTCAAAAAAAAAAAAAAAAAAAAAAAAAGACTTTAGAGAGTTCTAATTCATTTTATGCATTTGTTGGCAAATTTGATGCCACAAAGGTGCATTATCACAACACTGACTACGTGTGTAGGCATTATGCATGTACGTAAAAACACTGAAACTTCCTGAATAAAGAGATGTTCTTTTTGTACATCTCCATTTATGAGAGGTAAAATTTCTTGAGATCTTGGCTCTTTGGGCAACTGCATATGTGGTAGTGACTCATGGAGGTTTTGATGGATCTTGTCAAAAGACTCTAACTTCTGGACTCAAGCAATCCTCCCACCTCAGCTTCCCAAGTAGCTGGGACCATAGGTGTGTGCCACCACGCCCAGCTAATTTTTTAAATTTTTAGTAGCTGGGCGCGGTGGCTCATGACTGTAATCCCAGCACTTTGGGAGGCCGAGGCGGGCAGATCACAAGGTCAGGAGATCGAGACCATCCTGGCTAACACGGTGAAACCCCGTCTCTACTAAAAATACAAAAAATTAGCCGGGCCTGGTGGCGGGCACCTGTAGTCCCAGCTACTCGGGAGGCTGAGGCAGGAGAATGGTGTGAACCTGGGAGGCGGAGCTTGCAGTGAGCCGAGATCGCGCCACTGCACTCCAGCCTGGGTGACACAGTGAGACTCTGTCTCAAAAAAAAAAAAGCATGCCAGACGCGGTGGCTCATGCCTGTAATCCCAGCACTTTGGGAGGCCGAGGCAGGTGGATCACCTGAGGTCAGGAGTTCAAGACGAGCCTAACCAACATGGTGAAACCCCACCTCTACTAAAAATACAAAATTAGCCGGGCATGGTGCTGCATTGCCTGTAATCTCAGCTACTCCGGAGGCTGAGGCAGGAGAATCACTTGAACTAGGGAGGCGGAGGTTGTAGTGAGCTAAGATCGCGCCACTGTACTCTAGCCTGGGCAACAAGCAAAACTCCGTCTTTAAAAAAAAAAAAAAAAAAGCAGAAACAACAATCCTGCCTCAGCCTGCCTCCTCAAAGGTATTTATATGACCTTGGGTAAGCCACTTACCCTCTCTGTGCTTCAATTTCCCCATTTGTGAAATGGGGGATAACATCTCTGTGATATCTTCTTCACTCTGTGAAGCTTTATGCCATGTAATGATAGGAGATAAGTGTAGGGCACAGAGAAGCGCTCAACAAATGTCACCTGTTGTTACTGTCAGTCCTGCCACCCCCTCCCCACCCCACCAGGCATCCCCAGCCCCGTCCAGAGGTGTAAGTCCTCAGCAGAGCTGAACCTCACCTTTCTCTTCATCTTTTCCTTCTTGGGGGGCAGAAGTGGGGGCTTGTCAAGCTCCCGGGAGGGTGGGTTCCAGAGTGAGGGTTCTGAGAGGGGTTAGGAGAAAATCAGCCCCCAAGAACCCCCAACCCTCCCGCCCTCCACCCTAGCCTGTCCCATTACCTGAATGGGCGGTGAGGTGGGGGCTGCTGGTGGATGGGGGAGGCCCAGGACGGGGGCTGTTTGGTGGGGGCCCACTGGCACACCGGACCAGCACCCCCGGGCTCAGCTGCCCATCATCCCCCATGCTCCCAGGACCCTCGTCTGATGGAGAACGGAACTTGGGCTTTGGAGACGGGAATGGAGCGTGGGGAAATACATCAGATGATCTCAGAGAGGGCACCCTTTTGCAACTCAAGTCCCTGCCTCCACCAGAACTAACAGCTGTGGCTCTGACCCACCCCCCCGACAACATCTTGTGCCCCCTCCAGCCTTCCCCTGACATCCCCAGCCTGGACATCAACACACTTCAGAAACTAATGGGTTAATGCTGGATATATAGCAGGGGCTTCCTAGGACCAGCTACTGACCAGTGTCTAAGAGGCTAAATATTTTGAATCCGACCCTGAGGTTGAGGGATGCCACTTCCAGATCCCAATGTAGCCATCATCCTGGTCTCCCCAATTCCCTGCCCTGGAGAGCCCAGTATCCCAGCATCTAAGGACCTGGCCTCCTGGCCCCCAGTGGCCCTGAGGCCCCAGCCTCCCAGCTCTGGCCCAGGGCCTTACCTTGGGGGGAAGTGGAGGAGGTGTGTCCTCTGCAGGGGTGGGGCTGAAACACAAAGATGGGTTAAATAGCTGGGGGGCTGGGGAACAAGGACTCGGGGAAGATGGCATGGTTCTGGGCTGGAGGCCCGGGACTGGGGTCTGAGGTGAGGAGGATTAAGGGATGACTGGTTCTGCCTGGAGCAGAGGATTAAAGGATTAATAGCCAGGCTGGACATAGTGGCTCATGCCTGTAATCGCAGTGCTTTGGGAGGCCAGGGCAGGATGGCTTGAGCCCAGGAATTCGAGACTAGCCTGGGCAGCATAGCAAGACCTTGTCTCCAGAAAAAAATTAAAAATTAGCCAGGCGTGGCAGGTGCGCCTGTGACCGCAGCTACTCAGGAGGCTGAGGTGGGAGGATTGCTTGAGCCTGGGAGGTTGAGGCTGCAGTAAGCCATCATTGCACTCCTGCACTTAGCCTTGGTGCCAAAACAAATCATGAGTTTGAGACCAGCCTGGACAACATGGCAAGACCCCATCCTACAAAAAAATGATTAGCCTGTTTCCAAAAAAAAGACTAATAACAGTAACAGCAACTCTTGGAGGTGGAGTGCTGACAGTGCACCACGGCTTTGCACCTTTACACCACCTAGTAACACAGGTGACATCAGCGCCGTGGCCCTGCTCTCCCTGTGCTGGCGCCACACACAGGCTGTCGCACGTGATGGGTGAAGTGAGTGCGCGCACCTGGATGGAGCCTGACTCGGCCTGTGGGCTGGGGAGTATGGGGGCCTGGGCTGACTGTTGGGTCTGGATCTGGGGCTCAGTATCTGGTCTTTGGGAGATTTCCAGGTGCCAAGGTTCAGCCTGAGGGCGGGCAAAAAGATAGGAAAAGCTGAGGGCTGGGGCTGAAGGCTGGAGGGTGGGTCTGGGGTGAGAGTGACATTCGGGAGGAGTTTGAGACTGGGATGTGGCTGAGGGTGCAGGGTCATGGAGGATAGGTGGGGTCAAGTCAGAGATTGGAGCAGCAGCACATTCTAGAAGGAACTGGGGTCAGCTCTGGGGTGGAGAGCAGGTGGGGGGCTGACGCTGAGGGTCAAGTCAAAAGATTGTATAAGAAGATGGAAGGAGGCCAAGTGCAGTGGCTCACACCTGTAATCGCAGCACTTTGGGAGGCTGAGATGGGCGGATCATGAGGTCAGGAGTTTGAAACCAGCCTGGCCAACATGGTGAAACCCCATCTCTACTAAAAATACAAAAAATTAGCTGGGCATGGTGGCAGGTGCCTGTAATCCCAGCTACTCAGGAGGCTGAGACAGGAGAATCGCTTGAACCCGGGGAGCCGAGGTTGTAGTGAGCTGAGACTACGTCACTGCACTCCAGCCTGGGCCACAGAGTGAGACTCCATCTCAAAAAAAAAAAAAAAAAAAAAGAAGAAGGTGGAAGGAAAGAAGGAAAGTGGGAGCTGGAGCTGGGATCAGGTTGGGGGTCAGGGGTTGGAGGTGAAGGGTTAAGGGAGGTGGGGTTAGGGAACAGGGCCTAGGTAGCTGGGCAGAGGGGCTGCATTGAGGGTCTAATCAGGGCTCAGGGCTCGGGGCTAGAAGAAAGGCAGGGGTGCAGCGGGGTCAGGAGTGGAGGAAAGGCCACATCAGGGGATTGTAGGAAGGTGGGGGCTGAGGTGGGGCCTGTGGAGCTGCAGGCAGGGCCTCACTTACATGTCCACGTCGTCATAGTCATCGTCAGACGACTCTGACAGTTGCTTCCTGAAGGGTGACAGGTATGAGCCTTGGGGGCCTTGTCCACATTCCAGCCCCCTCCCCATCCTCCCTGGGGTCCCTGACCTGGGGCTGCTGCTCCTGAGGTCTCGAGGAGGCTGTAGGCGAGCCTGTGGGGTAGGAAAAGGGTCAGCAGTGGCCTCAGGGAAGCAGGCGGTGTGGTGGGGAGTGGGGGGACAGCATCTCACGGTGTTGGCTGGGGGTCTGGTCTCCATTCCTCGGAGCTTCCTGAACTCCATGTGCCGCCCTAGGGTGGGTGGGGGAAGATAACCTGCTGTGAGCTGGGGGCAAGGGGTAACGAGATGGGTTTAAGAACAGAAAGAGTAGAATTGGCGGGGGGGTTGCAGTCAGGATCTTGGGGACTGCAAATGATCTCAGGGAACTGTCCCTTGGGGAAAGGGGTCTTGGATTACAGGGACTTCATTTGGGGGTCAAGTTTGGGATCAAGACCAGGTGCAGTGGCTCACGCCTATAATCCCAGTACTTTGGAAGGCTGAGGTGGGCAGATCGCTGGAACCCAGAGTTTGAGACCTGCCTGGACAACTGGGCAAGAACCCATCCCTACAAAAAATGATTAAAAATTAGCCAAGTGACTGGGCACAGTGGCTCACGCCTGTAATCCCAGCACTTTGGGAGGTGAGGCAGGCAGATCACCTGAGGTCAGGAGTTCATGATCAGCCTGGTCAACATGGTGAAGCCCCGTCTCTACTAAAAAAAAATACAAAAATTAGCCGGGCATGGTAGTATGCGCCTGTAATCCCAATTACTCTGGAGGCTGAGGCAGGAGAATCGCTTGAACCCAGGAGGCAGAGGTTTTGGTGAGCCAAGATCGCACCATCGCACTCCAGCCTGGGCGACAGAGTGAAACTCCGTCTCAAAAAAAAAAAAAAAAAAAAAAAAAAAAAACATTAGCCACGCGTGGTGAATAAGCCTGTAGTCCCAGCTACTCAGGAGGCTGAGGTGGGAGGATTCCTTGAGCCCAAGAAGTTTGAGGCTTAAGTGAGCTGTGATCACACCACTGCACTCCAGCCTGGGTGACACAGCAAGATCCTGTCACAAAAAAATAAACAAATAAATAAGTTTTGGGATCAGGAAGTTGGGGGCTCAATGTAGTTACAGGGTGTTTTCAGGATCCGTTTGGGTATTGAGGTTCTGATGAGATTTCTGAGGTCTCCCTGGGAACTCTATGGTCATTTTGCTTTTGTTTTTGTTTTGTTTTGTTTTGTCCTTGAGACGGTCTCGCTCTTGTCACCTGGACTGGAGTGCAGTGGCGCAATCTTGGTTCACTGCAACCTCCACCTCCCAGGTTCAGGCAATCCTCCTACCTCAGCCTCCCAAGTAGCTTGGACTACAGGCGTGCACTACCACACCCGGCTAATTTTTGTATTTTTAGCAGAGACAGGGTTTCACCATGTTACCCAGGCTCGTCTTGACATCCTGACCTCAGATGATCTGCCCACCTTGGCCTCCCAAAGTGCTGGGATTACAGGCATGAGTCACCACGCCTGGCCTCTACGGTCATTTTGTAGTTCAGGTGCTGATGAGATTGTCTGGGGTCTCTTATAGGATCAGATGATGCTGAGGGTCTCTGGAGGCCTGATGGTAGGGGAAGGTGGTCTCTTAGGTCTATTATAGGGTCAGGTGTCCCCAAACATAAGGATTCTCTACTCACGACAGCAGTCTGCATCTGGGATCCCCAGAGAGCTGGAGCGGTGGGTGGATCTGATCCGCCGAGGGATAGCAGGGGGTAGCTGGGCAGAGGGGCAGCCACGTCAGGGCTCAAGACCCCCAAGCAGCCTCCTACCCTGCCCGGGGTCCATCTGCTCTCTCCTGTAACCCTCTGGGCACACAGCCTTTTACCAAGCTCCCCATCCTCCCTCCCTGTTTTCCCCCTAAGAGAGGCAGCAGGAAGGCACTGCTGGCAGCAGGCACAGCCTGAGAAAGACCGAGAGGTCCCCAGTGCTCTTGTCAGCCAAGGCTCTCACCTCGGGCTCCTCATCCTCAATGTCCCCAATGGAGGGTCCTTTCCCGGGATTCTTCAGTTTGTCAAGAAGATCCAGGATCAGGCCTCGATTCAGCCCAGGCTGGGATACCAGTTGATGCTGGCGGAGGGAAGAGGTGTCCGTATCCAGAGGGATGGTGTGGACAGAGAGGGCTGGTGTGGACAGAGAGGACTGGTACAGGGCCTTGGGGACTGGACTAAAGGAATCTAGCTGGGGAGAAGGTGCCAGTGAAGGCAGAGGGCGGGGAAATCCAGGGAACTCAGAGGCCTGGGGTATTCTTTTTTGTTTGTTTGTTTTAAGACAGAGTCTCACTCTGTCACCCAGGCTGGAGTGCAGTGGCACAATCCAGGCTCACTGCAACCTCCACCTCCTGGGCTTAATTGATTCTCGTGCCTCAGCCTCCCGAGTGGCTGTGATTACAGGCTCGTGCCACCACGCCCAGCTAATTTTTTTTTTTTTTTTTTTTTTTTTTTTTTTGAGACAGGGTCTCGCCCTGTCACTCAGACTGGAGTGCAGTGGCACGATCCTGGCTCACTATAGCCTCCGCCTCCTGGGTTTAAGCAATTCTCCAACCTCAGCCTCCCAAGTAGCTGGGATTACAGGCGTGCGCCACTATGCTCAGCTAATTTTTGTATTTTTAGTAGAGACGGGGTTTCACCATGTTGGCCAGGCTGGTCTCAAACTCCTGACCTCAAGTGATCCATCTACCTCAGCCTCCCAAAGTGCTGGGATTACAGGTGTGAGCCACCATGCCCAGCCGACCGGTGGGAGTCTAAGACATTTTTAGGAATTAGAAGAATTTAGGTTTCTCAGAGCGGGGCTAGGAGAATTCCAGAGTTGTCTTGGAAGAGACTGTGGTTCCCTGGGGATTCAAGAGGACACTCAGGACAAGTCTTGAGTCCTTTGGGAATTTGTCAGTTCCGGCAACTCGGGGTATTTGGGAAAGGTCTGGGGTATAACCCGGAGGGTCTCTGGTGGTCGGGGGTGGTCCTGGGAAATTCTGAGGCACTAGGGACTTTGGAAAGGCCACGGGGACTCCATGGAACAAAGTTATCCATGTCCTCGGGAGTTGTGGAAGGCCCCAGGGAATCCTAGGCTGAGGATCTTGGGGAAGGGAGGGTTACACTGAGCATCTTGGTGGCGCTGGGTCGTTTCTTGGGACTCTTAGTCAGAGTGACTTTGATGAAGTTGTGGAAGGCAGCCGACCTTGGGAAGAAGAAGCCAGGTTCTGGATGAGGGGACCAGAAACCCTCCCATCAGGCCACCCAGCCCCAGCCCTGCCCTCTCTCACCCTCCCTCCTGTTACTCTCTCGTACCATTTGCCTTTTTCCTTCAGTCGGGGAGGCTGGTAGCCACTCTTGGTCATGAGGAAGAGAACTCTAGAATAGTAGGGAAAGGACATGGGGTTCAGACCCTCAAGGGGGCCAGACCTCATGGCTTGAGGGGTTCCTAGTAGCATTGTGGTCAGCAGAGGGCAAAGTGAGAAACAGCATGGAAGTGAGGTTCAGGTTTTACAGTGCACCAGGGTGCCTCTCCTAAGGGAAGCCATTTATGAAGTGATAGAGCTATGGCAAGGCCAGGTGTGGTGGTTCACGCCCGTAATCCCAACACTTTGGGAGGCCAAGGCGGGAGGATAGCTTGAGCCCAGGAGTTGGAGACCAGCTGGGGCAACATAGTGAGACAAAAAAAAAATTTTTTTTTTAAATAGCTGGGTGTGGCAATATGGGTCTGTAGGACCAGCTATGTGAGAGGCTAAGGCAGGAGGATCATTTGAGCCCCGGCATTCAAGGCTGAAGTGAACTACGATCGTGCCGCTGCACTCCAGCCTGGGTGACAGAGCCAGATCCTGTCTCTAAAAATAATAAGAATTAATTAATTAATTTAAAAAATGTCTGGGCGTGGTGGCTCACACCTTTAATCCCAGCATTTTGGGAGGCCAAGGCAAGTGGATCACTTGAGGTCAGGAGTTCAAGACCAGCCTGGTCAACATAGTGAAACCCCGTCTCTACCAAAACATACAAAAATTAGCCAGGCATGGTGGCGTGCACCTGTAATCCCACACTTGGGAGGTTGAGGTGGTAGAATCACTTGAACCCTGGAGGCAGAGGTTGCAGTGAGCTGAGATCTTGCCACTGCACTCCAGCCTGGGCAACAAGAGTGGGACTCCATCTCAAAAATAAATAAATAAATAAAAATAAAAATAAATAAATAGGCTGGGTGCAGTGGTTCACGCCTGTAATCCCAGCACCTCCGGAAGCCAAGATGGGCAGATAACCTGAGGTCAGGAGTTCGAGACTACCCTGGCCAACATGTTGAAACCCCGTCTCTACTAAAAATACAAAAATTAGCCGGGCGTGGTGGTGCACACCTGCAGCCTCAGCTACTCGGGAGGCTGAGGCAGGAAAATAGCTTGAACCCAGGAGATGGAGGTTGCAGTGAGCCAAGATTGTGCCACTGCACTCCAGCCTGGGCAACAGAGCAAGACTCTGTCTTAAAAAATAAAAAATAAAATAAAATAAAATATTAAATTAAATTTAAAAAATAGAGCTGCAGCACGTGCAAAGGTAGGCTCAAGTGGTGATCCCTGAATTGGAGGTTCCTGGGATGGAAGGCGGAAGCTGAGGGTGGGCTTTGGGCCAGGGCTAGACAGGATCTCTGGGCCTGGGGACCCCACGCCTGCCTACCTGAGAGGGTGCACATCAAAGAGCGGTGGCTGTAGCTCGGCCAGTTCGATGGCCGTGATGCCCAGGGACCAGATGTCACACAGCTCATTGTATCCTCCCTTCAGGGCCACAGCTGCCACTTCCGGAGCCATCCTGGGGGCAGACACGCTCAGAGAGCCAGAGGTGGCATGGGGACAGGAAGGGAAGGAGGGGCAGAGAAGGAGAAGGAGTTGAGGGGAGACGCAGCACACAGAGAGTCAGATGGAGAGACAGAGGGACAGGAGTAAAGACAGACACAGGCAGATGAAGACAGAGATGCAGACGGGGCGCGATGGCTCACGCCTGTAATCCCAGCACTTTGGGAGGCTGAGCAAGGAGAATGGCTTAGGCCCAGGAGTTTGAGACCAGCCTGGGCAACTTATCAAGACCCTATCTCGGCTGGGCACGGTGGCTTTTGCCTGTAATTCCAGCACTTTGGGAGGTCAAGGCGGACAGATCACCTGAGGTGAGGAGTTCGAGACCAGCCTGACCAACATGGTGAAAGCCCGTCTCTACTAAAAGTACAAAAATTAGCCGGGCGTGGTGGCAGGCGTCTGTAATCCCAGCTACTTGGTGGCTGAGGCAGGAGAATTGCTTGAACCTGGGAGGTGAAGGTTGCAGTGAGCTGAGACCATGCCACTGCACTCCAGCCTGGGCAACAGAGCAAAACTCCGTCTCAAGAAAAAAAAAAAGAACGAAAAAGAAAAAAAAAAAAAAACAACACCATCTCTACACAAATTTTAAAAATTAGCCAGGTGTCATGGTGCACACCTGTGGTCCCAGCTACTTGGGAGGCTGAGGTGGGAGGATCTCCTGAGCCCAGGAGTTCTAGGCTGCAGTGAGCCGTGACTATGCCACTGCAATCCAGCCTGGGCCACAGAGTGAGACCCTGTCTCTAAAAACAAAACAAAATGAAAAGACAGAGAGGCAGAGACAGAGAGTGAGAGAGACAGAAACAAAGAGACAGAGAGCACTGCAAACTGAGCTAGAGGAAAAAGACAGAAATGGATATGGAGGGACAGAGAAATCAAGATAAAAATCAACACAAACACCGAGAGCAATGGCCAGAAAAGGGCACAAAGAGAGAGGAAAATGGAAAACTCAAGCGACACCCAGAGAGAATGAAAGAATCTTCCAAGGAGAAAGGACGAGGCAGGGGAACGGAGCCAGGAAAGAGGATCCCGGGGAACCAGGGTAGGAAAAACCACTGACCCCCACTCCACCCCTAGCTGCCCGCTGGGCGCCACTCACCAGTAGGGTGTCCCAATGAAAGAGAGGCGTCTGGCCAGTGTAGCCCCAATCTGGGCCGAGATGCCAAAGTCAGCTGGAAGCAGAGGGAGACATAGTGATCTGGGGTCCACTGCGCTTCCGGCCCCCCAGTCAGCCCCCCTGCTCAACCCCCAGCCTTACTCACCCAATCTGACCTCCCCAGCATCATTGATGAGGATGTTAGCTCCCTGGGAATGAGAGGGGATATGGGAGGCTGCAGAGACTCTCCCCAGCCCAGTGCTAGCCCACTCCGCCAGCTCAAACTACCCTGATCCCTGAGCCCCTGAAATGCCACTCCCATCTCCTGGGCCCCACCCCCCAACAGCACCCCTACACCCCCAGACCACCTTGATGTCCCTGTGTATCTTCTTCTGTGAGTGCAAATAGGCCAGTCCCTGGGGAGAAGGGTGGACAAGGGGACAGTGAGTGTTTGGGGGCTGGAGTGGGGCCACCCTCCCCTCCCATCCCCAGAATCCCCAGGCCTCTCCTTACCTGGAGCACTTCCCGGCAGACATAGCTAATCTGGAGCTCTGACAGGGAGCCTGTCACTGCAAAGGTCACCCCGGCCAGGCCAGGCATTGGATGGGAGCCAGGGAACCTGGGCTGGGGAGTCCTGCCCCCCCACACCAGCTAAGAGGGTGCCATAGGGAGAGGGGAAATAGGATAGGACCAGTGGGAGGGGGAGATGGTGGGGTGGTCAGTGACAGAAAGAGGCAGCAATGCAAATAAAAGAGGCCAATAGGCCTGGCGCAGTGGCTCATGCCTATAATCCCAGCACTTTGGGAGGCCAAGGTGGGTGGATCACTTGAGGTCAGGAGTCCGAGACCAGCCTGGCCAACATGGTGAAACCCCATCTCTACTAAAAAATACAAAAATTAGCCAGGCATAGTGGTGCATGCCTGTAATCCCAAGTACTCAGGAGGCTGAGGCAGGAGAATCGTTTGAACCCAGGAGGTGGAGGTTGCAATGAGCCGAGATCGTACCACTGCACTCCAGCCTGGGCAATAGAAGGAGGCTCTGTCTCAAAAAAAAAAAAAAAAAAAAAAAAAAAGGAAAGAAGGAAAGAAAGAAAGTAAGCAAGATAAATAAGTAGAATATGATATAGTTCCTCAGACGCTGATAGACAGCAAGAAGAAACATAAAGCAAGAAAGGTGCGCGTAGGAGGAGCTATGACATTTCACAGAGGTGGTCAGTCAGGGCTGCTCTCTGAAGGTGACAGTGGGTGAAGACATGAGGGCTCCCACTCTGAGTGGGACCAGCCACAGCAAGTGCAGGGCCCCAGGTGGGATAGTCCCTGGTGGGTCTGGAAAGCAGCAAAGGGGGTGGGGTGGAGTGGAGGGGGAGGAGGAAAGTGGGAGGAGGTGAGATTGGCCAGCATGGGGTGGACCCTGATGAGGAGTCTGGGCTTCTCCTCCGAGAGAAATGGAAGCTGTAGGAGGGCTCTGAGCAGGGGCGTCATGTGACTTTGCAAAATAAGGAAAGGCACAGAGACAGAGAGAGACAGAGAAACGGAGACAGATCATACATGAGACATACAAAAGGAACAGGATTGAAAAAAACAAAAAAATGAGACAGAAGACAAAGACAGAGGTCAGAGGCCAAAATATGGGGAGACAGACAGATTTAGAGAGAGACCCAGAGGGTAACGAGGTAAGAACAACACACAGGCAGAGAGACAGAGAGACAGACAGACAGAGAGAGGCCGTCAGACATCAGGTCTGACAGACCAGCTGTGGGATTCACTTCCTCTCTTTGGGCCTCAGTTTCCCTCCTGAGGACTTCTCAATGACGTCCTTCCTTTTCTAACATTTGAGGTCTAGGGCTGGAAGGAATCAGAGGTTTTCCGCCTCCCAGAATCAAACGATTCTCCTGCCTCAGCCTCCCGAGTAGCTGGGATTACAGGCGTCTGCCACCACGCCCGGCTAATTTTTTGTATTTTTAGTAGAGGCGGGGTTTCACCATGTTGGCCAAGCTGGTCTTGAACTCCTGACCTCAGGTGATCCGCCCACCTCGGCTTCCCAAAGTGCTGGGATTACAGGCGTGAGCCACCACACCAGGCCCAGCAGTTATATTAAAAAAAAAAAAAAAAAAAGCCAGGCACAGTGGCTCAAGCCCGTAGTTTCAGCACTTCGACAGCTGAAGGCAAGAGGATCAGCTCAGCCCAGGAGTTTGAAATATGGCCCAGAAAGACAGTTCCTGTGAGATACACACACAGAGACGGAAGAGGTGAATTTGGGTCGGGGTTGGGGGGTGGGGATAGGGAGGGGTGCTTGGGTCCCGTTGTCCTTTCTCTAACCTTGGTAGATGTCCTGGAGAGAACCAGCCCCACAGAATTCCATGCAGATCCAGAGTTTCTGCAACCTGCAGTGGTTCAAGAGTAAGAATAATAATAGCAGTAAATACATTATTATTTGCAGGAAAGCCCCTGGTTTGCTTCTGTCTTGTTCTAGTTCAATAAGAACTTTAACGTAACAGCTCTCATCACTCCACCTCTCCTTGTCTACCAGAGTGAGGTTGTTTCATTCCCATTTTACAGACAAGGAAGTTAAGGCTCAGAGAGGAAATGTGAGTTCCGGGGCAAGTCAACTCAAACCTAGGCCTTTGGGCGGGACCCCACTGCCGTCCCACGCCAACCTAGGAGGCAGGGCAGAGATCTCACGGGTTGTGGAGATTTGGAGGGGACAGAGGGGCCCAGGGCACCTGTTCTGGGGAGCAGAGGTCATTATTGGGGCATCTGGAATATTAATTTGGGGATCAGGGAATTTAGGAGTTTATATTAAAGGAGCAGAGAGTGAAACTGGGTGAGCCAAAGAGCAGAATGGTGAGAGCTTCGTTTCAAGGGAGTTGATTTCAAATTCAGTTACTATGAAGAGATCAATTTGGGGTACTCTTGGTCAGAAATGGGAATTTTAGATTGGAGATTAGATTAGAGGCTGCTCTGGTCAGAAAAGTGGGACTTAGGAGTGAGGATCATGGTAGGGTTAGCCCAGTCAAAAATGGGGGTCCAGGATGGGAGGTCGGGTTATGGTGAGAAATGGAAGTTCAAGGTTAGAACTGAGGGTGCCAAGACCAGGCGCGGTGGATCACACCTGTAATCCCAGCACTTTCGGAGGCCGAGGCGAGTGGATCACAAGGTCAGGAGTTCAAGACCAGCCTGGCCAAGATGGTGAAACCCCATCTCTACTAAAAATACAAAAATTTGCCGGGCAGGGTGGTGAGCGCCTGTAATCCCAGCTACTCGGGAGTCTGAGGCAGAGAATTGCTTGAACCCAGGAGGCAGAGGTTGCAGTGAGCTGAGATCATGCCACTGCACTCCAGCCTGGCAACAGAACAAGACTCCATCTCAAAAAAGAAAAAGAAAAGAAAAAAAAAGAACTGAGGGTACCCCCATCAAGAAATGGGGACTCCGGGTTAGGGGCTGGGCTGGGTGCCAGGGTGGGTCTGAGGTTCATCACCAGAGATAACTCCCATGGTAGGCCACGATGTTGGCGTGCCGGCAAGTTTTCAATATGAGGATTTCCTTCTGAAGGGTGGAGACATCATCATCTGTGAGGAGGGCGGGAGAGAAAAGGCAGCTCGCATGGGGAGAGAGCTACAGGGGAGGTGATCCCAGTGTCCCAGGAGGCGAAGGTGGGGATGTGGGGAAGGAGCTCCATGTTCCCTCCTCACCAGGCTCCATCTTCACCATCTTCAGTGCCACCAGGTCCCCTGACACCTTGTCTCGAGCCTTGCAAAGGGGAAGTTGGCAGTCAGGCAGGCTCCATTTGCCAGAGTCCCTCCACAGCATCCCTGAGTCAAGGTCAAGAACTGGGACCCCCTCTTGCAGCCTCCTCCCTGCCGAGGGCTTGCCTTAAAGGTCACTGGTTGTAGGGTGTTGGGGACAGAGGGGCTTCCTCACCTTAAAGACTTCCCCATACGTGCCGCCACCCAGCCGCTGTAGCAGGTCATAGTGGTCCCGGGGGTCTCTATTGAAAATGTCAGGGTCCACGACGTCCATCCCTGGGGGCCTGAGCTGGGCCTGCGCCCAGGGGCCAGCAGGGCCTCAGGGCTCAACTTCTGGCACCTCCCTCCGTCCCCAGAAGCCCTGCACCCGCCTTGCCTCCGCGGGCTGTGGCCTCCCCCCTCCTCACTCTCGCTTCCTGCCCCAGCTGCACTGCACGACTGTGCAACGGGCTCCACCCCCCCGTCCCCTGGGCTCTGAGAGCCTCTGAGGGGCAGCTTGTCTTGGGACCCAAGGGACCACCCTCAACCTCCAAGGCCCAGGGCTGGATGTAAATGTGATGCAAATGATCTTAATCGTAACTGGGTTGGAGGGGGGTGCCTTAGAACCCCCGCCCCCGTCTCCTAGGTAGTGTCTAAACCTCTGCTGGGTGCTTGAAGGTTTGGCCACAACCCGAAGGCGGCAGGTCTGCAAAGGGATGGCTATGCAGTGTACATGCCTGTTCACCTGTCACATACATGCACTTGGGTTACCTCCTCTGCACTGCGCAGGCGTGTAGACGTGCATCTGCCTGGATACCTGTGTGCACAGTACACACGTGGATGTACCCAGGACATATACCTCCACATGCATGGCACATAACTGCATTTTGTAGGCCTGCAGTGTACAAAACCTATACATAATATATAATTCATGGCAGTACAAATGGGACGCTCGCCCTCAGCTCCAAGACCGGAACCTAATGGAGACGGGGCGCGATCCGGCGAAGTCCAGGAGCCCTCACCCCAGCCCCTGCCCGGCAGAGCACAGTAGCTTTGTGGGACCCTCCTCCTGGAGCTGGGGACCAAGGGCTGAGACTTGAAACTGGAGAGCTCAGGATCCTGCACCAGGCGCCCAGGCCTGTGGCAAGAGGGACCTCAGAACACCTCCCTCGGAACTTGGCCATGGCCTAAACGTAAGGCTGCTGCGTGCATTCCCGCAGAGCTCCGTGGCCTCATGGCCGCGCGCAATACAACGCGCGCGCACGCCGCCAGAGCTCCGGGTGCTTCCCGGTGAGTTCGCGCGCGCACGCTCCCGCGCTACCGGCACTGGAACTGGGTCTGTGAGGCCCGGGAAAAGCTTAGCCCCGCCCCCTCGCCACGAGAGGCGCCTGCGCACTGGGATCCAGTAAGATTTTTCTCACGCTGTCTGTCCAGCTTGAGTGGCGCGAATGCGCACGCGCCAATTGCGCCTGCGAGGAAGAAGTCACGTGGCAGCCGGAAAGCGTGGCGGCTGCTGCTAGAGCCTTTCCCTTTACCGCACCCAAGGAGCTGGAGCGACAACAACGACGTCGTTTCCGTTTCCACCACCTCTTCCTGTTCCCGTCCTTGAGGACGCCGTGCCGGGTCAGTGTTAGCCTCCAGCCCTGGTTGTGGAAGGCGACAGAAGTCATGGCGATGTTTGAGCAGATGAGAGCCAACGTGGGCAAGTTGCTCAAGGGTATCGACAGGTCTGAGCCCGGTTGGAGGAAGCGCTCTGGCCAAGCGGGGCGGAGGAGAGGGTTTTCCGGAGACAGCAAGGGGTGTTCAGGGTCCTGGGCTTGCCGCGGGGTGGGGTTTCTCTATCCTCCTGGAGGAGGAGATGCTTAAAGAAACGGCACTGAGCTGGGGGTAGTGGCTCACGCCTGTGATCCTAGCACTTTGGGAGGCCGAGGTAGGTGGGTCGCCTGAGCCCAGGAGTTAGAGACCAGCCTGGGCAACAGCCAAACCCCGTCTCTAAAAGAAAGAAACAAAAGCACTGCAAAGGCCTAGAAGCGAGAGAATCTTGGTACCACTCAGTCTCTTCGTAAATTGCCTTAAGGTTTCCTTCTCTGCTCCGCCTCCTTTGAGTGCCTCTTAATCTCTCCCTTCTCTGCTCTATAAGTCATTCATTCTCCACACGTTTACTGAAATAAACTGTCAGTGCTAGGCAATGCTGGGAACCACAGGCGAATCAGACAGCGGCAGATCATGCCTTCACGGTCTGAGTTCCCTTTCCATAAGGGAGACAAACCTGACAGCAGACAGCGATAGCCGGGAGAGATTAGAACTGAAATGGGGGAAGCAAAGGCCAGAGTGTTCAGGTGGACATGGAGGAAGTAGGCAGCGAGGTAGGCAGGAGAGGATGGGGCTGGATCAGGGTGGAGGCCTGAACAGGGGAGGAAGGGGTGAGTAGCAGAGACATTCAGGAGGCCAGGTGTACAAGCTGCAGTGACTGACTGGCTCAGAGGTTGAGGAGGCATCCTAGGGAAGAGCCAGGGCTCCAGTGGAGTTTAGAGCTTAGGCGAGAGGTCTGGGATAAGAATAAGTTTTACTAGAGATTATACTGGACATAATTCACTACCTGGATAGAGCAAGTGGCCAGTGCCAGATTTAGAGGGGAAGGGCGGGAGGAGCAGGTTACAGTGGCCCCTTGCTCCATAAGGTGGCTGGCCTCAGCTTCTGTCTCCTCTGTGCTCACCTATCTTGATTCTCCTTTAGGTACAATCCTGAGAACCTGGCCACCCTGGAGCGCTATGTAGAGACGCAGGCCAAGGAAAATGCCTATGATCTGGAAGCCAACCTGGCTGTCCTGAAGCTGTAAGTGTCTAGCTCTCTGTCTACACTCCCATTGCAGCAACTAGCAGGGTGCCACTCCCAGTACAGGGCAAGGGGGTGGCTGGTAGTATCCTGAACAATGCAGCATCTCTTGGTGTGCAAGACTAGGAAGCCAAGGAAGTTGGGACAGGAGGAGGGATGGTTTTTGAAAAATCAATTGCCGGGCGCGGTGACTCACGCCTGTTATCCCAGCACTTTGGGAGGATGAGGCAGGCGGATCACCTGAGGTAGGGAGTTTGAGACCAGCCTGGCCAACACGGAGAAACCCCATCTTTACTAAAAAATACCAAATTAGCCAGGCGTGGTGCCACATGCCTGTAATCCCAGCTACTCGGGAGGCTGAGGCAGGAGAATTGCTTGAACCCAGGAGGCGGAGATTGTGGTGAACCAAGATCGCGCCATTGCACTCCAGCCTGGGCAACAAGACCGAAACTCCGTCTCAAAAATAATAATAAAAAATCAATTAGGGTGGCCGCAGGGGCTCATGCCTGTAATCCCAGCACTTTGGGAGGCTGAGGCGAGAGACTCACTTGAGCCAAAGAGTTCGAGACCATCCATGGCAACATAGCGAGACCCAACCCTACGAAAAAATTTAAAAATTAATGTAGCGGTGTGTGGCTGTAGTTCCAGCTACTTGAGAGGCTGAGGTGGAAGGATCGCTTAAGCCTGGAAGATTAAGGTGCAGTGAGCCATGATAGTGCCACTGCACTCCAGCCTGGGGGACAGAGTGAGACCCCTCTTTTTAAAAAAAAAAAAAAAAAAAAGAATTACCAATTTGGGTGACATGGCACAACCCTGTCTCTACAAAAATTAGCTGGGCCCAGTGGCGCATGGCTGTAGTCCCAGCTCCTTGGGAGGCTGAGGCAGGAGAATTTTTTGAGCCTGGGAGGCAGAGGTTGCAGTGAGCCAAGATCATACCACTGCACTCCAGCTTGGGCGACAGAGTGAGACCCTGTCTCAAAAATAAATAAAGGTTAATTACAGAACACATGTACAGGCTAATACATTAAGCAAACATGTAGTTTAACAAATCATTATAAATGAAAGCCTACATAATCACCATTTATGTTGCAAAGTTATTGCTAGCACCACAGGCTCTTTGCCCCCTATGCTCTATGCCAACCAATTCCCCTGCTCCCCCATGCTCTCATGGCCTGGCTTTATGTGATGGTTTACTATGCATGCATACATCTGGCTCAGCTCAGCTCAGGTTTCCCTGCTTTGAACTTGATACAGATGGAGTGCATACAGCACAAACTCTTCTGCATTTGCCATTTGCTACTCAGCACTGGGTTTGTGAGATCCATCCAGTGTTTTTTGTTTTTTTGTTTTGTTTTTGATATGGCTGCAGTTTGTTGTCATGGATGTATAGCTCTCCACTGTGTCACTTGTGTGGCTGTCCTAATGATCTCTTCTGGCTCTTGATGGACATTGTGGGTTCTTCGTGCCCTTTTTTTTTTTTTTTTTTTTTTGGAGACAGGATCTTCTGTTGCCCAGGCTGGAGTACAGTGGCACAGTCATGGCTCACTGCATCCTTAGCCTTCTGGACTCAAGTGATTCTCCCGCCTCAGCCTCCTGAATAGCTGGGACTACAGGCATGCACCACCATGCCCAGCTAATTTTACTTGGGTGCTTTCTTTCTTTCCTTTTTTTTTTTTTTTTGAGACAGGGTCTCACCTTCTTGCCCAGGCTAGAGTGCCTTGGCGTGATCTCATGATCTCAACTCAGTGCATCCTTTGCCTCCCAGGTTCATGTAATCCTCCTGCCTCGGCCTCCTAAGTAGCTGTACGTATCGGGGGGCCTGCCCCGATAATCACGTAGGTTCTTTTCTATATTCCTAAGCATTGGCTGGCTTGAGAAATAGAAGGACAGAGTACAAAAGAGAGAAATTTTAAAGCTGGGCGTCCGGGGGAGACATCACACATTGGTAGGATCCGTGATGCCTCACAAGCCACAAAAACCAGCAAGTTTTTATTAGGGATTT
Source organism: Homo sapiens (assembly GCF_000001405.40). Taxonomy (NCBI): domain Eukaryota; kingdom Metazoa; phylum Chordata; class Mammalia; order Primates; family Hominidae; genus Homo; species Homo sapiens. Next base: position 38,622,438 of record NC_000019.10, read on the forward strand.
TCAAAAGGGGAGGGAGTGTGCGAATAGGTGTGGGCGACAGACATCAAGTACTTAACAGGGTAATAGAATATCACAAGGCAAGTGGAGGCAGGGCGAGATCACAGGACCACAGGATCAAAGCGAAATTAAAATTGCTAATGAAGTTTTGGGCACCACTGTCATTGATAACATCTTATCAGGAGACAGGGTTTTGAGATCAACCGGTCTGACCAAAATTTATTAGGCGGGAATTTCCTCTTCCTAATAAGCCTGGGAACGCTATGGGAGACGAGTTTATTTCACCTCTGCAATCTCGACTATAAGAGACAGGTACGCCCCGGGGGGCCCGTTCAGAGACCTACCCCTAGGTGCGCATTCTCTTTCTCAGGGACGTTCCATGCTGAGAAAAAGAATTCAGCGATATTTCTCCCATTTGCTTTTGAAAGAAGAGAAATATGGCTCTGTTCTGCCCGGCTCACCGGCAGTCAGAGTTTAAGGTTCTCTCTCTCATTCCCGGAACAATTGCTGTTATCCTGTTCTTTTTCCAGGGTGCCCACATTTCATATTGCTCAAACACACATGTTGTGCAATTTTTGTAGTTAACGCAATTATTACAGGGTCCTGGAACGATATACATCCTCCTCAACTGACAGGATTAAGAGATTAAAGTAAAGACAGGCATAGGAAATCACAAGGGTATTGATTGGGGAAGTGATAAGTGTCCATGAAATCTTTACAATTTATGTTTAGAGATTGCAGTAAAGACAGGCATAAGAAATTACAAAAGTATTAATTTGGGGAACTAATAAATGTCCATAAAATCTTCACAATCCACGTTCTTCTGTCATGGCTTCAGCCGGTCCCTCCGTTTGGGGTCCCTGACTTCCCGCAACAGGTACGCACCACCATACCCAGCTAATTTTTGTATTTTTAGTAGAGACAGGGTTTTGCCATGTTAGCCAGGCTGGTCTCGAACTCCTGACCTCAGGTGATCCACCCGCCTTGGCCTCCCAAAGTGCTGGGATTACAGGCGTGAGCCACTGCACCCAGCCTAATTTTTGTATTTTTAGTAGAGACGGGGCTTTGTCATGTTGGCCAGGCTGGTCTCGAACTCCTGATCTCAGGTGATCCGCCCATCTCGGCCTCCCAAAGTGCTGGGATTACAGGCTTGAGCCACCCACCTACCCACCCCCACCGCCACCTTCTGTTGTCCTCTTTTGCAAGGGAGGAAACCGTCAGCCCCTCAGTTTCCTTTCTCTGCTCCTCAGCCTTTCAGTGCCTCTTAATCTCTCTCTTCTCTGCTCCTCGTGTCATAAATAAGCAGTCCAAGGTCACTCAGCAGGGAAGTTTAAACCGAGGCAGTCTGGCTCTGGTTCCTTAGCCACTACTCCAGACCACTGCTGCTGTTCTCATTTGTTTATAAATCACTTAGCAGTGTCTGCCCCATTGGGTAGTTGTGAGCATTAACTGTCCCTGTTCACAGAGGAGAAAGGTAGGCTCAGGGAGGTGAAGGTTACACAGCTGGGAAGCACTGGGACTGGGATTGGAACCCAGGCATGTCCAATTCCCAAACTCCAGAATAAAGCAGCTGCCTGGCACCTGGTGAGGATTGGGGACTTGGAGGTGCCACTGTGGCCACGTCTCTTGTTCTTTTTCTTAGGTACCAGTTCAACCCAGCCTTCTTTCAGACCACGGTCACCGCCCAGATCCTGCTGAAGGCCCTCACCAACTTGCCGCACACAGACTTCACCCTGTGCAAGTGCATGATCGACCAGGCACATGTATCCTTCCAGCACTGGGGCCGGGGGGTGTGTGGGAAGGGGTCAGAGTCAAGGTGCATGAATTCCCAGGGAGATGGTCTGTGGGTGTATCCACAAACAACAAGTGCCTGCTCTGGTCCAGCGTGGCAAGGTGCTGGACAGTGCTGGGACACTGGTGACTGAGACAGTCCTGGGCCCTGTCTTCACAAAGTTGTCGCAGTCCAGTGAAGAGTCAGTGATAGACTGGAGTGGTCAGGGTTGGGTTACAAGAGTCACAGCAGCCGGGCACAATGACTCAGGCCTCTAATCCCGGCACTTTGAGAGGTCAAGGTGGGTGGATCACCTGAGGTCAGGAGTTCGAGACCAGCCTGGCCAACATGGCGAAACCCCATCTCTATTAAAATACAAAAAATTAGCCAGGCACAGTGGCACACACCTATAGTCCCAGTTACTCAGGAGGCTGAGGCAGGAGGATCACTTGAAGCTGGGAGATGGAGGTTGCAGTGAGCCGAGATTGCGCCACTGCACTCCACCCTGGGTGACACAGTGAGACTCTGTCTCAAAAAAAAAAAGAAGAGCCAGAGTAGGCACCTGACCATTTGGGTGGGGGAATATGTGGACATGAACACAGCCATCTGTATTTACATTCTATAGAACAATGTCTGGAAAGGTGGAAAGGTACCCAAGAATTGGAAATGACTGTTACCTCCCAGGAAGGATGGCTGTGAGACAGGGAAGGGAAGACCTATTTTGCCACTGTTCACTCTTCTGTATTTTTAACTAGAAACTATAAACCAGGGCCTCCTGGAGGAGGGAACATCTAAAACATAACGAGTTAGGTGGAGGGGTAGGCAAAGGTGATCCAGGCAGAGAGGACACTCATGGGCTAAAGGAAGCAGAGCTCGGTGCTGTCTTTCAGGAATGGTAGAGGAAGCCTGACATAGGAATGATTTAAGGTGGGTTTTTTTTTGTTGTTGTTTTATTTTATTTATTTTATTTTTTTTTTGAGACGGAGCCTTGCTCTGTCACCCAGTCTGGAGTGCAGTGGCGTGATCTCGGCTTCCTGCAACTTCCACCTCCCAGGTTCAAGCTATTCTGTCTCAGCCTCCTGAGCAGCTGGGACCACAGGTGCATGCATGCTACCACGCCCAGCTAATTTTTGTATTTTTAGTAGAGACGGGGTTTTGCTATGTTGGCCAGGCTGCTCTCGAACTCCTGACCTCAGGTGATCCACCCGCCTCAGCCTCCCAAAGTGATAGGATTACAGATGTGAGCCACCGTGCCCAGCCTATAGGTTTTATTTTATTAGTAATAATAGTAGGGTTTTTTTGTTAATATTTTCTTTTTTTTTGAGATGGAGTCTTGCTCTGTCATCCAGGCTGGCGTGCAAAGGCGTGATCTTGGCTCACTACAACCTCCTCCTCCCGGGTTCAAGTGATTCTCCTGCCTCAGCCTCCCAAGTAGCTGGGACTATAGGCACGTGCCACCACACCCAGCTGCTTTTCGTATGTTTAGTAGAGATGGGGTTTCGCTATGTTGGCCAGGCTGGTGTCGAACTCCTGACCTCAGGTGATCCACCCGCCTTGGCCTCCCAAAGTGCCAGGATTACAGGCGTGAGCCACCAGGACTGGCATGTCATTTCTCATCTTTTGCCATTACAAACAGTCCTGCAGCCAACATCCTTTCTCCTGCATACACCTGCAGGAGAAATAAGCTGGCTTCCTTTTCCAGCTGTTTTTCTGAGCTGAAGCTTTGGAAGAAAGCAGCCAGAAGAAGGTAGGTGGGGAGGGGTGATCTGGGGTCCAACCTTACGCTCCGAGGCCAGTTTTCCTTAATGCTTCCTCCTCCCAGCAAGAAGAACGGCCAATCCGACAGATTTTGTACCTCGGGGACCTGCTGGAGACCTGCCATTTCCAGGCCTTCTGGGTAACTTCCCTGGGGTCCAGGGGCAGGGGAGATGGCAGGGCCATGTGGAGCTGAGTGCTAAAAGTAACAACGGTGCACACTGACTGGCTTCCTGCTTTGGCGGTGGGCCCAGTGCTCTGCATGTGTGTGTTTGTGGAATTATCATCCTCTCGCGGAGCAGGTACTCACAGGTCATCCCCGTGCCCACAGGCTGAGGCCGACCCTTTCCCCTTTCTCCCATCTTTCCACTGAGCCCTCTAGTACACACCGTTGATCAGAAGTCCTCCAGTGGCTGGGTGTAGTGACTCACCCCCGTGATTCCAGTACTTGTGGAGGCCAAGGTGGGAGGATTGCTTGAGGCCAGGAGTTCCAGACCAGCCTGAGCAACATAGTGAAACTTCATCTCTACAAAATTGAAAATTAATTGGGTGTGGTGGCATGTGCCTGTACTCCCAGCTACCCAGGAGGCTAAGGTGGGAGGATCGCTTGAGGCTGCGAGTGAGCCGTGATCACACCACTGCACTCCAGCCTGGGCAACAGAGCAAGACCCTGTCTCAAGAAAGAGAAATTCTCCGTCTCTTCTACCTGTCTGACATGCTCTGCCCTTCTTGCTCTAACTGGAACCTGGCCCCCCACTTCTGCAGCCCCCTAAGTGGGAGGCTAGATCACCTCCTGGCTCCTATCTCTTCTGATACCCTCAGTCTTTTTTGTTGTTTTTTGTTTGTTTGTTTTTTGGTTTTTTTGAGATGGAGTCTCACGCCATTGCCTAGGCTGTAGTACAGTGGCACGATCTTGGCTCACTGCAACCTCTGCTTCCCGGGTTCAAGTGATTCTCCTGTCTCCCGAGTAGCTAGTACTACAGGCACACGCCATCATGCCCAACTAAATTTTATATGTATTTTTTATTTTATTTTGTTTTATTTTTGAGACAGAGTCTCAGTCTTGCCCAGGCTGGAGTGCAGTGGCGCGATCTTGGCTTACTGCAACTGCCGCCTCCCGAGTTCAACTGATTCTCGTGCCTCAGCCTCCTAAGTGGCTGGGGTTACAGGCATGTGCCATCACGCTGGCTAATTTTTGTATTTTTAGTAGAGACGGGGTTTTGCCATGTTGTCCAGGCTGGTCTTGAATTCCTGACCTCAGGTGATCTGCCTGCCTCAGCCTCCCAAAGTGCTGGGATTATAGGCGTGAACCACCACGCCGGGCCAGAAACCCCCAGTTTTGAAGTGTGTGTGTCGTCACTTCCTGCCCGGTATCAGTCCCTCTGGTGACTGCTCTTTGTTTCTTGAAGAATTCAGCCCCTGGCTGGCCACGGTGGCTCAACGCCTGTAATCCCAGCACTTTGGGAGGCCGAGGCAGGTGGATCACCTGAGGTCGGGAGTTCGAGACCAGCCTGACCAACGTGGAGAAATACTGTCTTAACTAAAAATACAAAATTAGCTGGGTGAGGTGGCACATGCCTGTAATCCTAGCTGCTCGGGAGGCTGAGGCAGGAGAATCACTTGAACCCAGTGGGTTCAACCTCACCCAGAGGTTATGGTGAGCTGAGATCATGCCGTTGCACTCCAGCCTGGGTGACAGAGTGAGACTCCGTCTCAAAAAAAAAAAAAATTCAGCTCCTTCTCACTGGCGCTCTCTACCACTCCTGCCCTAATTCTTAGACGCTTAGAAAGTAACACAGAGGATCCTTTGACCACCCAGACCTCTGGGTCCCTTGCTCTCTTGGCCAGCTATCTTGTGCTACACCTGACCTCAGCCCTTCTCTTCCAATCATACCCCAGGCCAGTTCTCTGCACATTAGACCTCTGAGGCATTTATTTTCTTTCCTTTTTTTTTTTTTGTTTGAGACCATGTCTCGCTGTGTCACCCAGGCTGGAATGCAGTGGCACAATCTCAACTCACTGCAACCTCTGCCTGCTGGGTTCAAGCAATTTTCCTGTCTCAGCCTCCCAGGTAGCTGGGACTACAGGCATGCACCACCCCGCCGGCTAATTTTTGTATTTTTAGTAGAGACGGGGTTTCACCATGTTGGCCAGGCTGGTCTCGAACTACTGACCTCAAGTGATCTGCCCGCCTTGGCCTTCCAAAGTGCTGGGACTACAGGTGTCAGCCACCACGCCCGGACCTCTGAGGCATTTTTAAAAATTAATACTGATACTTGGGTCCTCCCTCACAGAGTCTGATGTAATTGCTTCAGTGTAGCCTAGGCCTTGGGATTTTAAAAGGTTACCCTGGGTGATTTGGACATCTGGCCAATGTTGGGAGCCACTGCCGTCACCAATAATGGCTCCCCTCCTCCCTCTGTGAGTTTCCAGCATCTCCATTCTCTGACCGCTTCCTCCTAGCTTCTCAGCTCACCCCCACAGGGTCTCCATCCCCACATTCTTGGGCCTGACCATTAGCTCCAACCCTCTTTCTCTGCAGGCTTCTCTGTTCCGCTTCCTTCTCTTAAATCGCATGTGCTGGCTGGGCATGGTGGCTCACACCTGTAATCCCAGCACTTTGGGAGGCCGAGGTGGATGGATCGCCTGAGGTCAGGAGTTCGAGACCAGCCTGACCAACGTGGAGAAACCCCATCTCTACTAAAAATACAAAGTTGGCCGGGCGTGGTGGCGCATGCCTGTAATCCCAGCTACTCGGGAGGCTGAGGCAGGAGAATTGCTTGAACCTGGGAGGCGGAGATTGCGGTGAGCCGAGATCATGCCATTGCACTCCAGTCTGAAAAAGAGCGAAACTCCATCTCAAAAAAAAAAAAGAGAAAAAATGTCGCATGTGACTCCCCTGTCCCCAGCTGCAGCTACGGTCTTGCTTCCTTCCCCAACTCCTGGATGTTTCCTCATGCTTTATCTGTCTCCCTTTCTTCTCACCTCAACTTATGATCTGGCTTCTTGTCTCGGGAGAAAATGGAAGCAGCCACTGTAGAAATTGCACCTGTTCCTATCCCAGACCCTGACATTTTATGTGCAGCTGACTGCACACTTTTTTTTTTAATTCTTAAACATTTTATTTTTTATTCAAGTAAGAAATTATTGATTAGCTTCAGTTAATCCCACAAAGAAAATGATCAAATGCTTAAAATAATAGAGTTTACTAGTTCTACAACTGTTCTCACTAGCAAACTAGCAAATGAGATGTGTTGGAGATCTTAGACCTATTCCATGGAACAGATAGACAGGTTTTTTTTGTTTGTTTGTTTTGTTTTGTTTTGTTTTGTTTTGTTTTGTTTTGTTTTTTGAGACAGGGTCTCACTCTGTCGCCCAGGCCGCAGTGCAGTGATGCAAACACAGCTCACTGCAGCTTTGACCTCCCAGGCTCAAGTGATCCCCGCACTTCAGCCTCCTGAGTAGCTGGGACTAACAGGCCCACGCCAACACGCCTGGCTAATTTTTCTATTTGTAGTAGAGGTTGGATTTCGCCATGTTGACCAGGCTGGTCTTGAACTTCTGGCCTCAAGTGATCCTCCTGCCTCGCCTCCCAAAGTGCTGGGATTACAGGTTGAGCCACCACGCCCGGCCACAAATCTGGATTTCTGCCCACCTCACTGGCTACACCTTCCCGGCATCCATGTGGGGGATTCCCTCCCTTTTGTTGGAGAGAACCTATACCACAGACCTAACCTTTGAGCAGAAATCTGAAGGAGGTGAGGGTGGTAGCCATGGAGGAGAATTCCATACACAGGCCCTGAGGTAGGCGGGTGTCTGGCGGGTTTGGGGAGCAGCAGGGAAGCCCCTGTGGCTGGAGCAGGGTGAGTGAGTAGCGAGTAGGTGGAGGTGAGGGCACAGAGGTGACAGGCAGATTCTGTGTGGCCTAATGGGCTATGGTAGGAAAATTGGCCTTTTCTCTGAGTGAGACAGAAGCAAGGGGAGGTGGCTGAATACACTTAGCCAATATGTGTCTGCCCCCTTTCTCAGGGCTCTGGTTTCTGCCTGCCAGGTTCAAGCCTCACCTCCAGGATTTTTGGAAAATCATGTAGCTGCCCTGGTCTCCTCATCTCTAAAATGGATATAACTTACATCACATGGCTACACTTAGAAGAATGGCTATAGCATGTGGGGTCAGTGCTCAAAGTGGTAGCTGCTTTTTTTTTTTTTCTGAAATGGAGTATGGCTCTGTCGCCCAGGCTAGAGTGCAGTGATATGATCTTGGCTCGCTGCAACCTCTGCCTCCCAGGTTCAAGTGATTCTTCTGCCTCATCTTCCCAAGTGGCTGGGATTACAGATTTCAGGCATCCACCACCACACCCGGTTTAATTATTTATTTATTTATTTATTTTTTTTTTTTTTTGAGATGGAGTCTCGCGCTGTCGCCCAGGCTGGAGTTCAGTGGCACAATCTCAGCTCACTGCAACCTCTGCCTCCTGGGTTCAAGTGATTCTTCTGCCTCAGCATCCCGAGTAGCTGGGTCTGCAGGCACATGCCACCACACCTGGCTAATTTTTTGTATTTTTAGTAGAGACGAGGTTTCACCATGTTAGCCGGGATGGTCTCGATCTCCTGACCTCACGATCGCCCGTCTCAGCCTCCCCAAGTGCTGGGATTACAGGTTTGAGCCACCACGCCCAGCCAGCCTAATTTCTGTTTTTTGTTTGTTTGTTGTTTTTTGTTTTGTTTTGTTTTGAGACAGAGCCTCCCTCTGTCGCCCAGTCTGGAATGCAATGGTGTGATCTCGGCTCACCACAACCTCCATCTCCTGGGTTCAAGCGATTCTCCTGCTTCAGCCTCCTCAGTAGTTGGGATTACAGGAATGTGCCACCACGCCCTGCTAATTTTGTAATTTTAGTAGAGTCAGGGTTTCTCCATGTTGGTCAGGCTGGTCTCGAACTCCCGACCTCAGGTGATCCGCCCGCCTCAGCCTCCCAAAGTGCTGGGATTACAGGCATGAGCCACTGTGCCTGGCTGATTTCTTTATTTTTAGTAGAGACAGGGTTTCACCCTGTTGGCCAGGGTAGTCTCGAACTCCTGACCTCAAGTGATCCACCCACCTCAGCCTCCCAAAGTGCTGGGATTATAGGTGTGAGCCACCACACATGGCCTGGTAGCTGCTATTCTTGTTAACATTACTGAAGGGGTGGGTTGCCCCTCCACACCTGGGAGTGTTTCTCGTTAGGTGGAATGAGAGACTTGGAAAAGAGACATAGAGACAAAGTATAGAGAAAGAGAAAAGGGGGCCCAGGGGACCGCGTTCAGCACACGGAGGATCCCACCGGCCTCTGAGTTCCCTTAGTATTTATTGATCATTATTGGGTGTTTCTCGGAGAGGGGGATGTGGCAGGGTCATAGGATAATAGTGGAGAGAAGGTCAGCAGGTAAACACGTGAACAAAGGTCTCTGCATCATAAACAAGGTAAAGAATTAAGTGCTTTGCTTTTGATGTGCATACACATAAACATCTCAATGCCTTGAAGAGCAATATTGCTGCCCGCGTGTCCCACCTCCAGCCCTAAGGCGGTTTCCCCCTATCTCAGTAGATGGAACATACAATCGGGTTTTACACGAGACATTCCATTGCCCAGGGACGGGCAGGAGACAGATGCCTTCCTCTTGTCTCAACTGCAAAGAGGCGTTCCTTCCTCTTTTACTAATCCTCCTCAGCACAGACCCTTTACGGGTGTCGGGCTGGGGGACTGTCAGGTCTTTCCCTTCCCACGAGGCCATATTTCAGACTATCACATGGGGAGAAACCTTGGACAATACCTGGCTTTCCTAGGCAGAGGTCCCTGCGGTCTTCCGCAGTGTTTGTGTCCCTGGGTACTTGAGATTAGGGAGTGGTGATGACTCTCAAGGAGCATGCTGCCTTCAAGCATCTGTTTAACAAAGCACATCCTGCACCGCCCTTAATCCATTTAACCCTGAGTTGACCCAGCACATGTCTCAGGGAGCACGGGGTAAGGTTACAGATTAACAGCATCTCAAGGCAGAAGAATTTTTCTTAGTACAGAATAAAATGGAGTCTCCTGTGTCTACTTCTTTCTACACAGACACAGTAACAATCTGATCTTTCTTTTCCCCACACATTACTGATAAGAACGTTGTTGATAGGTAAGATTACCAGTGTAGGCTGGGAGTGGTGGCTCACCCCTGTAATCCCAACGCTTTGAGAGGCCAGCGTGGGCAGATCACTTGAGCCCAGGAGTTTGAGATCAGCCTGGGCAATATAGTGAGACCTCGTCTATGTAACAACAGCAGCAACAAAATCTTAGCACTTTGGGGGGCTGAGGCAGGAAGATCACTTGAGCCCAGAAATTCAAGACCAGCCTGGGCAACGTAGTGAGACCCCATCTCTATAAATAAATAAAAATAAAAGCAAATAATTTAAAAGAATAAACATTGTGAACATCAATTCCCATCACAGCAAGCCCTGGATGAAAACATGGACCTCTTGGAAGGTATAACTGGCTTTGAAGACTCTGTCCGAAAGTGTAAGTCCCTCTCTGAGGCTGGGCTCCCCAAGGGGAAGGGGTAGGGAGTGGCAGCCAGGTCCGGGGGGACAGCTGCTCACCGGTTTTGTCTCTGACCTCCACAGTTATCTGCCATGTTGTGGGTATCACTTACCAGCACATTGACCGCTGGCTGCTGGCCGAGATGCTCGGGGATCTGTCGGGTAACGCCCTCTGGGTCCTGGTGCACATCTGGGAGGTTGGGGGTGGCTAGGGCAGTGGACCTCAGTCAGCTCCTCCAACAGGCCTGTCTGGGTCTCATCAGGTCAGCATGGAAGGCCCAGCCCAAGGAGGAAATAAGAACTTGGTATAAGACAGTCTCTGCCTTGAGGGAGATCCTATGCCATTTGCTCATTTATTTTGCATTAATTGAGTGCCTACCGTGTGTCAGTGTGCTAAACTGGGCGTGCAGCAGTAAACAAAGTGGGATGGCTCCAATTCATTCTCATGGAGGTAGCAAAGCACATGGCGACATGGAGGTGTCCAGTGGTGATTCCTGTCATGAAGGAAAGCAAGACAGCTCACAGACCAGCGGCATCTGAGCCCTTACCTCCGTAGAGAGAGGCCCGTGGCCTGAGGTAGTGCAGAGGAGGATAGTAGAGCAGGGCCCTGACTTGTAACGTTCATGGGTAGCCAGGGTGTATGTGGCCAGAGCAGAGTAAGCATGGGCGAAAGTAGAGAGCTGGGGGTTGGAGGGGCATTTCCAGGTCATGTGGGGCCTCGGGAGGACCTTGTCCTTTCCCCTGACTGAGAAGGAGCCACCGGAGGGCTCTGAGCAGGGTAGGGCTCTGATCAGATGGATATTTTTTAAAGATCCCCCCAAGAACAAAAAAAGAAAAAATAACTTATTTGCTTACTTTTGTAAAAAGAAACGTAGAAAAGGAAGTCAAGAAACTAAGGAAGGCCGGGTGCGGTGGCTCCCGCCTGTAATCCAGCACTTTGGGAGGCCGAGGTGGGCGGATCATCTGTGGTCAGGAGTTCGAGACCAGCCTGCCCAACATGGTAAAACCCCCTCTCTACTAAAAATACAAAAAATTGCTGGGTGTGGTGGCGTGCACCTGTAATCCCAGCTACTTGGGAGGCTGAGGCAGGAGAATTGCTTCAACGCAGGAGGCGGAGGTTGCAGTGAGCTGAGATCGCACCATTGCACTAGTGATAAGATCGAAACTCCATCTAAAAAAAAAAAGAAACTAAGGAAGGCCACGTGTGATGGCTCATACCAGTGAGGGAGGCAGATCACGTGAGGTCAGGAGTTCGAGACCAGCCTGGCCAACATGGGGAAACCCCGTCTCTACTAAAAATACAAAAATTAGCTGGACGTGTTGGCATGTGCCTGTAATCCCAGCTATTCGGGAGGCTGAGGCAGGAGAACCGCTTGAGCCCAGGAGCAGAGGTTGCAGTGAGCCAAGATCACACCACTGCATTCCACTCTGGGCACTTTTAGTAGAGAAGGAGTTTGACCATGTTGGCCAGGCTGGTCTTGAACTCCTGACCTCAAGTGATCTGCCCACCTTGGCCTCCCAAAGTACTGGGATTACAGGCGTGAGCCGCTGCATCCAGCCAAGTAAAAGCTAACTTTTTTTTTTTTTTTTTTTTTTTTTTTGAGGTGGAGTCTGGCTCTGTCACCCAGGCTGGAATGCAGTGGCATAATCTCGGCTCACTGCAACCTCCTCCTGGTTTCAAACAATTCTCCTGCCTCAGCCTTCCAAATAGCTGAGACTATAGGCCTCTGCCACCTCGCCCAGCTAATTTTTTTTTTTTTTTTTTTTTTAGCAGAGATGGGGTTTCACCACGTTGGCCAGGACTTGGCACGGTGGCTCACACCTGTAATCCCAGCACTTTGGGAGGCCAAGGTGGGCGGATCACCTGAGGTCGGGAGTTCGAGACCAGCCTGACCAACATGGAGAAACCCCATCTCTACTAAAAATACAAAATTAGCCAGGCGTGGTGGCGCATGCCTATAATCCCAGCTACTCGGGAGGCTGAGGCAGGAGAATTGCTTGAACCTGGGAGGTGGAGGTTGCAGTGAGCCGAGATTGCGCCATTGCACTCCAGCCTGAGCAACAAGAGCAAAAACTCCGTCTCAAAAAAAAAAAAGTGTATTGTTTCTGGTAATGGTCATGTTATAATTTTGCAACCGTTTCATATAGGTTGTGGGAAAAGGTAGATAAATACGCTGCTCTTGTTAGGAACCAAAATTTGCCCAGGGAGAGAAAACAGAGGAATAGAAATTAAGGCAGAAGCCCCACGATGAGGCTGAAAGAGCTCACAGGCTCCCTCTGGCGGCCATTCAGAGAATGACCCGTGGAAGGGCAGGGGCGGAAGCAAGGAGACCAGGCCAGCTGCTGCTGTCCAGGAGATGTCAGTGGGCAAGGGGGGCTGCCCTGGCTTCCTGAGCCATGACTCTGTTGCCTCTCAGTCCCCTGGAACTGTGGGATCAGGCTGACTGAAGCCCCTTGCTGCCCCTGTCACCTGCAGACAGCCAGCTAAAGGTGTGGATGAGCAAATACGGCTGGAGTGCCGACGAGTCGGGGCAGATCTTCATCTGTAGCCAAGAAGAGAGCATTAAACCCAAGAACATTGTGGAGAAGATTGACTTTGACAGTGAGTGGTGACCCACGGCCTCGGGCTTTGGGGCTAAGGGGGTGCCCCTCAAGGGAGGCCGAGGCAGGGGCCCAGAGGACCTGGGTAGATCTGCTCGTGTTCTGGGCTGGGAAGTCTGCACCTGCCAGATTCCATTCACCTTGTGTCTTGGGGCTCCCGCCCAGGAGGAATAGCGGGGAGCTGGGTGATCTTCCCTGGAACTTCTAGGCCCTGTGTCCTGCCCCATAGCACTCAGCAAGACTTCCTGGGGCCCAGCGGGGCCTCACAGGGGGTCTCTGCACCCTTATTTGTCCCTGAGGCCTGTCTCGTTGGCCATCTTTTATTCTTGGGGTGCCCAAGCCTCATGTGCAGACTTGGAATCCGGTGAACAGTAGGAATCTTGATTCTCTAGTTTGGGTGATTCCACATTTTTGTGCCTCAGTTTTCTCATCTAAAAAATGGGGACGACTGCAACAGTAACTATGATAAACACTGTGTAGGTCCTTACACTTACATCATTTGATCCTCAGTTGCTAAATGATATAAATAGTATCATACCTACCTCATGGCATCATAAGTGTGAATGCATGTATAACACTTAGCAAAGAGCTAAGTGACCACACAGTTCATTAAATGTTCATTATGACCATCGTCTACACACATGTAACTAACACAGGCTCAACTGCTTGCTCAACTAAAAAGATTGCAGTGGCTACTCCGGCAGCGGGTGCTGCTTCACTGCCGCTCATCATGGCACTGAGCAGATGTCCTGGAGCCAGGGAGAAAGGCACAGGCGGGCTGCTGCCTTCATCCCGGGTCTCCCCCACCCGCTTGAGTGTGATTCAGGTGTTTTAAAGATGTGTTTGGTACAACGTGGTTTCTTAACACAAACCAGCTAATTTTGTACTTAACTGGGGAACAGCATTGAGCAGGCAGCCATCTGCGCACTTGCAGCCCGTGGTATCTCACCTCTAAACGCCGCGTGACTGCTGTGTCGGGGTTCTCAGTGAGAACTCCAGCAAAAGATTCTGTAGTGAGGAAAGGGCCTCCTTTCTTCTCCCCTTTGGCTTCTGTTGCCCCACCCCACCTTCCTGACCTTTTAGGTCACAGGTGGAGAGGGCAGTGCTGAGTCAACAAGGAAAAGGAGGAGGAAGGTGTGAATCTCAGGGAAGTAGGAGCCCAGCCCTGCCGGGGGAGTAGACGGGAGGGTTCCCTCTGTCTCAGTTCTGGCTCCATTGCTCTGTGTCCTGGGTCAAACAGGATAGGTTCAAAATACTCAGGAGGCTGAGGCAGGAGAATCACTTGAACCCGGAAGGTGGAGGTTGCAGTGAGCCAAGATCGCTCCACTGCACTACAGCCTGGGCAACAGAATGAGACTGTGTCTCAAAAAAAAACTTAAGAGTATCCTGCAAATAGTACCTAGTAAATATTATCATGTAGGTAATTACAAACAACACTTCCTTGGCACTTTGTTCTAAGCACCTCGTTTGGTCCTACAATCCTATAAGGTAGGTGCTTCTTAAAGATAGGAAGGTAGGTGATGCTCAGAGATGTTCAGTAACTTGTCCAAGTGACCCAGCTGTTAATTGGCAGAGCTGGGATTTGAACCTAGCCCTCCTTGCTCCAGAGTCCATCTTTTTAAAATACTGCACCAAACTGCCTTTGTGATGGTAACTGGGGCCTGGAAGGAGTTTATGATCTCCCCCTAAAGAATTGTGGGTGCTGTAGCAGGTGGCTGGAGGTTTGTCTCCCGCCCTTCTCACCTTCAGTCTGGTCTCTCCTTCCCCACAGGTGTGTCCAGCATCATGGCCTCCTCCCAGTAACTTCAGGTGTTTAATAAAGATGTGTTGACTCAGCCCTACTGTCTCCTCCCTGGCTTCCTGCCTCTGCCCCTTGCCCACCAGAGGGAGCTCAGGAGCAGGCCTCTGCTCTGGGTTGGCCCCCGCACCGTACCCCCAGCCCCCACCACACCACACCCCATGGCGGGGTTTCCGCCTCCTTTTTCCCCTGCTTCGACTTCCTCCCTTGCCCCACCCTACCTTCCTGACCTTTTAGGTCTTGGGTGGGGAGGGCAGCATTGAGTCAGCAAGGAGGAGGGAGTATGAATGGGATGTGGCAGCCCAGCCCTGTGGTGGAGGCTGAGCACCTCTGGGAGGAGTGAAGGTGAAGTTTCCCTCTGTCTTGATGGTGGCTCTTGCTTTGTGACCTTGGTCAAGGGACTGTGCCTCTTTTTTTTTTAGACGAAGTCTCGCTCTGTCGCCCAGGCTGGAGTGCAGTCGCGCGATCTCGGCTCACTGCACGCTCCACCTCCCGGGTTTATGCCATTCTCCTGCCTCAGCCTCCAGAGTAGCTGGGACTACAGGCGCCCGCCACCATGCTCGGCCAATTTCTTGTATTTTTAGTAGACAGGGTTTCACCGTGTTAGCCAGGATGGTCTTGATCTCCTGACCTTGTAATCTGCCTGCCTCGGCCTCCCAAAGTACTGGGATTACAGGCGTGAGCCACCGCGCCCAGCCGGGATTGTGCCTCTCTAATTCTCAGTTTCTTCATCTGCAGAAGGGGAAGAATAATGCACCCTTCTGAAACCTGTGAGGGTTTCTCCGGCCCTTGCCAGTAAAGGCCTGAGATTGGGGCCTGTCCTGTCCTGTCCTTGCTCTTAGAAAATGTGAGCCACAGGCCGGGTGCAGTGGTTCACGCCTGTAATCCCAACACTTTAGGAGGCCAAAGCAGGAGGATTGCTTGGCCAGAGTTTGAGACCAGCCTGGGCGACAGAGTGGGACTCCGTCTCAATATATATATATATATATATATATATATTTTTTTTTTTTCTTTTTCTTTTTCTTTTTTTTTTTTTTAGAGACAGAGTCTCACTCTGTCGCCCAGGCTGGAGTGCAGTGGCGCGATCTCAGCTCACTGCAACCTTTGCCTCCCAGGTTGAAGCAATTCTTCTGCCTCAGCCTCCCAAGTAACTGGGACTACAGGCACACACCTCCACGCCCGGCTAATTTTTTTGTATTTTAGTAGAGATGGGGTTTCATCGTGTTGCCCAGGCTGGTCTCGAACTCTTGGGCTCAGGCAGTCTCCCTGCTTCGACCTCCCAAAGTGCTAGGAATACACACGTGAGCCACCGCGCCTGACCAAAAAGTTTATTTTAAATAGCTAGGCATGGTGGCGCGTGTCTGTAGTCCCAGCTATTTAGGAGGCTGAGGTCGGCAAATCACCTGAGCCCAGGAGGTCAAGGCTGCAGTGAGCTGTGATCACACCACTGCACTCCAGCTTGGGTGACAGACCCTGTCTCAAAAAAGAAAATATAAGCCATTGTTAATTTCAGGCTCAGAAGTGTTTGTCACCAAGGTTGCAAGCTAGTCCTCAGTACTATTCTGTATGGAGAGACTTCATGAGAAAATTAGTATATATATATTTTTTCCTCTCAAGGTGTCATAGGTAGACAGCTCCTTCAGCCACACCATTCTTTCCAAGTCGCATGCCGCTCCCCTGGTTAGTGTTACCTGACAGGAGACCTGACTCACCTTACATGTTCATTCCCTTCTTACCTGAGGAATTTGGGGCACTCCCAGTGGCCCTTAGGCAGTGCTTTTCCCCTGTGAGCATATTGCCTGGAGGGCTAGGGGGTTGGGGGAATGCAGGAATTAAAAAGACCCAGTAGAGGCTGGTTTATGCCTGTAATCCCAGCACTTTGGGAGGCTAAGGGAGGAGGATGACTGGAATCCCTCTACGCAAAAGTAAAAATTAGCTCAGGTTGGGCATGGCGGTCCATGCATGTAATTCCAACAGTGGGAGGCTGCAGCAGGAGGATTGCTGAAAGCCAGGAGTTCGAGACCAGGTCAACAAAGCGAGACCCTGTTCCTATAAAAGTTTTAAAATTAACTGGGCCTGGCCAGGCACAGTGGCTCACGCCTGTAATCCCAACACTGGGAAGCCAAGGCAGATGGATTGCTTGACCTCAGGAGTTCGAGGCGAGTCTGGGCAACATGGTGAAACCCTGTCTCTACAAAAAACTACAAAAGAAAATAGCCAGGCATGGTGGTACACACATGTAATCCCAGCTACTCTGGAGGCTAAGGTGGGAGGATCACTTGAGCCTGGGAGGCAGAGGTTGCAGTGAGCCAAGATGGCGTCACTGCACTCCAGCCTGGGTAACAGAGTGAGACCCTGTCTCAAAAATAAGTAAGTTGGCCAGGCGCGGTGGCTCACGCCTGTAATCCCAGCACTTTGGGAGGCCGAAGTGGGCAGATCACGAGGTCAGGAGATCGAGACCATCCTAGCTAACACGGTGAAACCCCGTCTCTACTAAAACTACAAAAAAATTAGGCAGGCGCCTGTAGTCCCAGCTACTCTGGAGGCTGAGGCAGGAGAATGGCATGAACCCGGGAGGCGGAGCTTGCAGTGAGCTGAGATCGCACCACTGCACTCCAGCCTGGGCGACAGAGCTAGACTCCGTCTCAAAAAAATAAATTAAAAAAAAAAAGTAAGTAAGTAAAAATTAGCCAGGCACAGTGGTATGTGCCTGTAGTCCTGGCTACCCAGGAGTTTGAGGCTGCAATGAGCTATGATTGCACCACTGCACACCAGCCCAGGTGACAGCAAGACCCTGTCTCCAAAAAAGGAAAAGAAATGCCCTAATAGATGTTCATTACTTAGAGTAGACTGGCAGCTGCCCCTTGGTGATTTATTGATGGATGCTGGTGTGCATAAGCGTTGCCTTGGAGAGGGCAGCTGTGGTACCCAAGCTGCCAGCCGGCCTGACCTCCCTGTGTGCACTCACAGCCAGCATTCCTCAGAGGGCCCTGCCTGTGGGAGCAGACACCCCTTGCCCTGGGGCCCAGACCTCAGCAGGGCCCCAGTAGCCAGGGAGTGCCTAAATCCTGGGGACTGAACAAAAGTGTGCCTCTGCAGCTCACTGGGATAAAAAGGACTGGGAGGCCTGGCACAGTGGCTCATGCCTGTAATCCCAGCACTTTGGGAGGCCGAGGTAGGCAGATCACCTGAGGTCAGGAGTTTGAGAACAGCCTGACCAACATGGTGAAACCCCGTCTCTACTAAAAATACAAAATTAGCCGGGCGTGGTGGCGGGCGCCTGTATTCCCAGCTACTTGGGAGGGTGAGGCAGGAGAATCGCTTGAACCCGGGAGGCAGAAGTTGCAGTGACCCGAGATCGCGCCATTGCACTCCAGCCTGGGCAACAAGAGCGAAACTGCCTCAAAAAAATAATAATAAAAAGGACTGGGATGCCTCTACCACCCATGAACTTGGGCACATTAGCAAAAGGCACCCCTTCTGGGTGGGGACAACTCCCAGTTACCCACTTGGCAGGTGCCCTTATGCAGGATACAACCTGCACAATTGGCCATGGCTGCTCTGCAAGGGAAGAGGAAATGACCTTTTTCCCCTCCTCTGGGAGCCACATCTCATCCTGCCTCACTGGGCTGCTTTCACTATCAGAGGGTCATTCATACTCCGAACAGCTAGGAGGTGGCTCTGGAGAAAAACTGCCTGAGTTCACTCCCCAGCCCAGCCGCCTCAGGGTATGTGAGTTGTCTTCTCTGTACCTGTTTTACAGCTGGGGAAAGTAGTAATTGTACCCACGTCAGTAGTTAATGCCTGCAAAGAGTTTAGAACAGCTTGGTGGGTGCAGTGGCTCACGCCTGTAATCTCAGCACTTTGGAGGCCAAGGCGCGTGGATCATCTGAGGCCAGGAGTTCGAGACCAGCCTGGCCAACGTGGTGAAACCCCACCTCTACTAAAAATACAAAAATTAGCTGGGCTTGGTGGCGGGTGCCTGTAATCCCAGCTACTCAGGAGGCTGAGGCAGGAGAATAGCTTGAACCAGGGAGGTGGAGGTTGCAGTGAGCTGAGATCACGCCATTGCACTTCAGCCTGGACGACAGAGTGAGACCTTGTCTCAAAAAAATAAGCTGGGCGTGGTGTCTCACTCCTATAATCCCAGCACTTTGGGAGGCTGAAGTGGGCGGATCATGAGGTCAGGAGTTCAAGACCAGCCTGTCCAATATAGTGAAACCCCATCTCTACTAAAAAACACAAAAATTAGCTGTGTGTGGTGGCGCATGCCTGTAGTCTCAGCTATTCGGGAGGCTGAGACAAGAGAATCGCTTGAACCCGGGAGGCAGAGGTTGCAGTGAGCCAAGATCATGCCATTGCACTCCAGCCTGGGCAACAGAGTGAGACTCCGTCTCAAAAACTAATAATAAATAAATAAATAATAAATTAAAAAATAGCCGGGGCGCAGTGGCTCATGCCCGTAATCCCAGCACTTTGGGAGGCCGAGGCGGATGGATCAACTGAGGTCAGGAGTTCAAGATCAGCCTAACCAACATGGAGAAACCCCGTCTCTACTAAAAATACAAAATTAACCAGGCGTGGTGGCGCACGCCTGTAATCCCAGCTACTCGGGAGGCTGAGGCAGGAGAATCACTTGAGCCTGGGAGGTGGAGGTTGGGGTGAGCCGAGATCGCGCCATTGCACTCCAGCCTGGGCAACAAGAGCGAAACTCTGTCTTAAAAAAAAAAAAAATAGCCAGGCCTGGTGGCGCGTGCCTGTAATCCCAGCTACTCAGGACACTTGAGGTGGGAGAATTGCTTGAACCCGGGAGGTGGAGGTTGCAGTGAGCCAAGATTGTGCCACTGCACTCCAGCCTGGGTGACAGAGCGAGACTCCATCTCAAAATAAATAAATAAATAAATAAAAATAAAAGAAACTCAAATTGGTTCTGTCTCCAAATTCCATCCTGGTGGGTGCTTGTCATGCTCACTTGGGGTTCAGGGCTGCTGCTCCAGCTGCTTCCTGAGACATCTCTAGACATTGCAGTATTTGTTCATGTCCCCGCCCTGTGAGGACACACCCTCTCTAGTTGCCTTCCCTGAAGTAGTGTTAACAATGGGATACAGCATTTAATAAATTCTGACTGAGGTCTCACGGGTTCAATGGTAAACCTAAAAACGCCTGTAGGGCCCACTGGCCATACCCCTTCTCTCAGAGCCCCTCCTGGTCCCTTGGACATCAATAGACACATCAGCTATTATTACTACACTGCCCATAGATGGCTGCCAGGAAGTAGCCTCAAGGCTGACAATTAAAGGGAGGCTTTAATTTAAACTTCAATGGCTGGGGCTGTCGCCTCCATCTGGGAGCACTTGGTCTGGACGGTTTCTCAGAGTCCACCAGGAGCTGCAGCGAGGGGCAGATGGCCCATCCCCTGAGGAGTTTTTCCCCCAGGCCAGACCATGCATAAGAGTCCTGAGCTAGTTCTTCAAGTCAGGCTGGAGGAGACCGCCCTGCCCTGCCCCACTCCAGCCCAGCTCTGGAAACAGCCAACACGCCTGGGGGTCTTTGGCCAGGTCCTGGCATCTCCTAGGACATCGGGCTGCTGCCTGGGCCTCGTCCCCTTCCTCTGCTGTCACTGGATCCATCCCTTCGCGTTCCTTTGGCAGAGGCAGAGAAGCAGAGAAGGATCCTTGCAACTCCCATAGCTGGAGAAACCATAAACCATGGTGGTTGGTTTTTTTTTTTTTTTTTTTTTTTTTTGAGACAGAGTCTCCCTCTGTTGCCCAGGCTGGAGTGCAGTGGTGCGATCTCAGCTCACCGCAACTTCTGCCCCCTGGGTTCAAGTGATTCTCCTGCCTCAGCCTCCTGAGTAGCTGGGACTACAGGCGCGTGACACCACACCCAGCTAATTTTTTGTATTTTTAGTAGAAACGGGGTTTTACCATGTTAGCCAGGATGGTCTCGATCTCCTGACCTTGTGATCCGCCTGCCTCGGCCTCCGGAAGTGCTGAGATTACAGGCGTGAGCCACCGCACCTGGCAATATTTTATTTTATTTATATTTTTGAGACAGGTTCTCACTTTGTCACCCAGGCTGAAGTGCAGTGGTGCGATCTCAGCTCACTGCAACCTCGACCTCCTGGGCTCAAGTGATCCTCCTGCCTCAGCCCTCCAGGTAGCTGGGACCACTGGCATGCAACACCACACTTGGCTAATCTTTTGTATTTTTTGTAGAGACAGGGTTTCACCATGTTTGCCAGGCTGGCCTTGAACATCCCATGCCCGATGGGATGATATTTTAAATCAGGTGATCCGGGAAAGTCTCACTGAGGATGTGGTATTTCCACAGAGACCTATAGGAAATGGGGCTGTGAGCCCTAGGGACTCAGTGTCTGGGGAAAGTGTTCCTGGGAGTCGTGACTCCACCTCACAAGTACAAAGGCCTCATCAGAGGCTGAGTTTGGCACCTGGTGTGCTTGAGGGACAGCAAGGTGGGGGGTACTCGAAGGCTTTTTTTTTTTTTGAGACAGTCTTGCTCTGTCACCCAGGCTGGAGTGCAGTGCCGTGATCTCAGCTCATTGTAACCTCCACCTCCCAGGTTCAAGCAATTCTCCTGCCTCAGCCACCCGAGTAGTTGGGATTATAGGCGTGCACCTCCACACCCGGCTAATTTTTGTATTTTTAGTAAAGACGGGATTTCATTATGTCGTCCAGGCTGTTCTCAAACTCCTGGTGTCAAGTGATCTGCCCGCCTCAGCCTCCCAAAGTGCTGGGATTACAGGTGTGAGCCACCATGCTAGCTGACTCTAAACTGTTTCATAAACTAGGTTGAGGCAGGGCTTGGGTGGCTCACACATAATCCCAGCCTGTAATCCCAGCATTCCCTGAGGTAGGAGGATCACTTGAGGCCAGGAGTTCCAGGCCAGCCTAAGCAACCTAGCGAGACCACCCCCACACACTCCCCTCACCCCCACCACTTGTCTCTACAAAAAATTTAGCAATTGCCGGGCACAGTGGCTCACGCCTGTAATCCCAGCACTTTAGGAGGCCGAGGTGGGCGGATCACAAAGTCAGGAGATCAAGACCATCCTGGCTAATACGGTGAAACCCCGTCTCTACTAAATATACAAAAAATTAGCTGGGCATGGTGGCAGGTGCCTGTAGTCCCAGCTACTTGGGAGGCTGAGGCATGAGAATGGCGTGAACCAGGGAGGCGGAGCTTGCAGTGAGCCAAGACCGTGCCACTGCACTCCAGCCTGGGCGACAGAGTGAGACTCCGTCTCAAAAAAAAATAGAAATTAGCCAGGCGTGGTGGGGTGCACCTGCAGTCCCAGCTACTTGGGAGGCTAAAGCAGGAGGATCATTTGGGCCCAGGAATTTGAGGCTGCAGTGAACTGGAACGGTGTCACTGTACTTCAGCCTGGTGACATAGCGAGTTGCTGTGTCAAACACCATCACCACCACCAGCACCAAGAACAATATCAACAAAACTTGGCTGAGCTGGATGTGGTGGTACGTGTTCACAGTCGCAGCTACTCAGAAGGCTGAGGTAGGAGAATCAAGAGTCTGAGCTCAACTTGGGCAAAATATTGAGAACCCTGTCTCCAAAAACAAAAAACTAAAACACTGGGCTGGCCGGGTAGAGTGGCTCATGCCCGTAATCCCTGCACTTTGGGAGGCTGAGGCAGGCAGATCACCTGAGCTCAGGAGTTCAAGACCAGCCTGGCCAACATGGCAAAACCCCTCTTTACTAAAAATATAAAAATTAGCCGGGCATGGTGGCATATGCCTGTAATCCCAGCTACTCTGGAGGCTGAGACAGGAGAATCGCTTGAACTCGGGATGCGGAGGTTGCAGTGAGCCGAGATCATGCCACTACACTCTGGTCTGGGTGACAGGGCGAGACTCCACCTCCAATAAAAAAAAAAAAAGGAAAAAAACACTGGGCTGGGCTGGGCTGGGCTGGGCAAGGCAGGGCAGGGCAGACTCCTCTGCAGCCTTTCTTCCTTTCCTTGACTTTGACTGTTACCCTGAGCGTGGAGCCACAGGAAGGTTTGAACAGAGGAGGGAGGAATGTGATCTGACTCAGTCATTCATTCACAGGCTCCCTCCAGCTTCTCCTGGGAAAGAGAAGGGGGTGGGAGGGGGAGCTGGGAGACAGTGGGGAACTGCT
Organism: Homo sapiens; assembly: GCF_000001405.40. Lineage (NCBI taxonomy): Eukaryota > Metazoa > Chordata > Mammalia > Primates > Hominidae > Homo > Homo sapiens. Next base: position 38,645,073 of record NC_000019.10, read on the forward strand.
GCAATGGCCCAAGGGAAGGCGAGGCGAGGGTAGACAGAACCTGGGTGGCGCAGTGGGGCAGGGGGAAGTGGGTGGGTTCTGTGTATTCTTTCAAGATGGAATGACAGAATTTCCTGAAGAACTGGATGGGGTTGTGAAGACAAAGAGGCATTAAGGATGACCGCAAGGTCTGTAGCCTCAGCAACTGCAAGGCTGGAGGTGCACGAATTGAAGAGGGATGACTGTGGGATGGGATGACCAAGCTTGGGGGGAAGATCAGGAACTCTATTTTGGATATTTATTATTATTATTATTTGAGATGGAGTTTCGCTCTTGTTGCCCAAGCTGGAGTACAATGGTGCAATCTTGGCTCACCACAACCTCCGTCTCCCAGGTTCAAGCTATTCTCCTACCTCAGCCTCCTGAGTAGCTGGGATTACAGGCATGTGCCACTATGCCTGGCTAATTTTGTATTTTTAGTAGAGACGGAGTCGTTGGCCCGGCTGGTCTTGAACTCCTGACCTGGGGTGATCCGCCCACTTCGGCCCCCCAAAGTGCTGGGATTACAGGCGTGAGCCACCACACCTGGCCGGATATTTATTTATTTATTTTTATTTTTATTTTAGACGGAGTCTTGCTCTGTCGCCCAGGCTGGAGTACAGTGGCGCGATCTCGGCTTACTGCAGCCTCTGCCTCCCGAGTTCCAGTGATTCCCCTACCTCAGCCCCCTGGGTAGCTGGGATTACAGGTGCATGCCACCAAGCCCGGCTAATTTTTGTATTTTTAGTAGAGACGGGGTTTCACCATGTTGGCCAGGCTGGCCTCTAACTCCTGACCTCGTGATCTGCCTGCCTCGGCCTCCCAAAGTGCTGGGATTACAGGCATGAGCCACTGCGCCCGGCCATTTATTTTTAATGTAAACATTTTTTTGTAGAGATGAGATCTTGTTATGTTACCCAGTCTGGCCTCAAACTCTTGGGCTCAAGCACTCTTCCAGCCTTGACTCCCCAGAGTGCTGGGATTGCAAGAGTAAGCCACCAGTGCCTGGCTGAATATTTAAATTTAAGATGCTTCCTGATGCAGTGGCTCGCACCTTTGTTTAAATGTCTGCCTTCTCCATGAAGCCTACCTGAGTAGTTTATTTGCATTCCAGCCCATGCTTGATTTTTCTCCAAATACTCAACACCTTGGAATATACAATACTACCTATTTTTTACTTTTATGTATATTTTTGAGACAGGATTTCGCTTCTGGAGTGCATTGGTGTGATCACAGCTCACTGCAGACTGGAACTCCTGGGCTCAAGTGATGTCCCTTCCTCAGCCTCCTGAGTAGCTGGGACTACAGGTGCACACAGCCATGCCCAGTGAATTTTTACATTTCTTGTAGAGACAGGTTCTTGTTATGTTGCCTAGGCTGGCCTTGAACTCTTGGGCTCAAGCCATCCTCCCGCCTCAGCTTCCCAAAGTGCTGGGATTACAGGTGTGAGCCCCTGTGCCTGTCTACATATTTTTTAAAATTTTGAGTGTTGAGGCCAGGCGCAGTGGCTCATGCCTGTAAGCCCAGCACTTTGGGAGGCCGAGGTGGGCGGATCACCTGAGGTCGGGAGTTTGAGACCAGCCTGACCAACATGGAGAAACCCCGTCTCTACTAAAAATACAAAATTAGCCAGGAGTGGTGGCACATGCCTGTGATCCCAGCTACTCGGGAGGCTGAGGCAGGAGAATAGCTTGAACCTGGGAGGCGGAGGTTGCAGTGAGCCCAGATCACGCCATTGCACTCCAGCCTGGGCAACAAGAGCGAAACTCCGTCTCAAAAAAAAAAATTTGTGTGTTGGTTGGGCGCGGTGGCTCACGCCTGTAATTCCAGCACTTTGGGAGGCTGAGGCGGGAGGATCGCTTGAGCTCAAGAGTTCAAGACCAGCCTGGCCAACATGGTGAAACCCCGTCTCTACTAAAAAAATACAAAAATTAGCCGGGTGTGGTGGAGCATGCCTGTGTTCCCAGCTACTCGGGAGGCTGAGGCAGGAGAATTGCTTGAATCCGGGAGGCGGAGGTTGCAGTGAGCCGAGATCGCGCCACTGCACTCCAGCCTGGGAGACAGAGCGAGACTCCGTCTCAAAAAATAATAAAAATAAAAGTAGATTTGTGTGTATGTGGCTTCCTTTACTAGAAGGTAGTTTCATGAAAGTTGGGATTTTTTTCTGTTTTTAGTGCCTGCGTAAAACATAGTCTGGCACAGAATAGGTGTTCAATAAATATTTGTTGAATTTGTGTCGCTGAATGGGAACCCGGTGCAGTGCATTCCAAGCCTGAGCTGGTTCAGGTCCGATGGCGGGGCCTGCCCTTATGAATCATTCATGATCTGGCCCCGCCCATACGCGAACGACGCGCGCGTTCACGCCGGAGAGGGGGCGCGGCTCGCCCCCGGGCTGAGTCGGGCGGCCAGGAAGCGGGACTCTGCGCAGGCGCCAAGCTCCGGAGCGCGGCCTTGGTGCCTTTTCTGGTTTGGCAGGCGCGCGCGCGCGGGAGGGCGGCAACCTCGGCGCTGTGCGCAGGCGCGGCGGGCAGTGCGCAGGCGCGGGCGGAGGGCGGGCTGAAGCAGCTGAAGCGGCGGTAGCGGCGGCGGCTCGGGCAGAGGGGCGGGAGCTGAGGCGGGAGCGGACAGGCTGGTGGGCGAGCGAGAGGCGGCGGAATGGTGGACTACCACGCGGCGAACCAGTCGTACCAGTACGGCCCCAGCAGCGCGGGCAATGGCGCTGGCGGCGGGGGCAGCATGGGCGACTACATGGCCCAGGAGGACGACTGGGACCGGGACCTGCTGCTGGACCCGGCCTGGGAGAAGCAGCAGCGCAAGGTGCGCGGCCCGCGGGCCGGACGGGCTGGAGGGGCTTTTCTGAGGGGGCCCGGGGAGGGGTGGGAGGTCCTGAAAGGTAACTGGAGCGTCTGTGATGGGAACGGGGGGGTCCCGAGAAGGAATTGGCGGGTCCGGGAAGGGAATTGGAGTCCTGAGGAGGAATCGCCGAGCTAGAGGAAGGAATTGGGAATCTGAAAAGAGAATTGGCGGCTGGGTGGGGAATATGGGAGTCAAATAAAAGGAATCGGGAAGGCTGATGAAGGATTTGGAGGGTCTGGGCGTGCCATTAGGGGAAACCGAGGAGATGACTGGGCAGGCTGAAATGGAACTGGGATCCGAGGCGGGCTTGAAGGGTCGGAGCATGGGTTGGGGGTGCTGGGAGGAGAATCAGGGGAGGCTGAGAAGGGAATTTCTGGGTCTGGGAAGTGTGAGGAGGAGCTTGAGTGTGGAGGGGTTGGTTATTTGGAGAGCAGAAAGATCTGAAGGAGATTGGAATTGGGGGAGCCTCAGGTTGGGGGAGTTATAAAGGGGATGAAGAATCAAGTGTGAGGATGGAGTGGAGATTGTGGGGTCTGAAGACGGGTGGGAAGACTAGGGAGGCTGGGAAGATGAAAACAGGGGCTAAGGGTAGAATTGAGCATGAAAAGACATGGGCTTAGGGTGTGAGGAGGGTAGAGGTGCCAGGACTGGGGGTCTGAGGAGGGTGGGGTGCGGAAGGAAGAAGTTAAGGGGCCCGTGAATCAGACGTTTTTGAAGGGGGTGAGATTTATTTGTGGTGCCCTGTTCCAAAGGGGAGAAGATTAAGAGATAGGAGGAATAATAAGAGGAATTGATGAGGGATGGAGAAGCCGAAGTAGAGGGGATACGGAGAGTGGGGATAATTTGGGGAGGGATTTCTAAAGAATTGATGGGAAGCTGAAAAGCTAAAGCGTTGGAGAGAATGAGGAAGTGTAGAGGGAGAAGGTGAGATCGGTGGGAGGGAGGGTGAGCTGGAATGGTGGATAATGGGAGAGAGGTTCGTTTAGGAAAATGAAAGTCTCATTAGAAAGGGAATGCGTAATGGATAGACTGAGAAAGGAATTTGAGGAGGGGGTGCTGGCTCCTGGAGGTGCAGTCCCGGGACTGGAGAGCGTGTGTGTGTCGTGCAGGCAGAATGAGTTTGGGGAGGAAGCGTTGAGAGTGTCCAGGAAGAATTGTGTCTTTTTTGGAGAGACCGGAGGTAGGTGAAGGGATCCTGAAGCAGAGACTGTGTTCAGGTGGCACTGTTTTTTTGGGGGGCGGGGGGGGCAACTTGGTAGGGCCCCACAGCAGTGAAAAGGTGATCAGAAGTGGAGTGGGATCCCCGAGCGAGGTGTCAGTGTCTGTGGGGGGGGGATAAATCCAGTGTGGTTGAGGGGGGAGCTCTGAGTGTGTGCAGGAAGAGCTAAAGAAAGGAGCGTGGTGAGTGGGTGTGTGTGGGGGGAAGGGGTTGTTCAGAAGTTTTGTGCGTGAAATGGGTGGGAGGTACTTGAAGTTGGAAGCATTTCGTGGGATCTGGAGATCTGGATTTTCTTTCCAGATTTGTTACTGATTCGCTCTGTGGCCTTGGACAAGACCCTTGAACTCTCCGGGCAGTTTTGTTATCTGCAAAATGCAAAGGGATCCGAGGGTTCCCTGCGGTGATTCTGTTAATAAAGAGGGATGTGTGTAGAGTTGGGACTTTGGACAGGGCTCTGAAGGTTTGGGAGAGTGAGTTTGGTGGAGATTTTTCAGGAACAGGCTACAGGGCTTTGAGTGGTGACCTGGCAGAGTGGGGAGTGACTGGAAGCCTCTCGAGGGCGCGAGTTGGTGGCCAGGAGCTTGGCACAGGCAGCCTAGCCCAGGCTGGAGGGGAAAGGGTGGGAAGGGTGGAAGGAGCAGCTGTTCCAAGGCAGCCTGAGGTGGGGCCGGGCATAACCTTGGGTCCATTACCAGCGTTGCTTGAATTTCCTCATCCGTAGTAACTGAGGGGCATGGCAGTGGCTTGGTGGGAGGGGTGTCCTTATCCGTGGCCCCACCTACTGCAGGATGGACAGGTTGCGATAGTTGGCATAAATTCACTTTTTGAGGGGAAGGTGAGATCTGTTCTGGAGTCTCAACAATAATTTATTGCCTGAGGCAGTGCCAGGTTGGAAAAGGTTGCCAAGAGACCTGGAAAGTTGGGAGGGAGCAGGGGCCACAGTGGTGGTTTTGAGAATGTCTAGGCTTTGTCTTCTGCAGCTGAAGGTGCTGGAGAAAATAAACCCCTCCCCCTTTTTTCTCAGGTGATAAGGGTGGGGGGACCTTCCTTTTCTCTCCCTTCCTGTCTTCTGCCACTCCTCAAGTGACTCCTTTTGCGAGCCGGGTTTCACTCCCTCCCGAGAGTTAGGGTGTGGGCTTTGTTCGTGGTTATAGTGTCCCTTGCCTACAGGGTGAGGCTGGGGCACCATTCAGGCCCTGGGTGGAAACCAGGACTCCCCAGAACCTCCAGGCCTTGCTGCCATGTGTCATTCTCTTACCTCCCAGCTCCCTTCCTCTGGGGCCGGGCAGGTTTGAGGGAAAAGGGTGGCTCACAGAGTCCGCTAATACCATCTGCTTTCGTGTCTCAGCCAGAGCCAGATTCTAGTACCTCCTGCTTTACACCTCCTCCAGCAAATATTTACCCTTAGCTGCTCTGTGGGGGAAACTACTGCTTCACCTCTGTGCCCTTTCCTGTTATGGGGTAGGGATTCTTTTTGAAATGGGGGAAGGAGTAATGGAAAGGAATACACCAATCTGTGTGGCTCTCTACCTTCCTACTAAGAAACATCCCTGCACTCCCAGGCTGGCTGGGTTGTTTGTTTGTTTGTTTGTTTGTTTTTGGAGACGGAGTTTTGCTCTTGTTGCCCGGGCGTGATCTTGGCTCACCGCAACCTCCGTCTCCCGGGTTCAAGCGATTCTCCTGCCTCAGCCTCCCGAGTAGCTGGGAATACGGGCATGCGCCACCACGCCTGGCTTTTTGTATTTTTAGTAGAGACGGGGTTTCTCCATGTTGGTCGGGCTGGTCTCAAACTCCCGACCCCAGGAGATCCGCCCGCCTCGGTCTCCCAAAGTGCTGGGATTACAGGAGTGAGCCACTGCACCCAGACTGGCTGGGTTTTTTCTACATTGCAGTGTTGCTTTAGTGAATGACAGATTGCCCTTCTTGCCTCTCCAAGGCTGAGCCACTGGGCACGGGAAGAATGACAGTCCTGGGGGTTCTGTACATGCATACTCCAAAAAAATATGCATCCAGAACAGCTGTAGGCCCTCAAAGTGGGTAGAATTGAATTCTTCTAGGAATTAAGCAAGAGTTGGCCCAAATCAGAGGGGACGTGTGTCTCACTTCTGCTTGGAAGCCCTTTGCTCTGACTTCTAGGGACCCCTGTAACCCGTAAGTAGGTTATGCAACGGTTTTTACATGAGAGGGCCATGAGTGTTCTCCTGGCGGGATGGAGAAGCATTGTTCTGGTCTTTGAGCAAATTCTTGAGCAATTACAGTTCTGGGCCACAGTTCCCTCTCCCAATTTCTAAAAGTGGCCTGGGTAACCTCATCACCCTCTGTTGTCCTGGAAGGGTGAGATCTCTTGAAGGTTATGCCAAATCTCATTACAGCAAGAAGAAATGACTCACTTGCTAAGTTTTCGTGTTCATTGAAACATCACTATTTCAGGGGCCTCAATGTTTCAACCCTGACCGTTGGCTTTTTTTTTGGAGACGGAGTTTTGCTCTTGTTGCCCATGTGGCTGTATTAGGTATGAGTTAACTATTTGAAAGTTTTTGTTTGTTTTTTGTATTTGTTTTTTTTGTTTTGTTTTGTTTTGTTTTTTTTGAGACAGAGCCTCACTCTGTCACCAGGCTGGAGTGCAGTGGTGTGATCTTGGCTCACCACAACCTCTTCCAGGTTCAAGGAATTCTCCTGCCTCAGCCTCCTGAGTAGCTGGGACTACAGGCGTGTGCTACCGTGCCTGGCTAATTTTTGTGTTTTTAGTAGAGACAGAGAGTTTCACCATGTTGGCCAGGCTGGTCTGAAACTCCTGACCCCAAGTGATCCGCCTGCCTCGGCCTCCCAAAGTGCTGGGATTACAGGCGTGAGCCACTGTGCCCTGCCTTGTTTTTCTTGAAGTAGATCTTTTTTTCTTTTTAAAGGCTGATAATGGAGGCCCCAAAGTAGCCATCTGTTACTTTGTTCCATTACTCTAATTGCTTGCCTCTTAGGATCTGGCTAGGACTAACAGTTTTCAAAATTGAGTAACACACTTGACAAAAAAAAAGGAACCAAACTCAAACTCAACTGTTATCTAGAAAAAAGACTGTGTAAATATGTGTGAGAGGCAAGTATACTCTGTTTGCCCTCTTGTAAGAGGGATAGGGGAGGCCACTCAGCTGCTAGCACTCTGTTCTCTCCCCTCATCCTCTCCAGAATGTATTTTAGAACTTGACTCTTCTAATGACTGAAGAAAAGGTGGGGTATGGGAAGATGGCCTGGGACTGCAGGGTCACTTACACTCACCTGGCTAAGAGTTGAGATCTGGCTGGTGCCCTGGAGTGGCACCTGCCACTCACCTAATCCTAAACAATCCAGGGTGTGGGCCCAGGATTGCCCTCTGCCTTTTGAAACACCCTCCCTGGTTCCGGCTTCTAAGACCAACAGGGAGGCTACTTTGGTGGCAGGGAGCTGACTCACCCTCCAGTTGGAACTGGTGCTAAAAGCCTCCATTTAACGGCAGCCGACTGCTTGGCCCCAAGTGGGCTGCCTTGTGGGGGGGAAAGTTCAGTGGAAAGTGTTGGAGGAAGCAGGGTGGTGTGTGAATATCCAAGTAGTGCTGGTGCTATTAAGCTCTGACACAGTCAGGGAGGTCAGTTAAAATGTGGTCTTATGGCCGGGCGCAGTGGCTCGCGCCTGTAATCCCAGCACTTTGGGAGGCTGAGGTGGGCAGATCACCTGAGGTCAGGAGTTCGAGACCAGCCTGGCCAACATGGTGAAACCCCGTCTCTACCAATAATACAAAAATTAACTGGGCATGGTGGCAGGTGCCTGTAATCCCAGCTACTTGGGAGGCTGAGGCAGGAGAATCGCTTGAACCTGAGAGGTGGAGGTTGCAGTGAGCCAAGATCGCGCTACTGCACTCCAGCCTGAGTGACAGAACAAGACTCCATCTCAAAAAAAAAAAAAAAAATCAGATGACAGAGGGGAGCGGGGACAAGTTTTAAGTCTAAGCCTCCTGGGTGGGGAGTTCTGCTGTTTCAACATATGCTCCAGTCATGGCAGACTTTGGCCAGACAGCGCCCTTTTTCAGAGTGAACTGAGTGTAGCACAAGTTATCTGCCAGTGCTAGTTAGCAAACAGAATGGAGCCAAAAAAGAATTGATTTGGGAAGGCCCAAGGAATTTGAAACCGTTGAGATGAACACTTTCCGTTTTTGCTACACTGATTTATGTTGTGCTGGGAATTGTACAAGCCTTTGACCAGACCTTAGGGTTGTTCTTTAAAAAAAAAAAAAAAAGATTCCCTTGCTGCTGCTTTTACTTTTTTGAAGGGCAGAAGGGAAGGGCAAATATAATTAGTGAACAGCTGTTTGCTCTAGTATCACTTGCTCGTTCAGGTTTTCTGAATAGCTGAAATATCAACATGTTTATCTCTTCCCTTGCCTTAGTATATCCTAGAGCAGTGTTTTCCCCGGCTTTATCTTTATTCCTTCATTTAATGAACTCCGTGTTTTCATCACTCACATTTTGTTCCCTTCCCTCAGTTTCCTTCCTTTGCCTTCATTTATGTATTTAGTTTACAGAATAACAAAAGCACTCGTGTTACTTTTAAACAAGGTAAAACTTAAACAGTTTTTTCCTCCGTTTCTTTTTTTATGGAAATAAGAGGCAAGTGATAGCAAGTGGGTAATTCAATGGCAGTGGTAACTGAAGCACTGACCTGTTACAAGAGAGACGGAAGCTTCTACTTGAGCAGATACAAATACTGTCATCCGTGGAGATTTGAAAGAAGTCTTTCTATCACTGGGTAGTTTGAGAGCTCATTAGTCTTCTTTAGAATGGGTTTAAACTTGGAAACATCAAAGCAAGTTACAAGGAAACTTAGTTTTACAGTGTTGGCAGCCTAGGCGCCAGAATTTGTTATAAAGTGTCTGAAAGTGGCCCAGGTATCACTTAACTTTTCTTCAAGAAGGTCTATGAGTTACATTTTACTCGGTATCCCAGGCATCAAGGAGTGTAACTTTCAATGAATCAAAGAGAAACAGAATCATTTTAAATTCCAGCCTCTGTTTAAAGAAGGATCTTATGAAGGGGAGAAATTAACCACCTGACCCAGGGAAGGATCCCGCCTCCTCCAGAAAGTGAAATCGCCGGGTGTGGTGGCTCACGCCTGTAATCCCAGCACTTTGGGAGGTCGAGGTAGGTGGATCACGTGAGGTCAGGACTTCAAGACCAGCCTGGCGAACATGGTGAAACCCCATCTCTACTAAAATGCAAAAAATTAGCCGGGCACGGTGGTGCACCCCTGTAATCCCAGCTACTGGGGAGGCTGAGGCAGGATAATCACTCAAACCTGGAAGGTGGAGGTTGCAGTCAGCTGAGATCACGCCACTGCACTCCAGCCTGGACGACAGAGTAAGGCTCCGTCTCAAAAAAAAAAAAAAAAGAAAAAGAAAAGGAGTTAAATCTTTGCATATATTTAACTGGCAAGAGCATCCTTACATCAGTGCATGGGAAGTTTTATCCAAGTAGCAGTTTCCCTGGGATTATAAAAATCCCCGAGGCATTTGTCTTGGTGTTGTGCCTTTTTTTGGTTGTGTTTTTTCACGTCCCTCCCCTCCCCTTTCTCCATAAACAAGAGAGGCATTAACTTGGAATGTCCGTGGAAAGTCTTAGAAGCTGATTGGTGTAATTTGCCTGCCTTCCCTTTAGTTTGAACAGCGTTTACTCTGGAAGAGGTCAGTGGCCTTTTTCTTGGTTGTGATTTATGCAAGTGTTATCTGAAGGCGAGTGGAGTGAGTTTACGTGGGATTTGCTGTTTGCCACCTGTTGTTGTGCTGGCTCCTTCCTTCCTGGGATGAGTTCCATTCTCTCCCCCTCCCCCAGGAGTGAGGCTCCCCAGCCAGAGCAGTCCCCCTGTGCTTATCCCCTTCCTTCGTAAACTGCAGCCATTTGTGATTTTCCATAACCACTTTTATAGACACATAATAATTTCCTTTGAATCAGTTTGCATTTTAAATTAAGTTTTGAAAGGAAAACTGACAAGAGTATGGCAACTGGAAAACCCAGCTCCCCTGGCCATAAATATAATAGAAGGAAACTGCAAAAATAAACACATTGAAAACAAAACAGTGTTGTTTCCAGGTGGTTACCACTCGGGCTGAAGGCCCCCCAGGCTTGAGGCCTGCTCCCTTTGTTAGAAAGGGATTGGCAAGTGTTGGTGAGGTGTTAAAGACCCACCAGCACCAAGCAGAGACTTTCTCTTTGAAGTCATCAGGTTTACAAGAGAATCAAAGGAAATAACTTTCTCAATGTGATTCAGGGTGTAATGTAAGGTGTAGATAACCCTTAAAATTTTCCATGTGTGTATGTCACACTTGGGAAAAAAACTTGATCTCATCTGGTCGAGGTGGGCAGGGCAGCACCTTGTCCAGGAGCACACAGCCCCTCTTGGCTCTGTGTGTCATCCGGCCATACTAGACTCGAACATATGGCTCATGACTGGATGATGCTTGATTCATCTTCAGTTTCAAGTGTTAGTGCTTTTGAGGTTTTGTAAGAAACCAGGACACATTGAAAATACAGTCATTTCTCAGTATCTGTGGGGGATTGGTTCCAGGAACCCCCTTATATACCAAAATCCACAGATGCTCAAGTTCCTTATGTAAGATAAAACGATGTGTAATTTGCATTTTAACTATGCACATCCTCCTGAATACTTTAAATCATCTCTAGATTACTTATAACCTAATGCTAAATGCTACGTAAATGGTTGTTACACTGTGCTGTTTAGGAAATAATGACAAAAATATGTACATGTTCAGTGCAGATGCAACCATTCATTTTTTTTCTTCCAGTATTTTCGATCCATTGTTGGTTGAATTCACAGATAGAGAACCCATGGATACAGAGGGCTAGCTGTAAGAAATGTGGGTTTATCATTTGTTCCTCACACAACTTTTTTCTTTCTTCGTTTTTCTTGCCTTTGTTCCTTTTTTTTGAGACAGGGTGTCACTCTTTTTACCAAGGCTGGAGTGCAGTGGAACAATCTTGGCTCACTGAAGCTTTGACCTCGGGCTCAAGCCATCCCCCCACCTCAGCTTCCCAAGTAGCTGGGACTAGAGGTGCACACCACCACGCCTGACTGATTTTTGTGTTTTTGTAGAGATGGGGTTTTGCTGTGTTGCCCAGTCTGGTCTCAGCCTCCCAAAGTCTTGGGATTACAGGTGTGAGTCACCACGCCCAGCCAACTTTTTCTCTTAAGGCTCCAGTTTTCTTCTTAGAGTTGGGCCCCTCCCACGAAGAAAGCACACTGCCACCCCTTCATCGGATTTGAACCCTACATTTTGAAAGGAAAGCAGTGCCCTCCTGCTGAGTTAACAAGGCTTATTTAAATGTTTTTCTTCCAAATATCAGAGCAGAACAGATTCTTTGTCTTCCAGTGGAACTATCCACATGGGGCAGAAGTAGTTGGAAGCGGCAGTTACTACCCTGCAGAACACAATGAAGTCATCTTGGGAAATATCGTGGATGGTGTTGCAATGATTGAATGGGATGCTAGAACACCAGCAATACAATAGCATTTGTGTCTTCAGCTTCAGGCAGGAATAAAGAAGACTTTGTGGTTTGTTTTATGTTTTTTAAAGTTTCCCCCCCAAAGGTGTGGGGCTGAGTGATGTCTGTCACTAGCTTTCTAGTGGGTTTTTCTTTTCATCTTTTCCCCTCCCTGATGTCTTTTGAGAGTGGGTGGAAGCCACAGTCTAGGTGGATCAGAGGAAGCACAGAAGGCAGGCAGTATACCCCACTTTGTGTTTTCCATGTCTGAAGGGAACACATTTGGTTTTTGTTCTGTTTTGATTTTTTAGAGACAGGGTTTCACTGTCACCCAGGCTGGAGTGCAGTGGCCTAATCATAACTCACTGCAGCCTTGAACTCTTGGGCTCAAGGGATCTTTCAGCCTCAGCCTCCCTAGTAGCTGGGATTATGTGTGCACCACCATGGCCAGCTAATTTTAATTTTTTTTTTTTTTGAGATGGAGTCTCACTCTGTCACCCAGGCTGGAGTGCAGTAGCACGATCTCAGCTCACTGCAACCTCTGCCTCCCCGGTTCAAGTGATTCTCCTGCCTCAGCTTCCCAAGTAGCTGGGATTACAGGCGCGCGCCACGACGCCCAGCTAATTTTTGTATTTTTAGTAGAGACAGGGTTTCACCATGTTGGCCAGGCTGGTCTTGAGCTCCTGACCTTAAGCGATCCACCCACCTTGGCCCAACAAAGTGCTGGGGTTACAGGCATGAGCCACTGTGCCCGAACTAATTTTTAAATTTTTTGTAAAGACTGGGTCTCACTATGTTGCCCAGGCTTTTAATCTGCAAAAAGCCCAAGATAAAGAGTTTTAATATCTTACCTCCTGAGTAGTAATGACTGATTCCAGTTCTAATAATGTCTTAATTACAGCTATACAGATTGAGGGGACTGCAGGAAGTGAAATAGATGCATTTCTTTTTTCTTTCTTTCTTTTCCTTTTTTAAATACACACTTCGTTTCGGTGGTGAAGGCCAGTTTGAGGTTAGGAGAGGCATCTTGGAAGGAAGCTCGCAGGTGGTTCGGCATCTGGACATGCTGGGAAGTTGCCTGAGGGGGACGTCACAATAAGAGGACTGTGGGTCTACAGCCTGCCTTAGCAAAATGACAGGCCTTCTTTTACCAAGGCCAAGGGCAGTGGTGGAAGCTGACTTCAGTTGGTGTCATCAAGGCCTCAGTATGTGTAACGGTTAACAAATTACTATTCTATGATCAATCTCCATCTGGGTGTGAGTAAAAGGTATTTAGTTGCTATCACCATGGAAACCAAGTTGCTTACTTACTGTTTTGGGGAGTGCCCTCATACCAGAGGCAGTGCTAATGGTGGAGTGTTAGGCCCCGGGCAGAAAAAAAGATCCTGCCACTTGGTATCACAGGAAAATACCTACAGGCACAGCAGCCTTGCCAGGTAGGGGATGAAGGCCCTCTGTCCTCGGGGCAGGAGTTGGGCCAGTTGATTGTGTTGATGAGGAGTGTGCATTTGTGCATGAGAGAGGGAGAAGAAAAAGGAGAGCACTCCATGAAATCCGCTGCTGGCTTTGTAGCCTAGAAGAGTGCTTTTTTTCTCTAGGAGTTTGGAACTGGAATCTCAGCTATGTGACTTCTTAATAATAGGACAAAATATGCCTGTATCTTTTGCCTACTTCCACAAACACTGATAAATTAAAAAGAACTCTAAATTTCCCACAAATCCCAAGCACAAGTAACTTTTTTTTTAAATCCACATCCTCCCTAATCCAAATCTAACAGCAAATCCTTTTCTCTCTGTCACTCCCTGCTTTTCTTTAAGAAAATGAGTACCTTGCCTTAAACTATATATTGGATGAAAATATTAAACACTTTCACAAAGTGCTTCTTTGGCTGTTACTGGTATGCCTTGCATTTGGAAGGGTCAGAGATTTGAAGACTTCTGTGATCTTCCAGTTCTGGCCTATGAAATACAGTCAGTTTCAAAATTCAAAATGTCTGGAAGAGCCAACTTGCCAGGCCGGTTCAAGGGCAGTCAGATGAATCGACCCTTCTTACAGGCTGTCTACGAACCAGTCATGATTCAGATATTCAAGTCCTGGAAGGTATCCAGACGGTAAACATCACCAGGATTGTGAGGCAGTTACTTTTTTTTTTGGATCGTTTGAGCTACACTGCCAAGACTGTGGTAGGACTTGTCTGTGTAAAACAGAAAGGGCTGTCTCTAAATGTCTTTTTCAAGAATGTCGGCTATAATCACCCGACACTGTGTCTCATGGTGGGGTGAGATGAAATACCTAGACCGGTTAGGGGAGGGCCTTCTTGGCCATTTTTTGAACTAATTTTCCCTTTCCCTTTGTAACTTTTTTTTCTTCTTTTCTTTTCTTTTTTTTTTTTTGAGACGGAGTCTTACTCTGTCACCCAGGCTGGAGTGTAGTGGTGCAATCTCGGCTCATTGCAACCTCCGCATCCTGGGTTCAAGTGATTCTCCTGCCTTAGGCTCCCGAGTAGCTGGGACTACAGGCATGCATTCCACGCCCAGCTAGTTTTGGTATTTTTTAGGAGAGACGGAGTTTCACCATGTTGGCCAGGCTGGTCTTGAACCCTTGACCTCGTAATGCCCACCTAGGCCTCCCAAAGTGCTGGGATTACAGGTATGAGCCACCGCGCCCAGCCCCTTTGTAACTTTCATTAACACTGATGAGGCACAAGCCATAGGATAGAATTGAATCCATTGAGAGCTGTGAGCCAATTGAGGGATGATTGGTTAATAGATTGTGGCTTGAAGCTGTGGAAGGTAAGGGGTGACACTTGACTCCTATTAGCCTTGTAGAAACACCTCAGAGATTCACAGGAAGCAAACTTTGACCATAAAAATATAAGACTCACAGCGCACCGAGTTCTCTTAGCAGCTACCTTAGAGTTGAGAAAGTTTTGGGCCTCTTTAATAAACAAGCACAAAGCAGTTCTTGCCAAATACGGCCTGCTCTGGGGCCACAGGGTTAGCTTAGGAGACAACTTTCTTGCCTAAAAATAAATGCATGTTCCTATCAGACATTCCAAGCATAGTTTAAACATGAGACTTCTGAGCAGCAGCTCAAGCTCTGTGGGTTCAATTATGTCAGAGTATGGGCAGTGAGGGTCTTTGGGGAGTGTGCCCCCTTATTTGGGATTGGTTGTGGCTACCAAGGAAATCAGATGATCAAATGCAAAACTTCCTCCATCTTATTTCTATATGATCTTTTTTTTTTTTTTTTGAGTTGGAGTCTTGCTCTGTTGCCCAGGCTGGAGTGCAGTGGCAGGATCTCAGCTCACTGCAGCCTCTGTCTCCCAGATTCAAGCTATTATTCTCCTGCCTCAGCCTTCCAAATAGCTGGGACTACAGGCGTGGCCATCATGTCCGGCTAATTTTTGTATTTTTAGTAGAGACAGGGTTTTGCCATGTTGGCCAGGCTGGTCTCCAACTCCTGACCTCAGGTCATCCACCCGCTTTGGCCTCCCAGAGTGCTGGGATTACAGGCATGGGCCACCGCCCCCAGCCTTATTTCTACACGTTCTTGATCTATCACAGGCTGGTGGGGGAGACAGCATGCATATAGATAATGAACAAGGTAACTTCAGATAGGATTATGTGCAATAAATTAAATAACAGCTAGCATTTTACCTTGTGCTAGACACTATTCTAAGTGCTTCCCATGGACTGACTGGTTTTTGTTTTTTTTTCTTTCCTTTGAGACTGAGTTTCGCTCTTGTTGCCCAGGCTGGAGTGCAATGGCGTGTTCTTGGCTCACTGCAACCTCCGTCTCCTGGGTTCAAGCAATTCTCCTGCCTCAGCCTCCCGAGTAGCTGGGATTACAGGCACGTGCCACCATGCCTGGCTAATTTTTGTATTTTTAGTAGAGACGGGGTTTCTCCTTGTTGGTCAGGCTGGCCTTGAACTCCCAACCTCAGGTGACCCACCCGCCTCAGCCACCCCAAGTGCTGGGATTACAGGCGCGAGCCACCATGCCCGACCCATGGACTCACTTGTATAATCTTGTGAAGCAGGTGTTGTTACCCTTACATGCAGAAATGGATCCATGGGCCTTTAAGCCACTTGCCCCTGTGACAGTGCCAGGATTTGAATGTAGAAGTTGAGGCTTTCAAGTTTATGCTGTTATTTCTACACTACACTGAAGTCTAGTGATTGGGAATGGCTTTGCGAGCGGGTGGTGAGGGGAGGAGTGTGCAGTGCAGGTACTTCAGATGGAGAGGAAGGTCTCAAAGAGGTGGCATTTCAGCTGTTCCTTAACGGATGAGAAAGAGAGAACCAAGAGAGCACCAGAGGAACGCGCTTCCAACAGAGAAAACCAAGCAAGGGGGCCCCCGAGGAGCAGAAAGGCCCGAGTGGTCAGAGCGGAGCCCGTGGAAGAGATGGGCACAGCCAGATTGCTTAGAGCTGTGTTGTTAGAAGTGCTGATGAGTCTACATTCAACTTGCGCCTGCAAACTCAGTCCCTCTTAGATGCCAGTAGGTCAGGAACCTCATGCTTCCAGGACTCTGGCGCTCCTACCCTTTCCTCCCAGGCCTCCTGGACAGGCCAAACCAGAACTGACTTCTAAAGTGGGAACCCCAAGACGGCAGAACATGAATCAGCCAAACAAAAGCTGCAGTTATCTCTGTGATGATTTCGGCAGTCGGCACGTGTATTTGATTAAAGCGTTGGTAACTTTGAATCTGGAGTTTTATGGCACTGTGTACTACTCATAATGGCTTTGTAGTGTGGCTCTCTTAGGGAGCTTAACTTTTACAACATGAACAAGTTCCAGCCTCCTTTGGTCCCATCAAGAGGCCATTTCTACCTGGTGGGATGCCACTTGCTTTACAAAGCATCTTTTGTAAAATGTTGAGTCTCCTTCTTTGAAGTTGGAAGCCAGGAAGCCTGATTTTTTTTCCAATAAGTATTGTAGAAGATGGCAGCCTGATTTATTTTTATTTATTTATTTATTTTGAGACGGAGTCTCACTCTGTTGCCCAGGCTGGAGTGCAGTGGCACAATCTCGGCTCACTGCAAGCTCCACCTCCCAGGTTCACGCCATTCTCCTGCCTCAGCCTCCCGAGTAGCTGGGACTACAGGCGCCCGCCACCATGCCCGGCTAATTTTTTGTATTTTTTGTAGAGACGGGGTTTCACCGTGTTAACCAGGATGGTCTTGATCTCCTGACCTCGTTATCCGCCCGCCTCGGCTTCCCAAAGTGCTGGGATTACAGGCGTGAGCCACCGCGCCCGGCCTGGCAGCCTGATTTTTAAACTGGCTTTTCTCCTAGGTCCTTTCCTTCTCTATAAATCCCTCTTTCACTTAGTATTTCCTCCTTGTTTCCTTTGGTCAGTTGGAGTGAGGGTGGTTCTAGTTCAGAGAAAGAGACAGGCATACAGGCTGATTCAGTCTGAGGTGCTTAGCTTTCTGTACCTCACTGGAAACCAGTCCAGGAATATGACAGGTTTCAGTAGGTTTCATTGGACCCACAACTCCCCATTTGAAGGCAGAGCTTGTCAAACGAGTTATGTGGCTTTTACTCAAGGAGGGAGGAACAGCAACAGGGAGCTCTGGGCTATTGATAGACACTCCTGCCTCTGAACACACAGCACCCAGCAAGAAGTTACCTTCATGGGTTGTCTAGAGTGAACATGGGCTGGGATTCTCTCAGCCTTAGCACTGATGATTTGACAACAAAAATCGCCCCGTGGGTAGAGTATAACGGAGCAAATGATTATGGTGGCCTGTGATGGTGCAGCCAGCCCAGCTGCTTCAGCTGGAAAGAAGATGGCGAGGTTTCCATTCTCCTGGCAGCATAGCCATGTGAACTTGTTAAATCTTTTAAGTAGCTGTATAGGAGGGGAGATAAGTGTGTGTGTGTTTATTCTTATCCCCTTAAATACAAAAACAAAACTTCCACTTTATAAAATCAATTCAGAGTGGGAAGAGGTGCATGGCACATGGAAAATGTGTCGGATTAGGTTGAGTCCTACCCCACGTTTGGGACACAGCTGTAAGTTTCCATGGTGGGTGGCTTATTATGCATTTATGCTGAGCTGAACCTGCTCCAAGCTGCTGCAGATAGGAAAGTCTGTCTTGGAGGGGGAGCTGCCTCTTTCTATCACACTATAAAGACATAAAAGGTCCTTTGAAAGACTCCAGCAGTCACCACTTGGGTAACAGAATTAGGGGCTGCTGAGCAAAGTGGGTCTGTTTTTTTTTTTTTTTAAAGACAGAGTTTCCCTCTTGTTGTTCAGGAGTGGAGTGCAATGTCACAATCTTGGCTCACTGCAACTTCCGCCTCCTGGGTTCAAGTGATTCTTCTGCTTCAGCCTCCCAAGTAGCTGGGATTACAGGTGCCGGCCACCACGCCTAGCTAGTTTTTTGTATTTTTAGTAGAGACGGGGTTTCATCATGTTGGCCGGGCTGGTTGTGAACTGCTGACCTCAGGTGATCCACCCGCCTCAGCCTCCCAAAGTGCTGGGATTACGGGTGTGAGCCACTGCGCCCGGCCACATTTTATAGCCAACCGGCTTCTTGTGTAACATGAGTTGGGGCTTCTTGGGCCCCAGAGTCCAGCACTCAGGTAGAAATATGACCGCCATGGCCAGACAGCAGCCCTCGCTGGGCCCCTCTTCAGAGCAGAGCTCTGTGCCGAGCCTTTAGGGGTATGAGAGAAACCGGAGACCTGGTCCGTGCTCTCAAAGAGCTCGCGGTGTAGCTGGGGAGAGAGCAAGGCCACATGAGACCTCAGAAGGACACTAAACGGCACACCGACAAGCTCACAGCACTCTAGCTGTGTCCCGGGAGAGGAAAGGGGTGAATCAGGGCAGGTGGGGTCAGTCATGGAAACTTTCATAAAGGAGGTGAGTGTGCAGGAGGGGCGGGCCTTTGCCCCCGCTGCGGGCAGGTTGCCGAGGGCAAGTATTAGGGGGTCCGGCGTGCAATCGAACATTTCTTAGCTGCCTCTTTGGAGTAGCGCTACCAGTTCCTGTCCCCATGAGCATCGTCTTCGGGGAGCTGCTGGTTTGAAGGATGAGGTACCATGCTCATCTTGGCCATGTCTTAGAACCTGTGATAGCCAGACCTGTCGTTCTGGGTCCGTATCCATTCATGCGTCCTGTCACTGTCACAGATATCGTGAGTGGGCCAGACTCTTCTCCCCAGGTGGGAGGGGGTGCCTTCTGAGGCATATGTTTTCAGCCTGCTGATGGCCTCTTCAGAATTAGCACAGGTTTCGACAAAAAGAATGGAGAGACTCCCTTCTCATGTCCAAGGGTCTCCCCAAGCCCTGTGTCTCAGCCCCTCAGGGCGTGTGGTGCTGCACACTGCCGCCCAGATGACCACGCGCAGCCGGAACGGCCGCCCTGTATTGAGAAGTGGGATCGGCTCCCAGTCTGCTGGCGAGGCTGGGTTGCCACAGCTCCTCTGTTGCCCTGCAACGCGGGTGGCCTAGGAGTGTGCTGCCTTCAGTTTATTCCTGCCTGCCAAGCTACGCTTCCAGGTGCTATTCTTTTCTTTAAATAACTGCCTTAGTGCTGCTTGTGGAACTTAGCGTTCCCATCCCAGGAAATACTCCAGTGTTGTGTTTTTTTTTTTAAACTCATTCAGATGCTCATGGCCAAATGTGTGACTTAAATACCGCAGTGTCCTTGATATTGCCTTCCCCACACCGACAAACCGAGTTGCATTCTGGTCCCACTGTGGGATAAGGTTAGGGTAGCGGCGCTTGCCTCTTTGTGTGGTTTCAGATGTGTTTCTCCCCACTTCAGATAACACATGACAGCTGTAATATAGCTCAGTTCGTGCAAGTAAGGTAGGGGCAGAAATCATCCAGGAGAACTCCAGCCTCCATCCTAAAGGATTAGACTGCCTAGCATCAGTAGGTTTACCATAGAAGGATTCAGTGGAGATAGCGAGGGTGGTGAGTGTTGCTGGATTGAGCCCGTCCCTGCAGCCTGGGCACGGGAGCACTGCAGTGCCATGAAGGAGAGGGCTGGGGGATATTAGCACAGCCGGTTCCTATTTCCTTTTCCACCTGGTTAAGACTTCCGGGGAGGCCCTGCCCAGCAGTCCTTATGAGATGCTGCCTTCCTCTTTTTTGAAAGGCATAGATGATAAGGAGGTGGACATGTTTTGAGAAGAGAACCTAGAGCTCATTACTTGTATTTGAGGCATGTATTGCTTCACTCCCACTTTGGGAGAGTTTTTTCTGGGGAAGTTAAAGGCTATTCAGGATCAGAGAGTTTCCTGCATGGTCCCAGGGGCTGGGAGGAGCCACCTGCTCAGCTGGTGGTTAGCTGATAGCACCCAGCCTACCCACCAAGATAGGAGGCAGCTCAGATGTCACTGGGATTCGCAGTACCACAGGCTGTCCCTGGGCCCAAGCAGTTAGCTAGCTGCACCCCGGGAGGGGGTGTTGAGAGCACTGAAGCTCCTGTGGGAGAGTGCCTTTGACATCCCCCACTCCCCACTGCCCAGAACTAGGAGGTAGTGAAAGGTGTCAGTGGCAAGAAGGCTGGGCCAGAGCATGGAGGGAGGCCGACCTGGGCTCCACACCCACCTCCTCCACCACCGGCTGGCTGTGCGACCCTGGGCAGGTGGCGGGGGTTAAGCCTCAGTGTCCTTCTTTGAAAAGGGGCATCATCCTATCCTCAGTTTGAGGATTAGACGTGATAGTGCGCAGGAAGCACTCTGGTGCCTGGTACATTGTAAGTGCTCAATAAATGCAGCTTCCCAAAATGATTTCAATGGCACATGGTCCTGCATCCAGGTGGGATCTGCTACTTGAGTCTCCCCCTCAAAGGGGCCTGCTGAAATACGCAGCTCAGTGGGAAACCAAAACATACACCCCTTTCCTCCAGTGCTCCCCAGGAAGCGCCAAGTCCTGAGCCCAGCCAGCAACTTCGAAGAAGTGCCCTCCAACAAGTGGCAGTGGGCACTTGAGCAAGTGACTTAACGCAGCCCTCTCCCCAGCCCCTGCATCCATCTGGGCCTCATTATCTGGGAGGTGGCTTCTTGTTTCAGAGTTACAGGCCCTGAACAATTTTGTGTTGGGATGTGCCATAGGCAGTGCCAGGAAGGTTCTTTCATGAGTAATTTAACTTGTTACTAAGTTTGCTATCAGCCGGGGGGCTCTTTCCCCGGGTTCCCTTCTTTCCCTGGGTCCCCTTCCCCGCAAAGCAAAGTCCAACTCAAGTTAGAAACATCCCACAGCCTGGAGTCAGGCTGCCCTCTCTTCAGTTGGTGTGTGATGTAGAAGCAGGAAGGGCTTCCCACTGATAACCCTAAAAATAACTGCCCAGAAATGCTGTCAGATGGGGCCAAGAGGTGCACAGGAGCCTGTGCCCAGCTGCCGACCTGGAACGTGGGACTTTCTAGAGGGCTTGGAGGAGCCCTGCCCCTTCCAGGCCTCTTCCCAACAGTGCTTCTCACGCCTGCTGCTCCATTCCCTTTTCCTCCTTCCTCCCGCGCCCCCCCCTTTCCTGGGGTCACTTCCTGATGCCATTCTTCAACTTCGCCCCTGTCCCCCCCAAAAGCAATCAAATCCACAACCTAATAAGGCAAAAGAATGAGGAGAATGTCCGCCTCCCAGCCTCTCCCCTAACAGGGTGCAGGCCTGAAGCAAATTTGGAAAATGTTACAACGGAGTGACAACCGATGGGGGCTGGGGGTGGGGCGGTGCAGCCTTGTTCAGGAGCTGCCCATTGTTGGCCTGAGGCAGGACCCTAAGGGAAGGCCACCCGGTTTGCGCTTTCCTGATCAGGCTGTTGACACCCTTCTAGCACAAGAAAATGTATGGAAAGTAACTGCCTGAGTCAGCTGCATCTCCAGTTGTGGGATCCACGTGCCAGGAGAACACGAAGTACACACAGGTCCGCAGTGGGAGCCCGCTCGGAGACACCTCCCCGCCATCACGGCTGGGACTGTGCATATCCAAACACTTCTTGCCTCTGAGATGAGCAGTTTTCTTCCCCTTGACTGTGCCAGGGTTCAATTAGCCTGGGCATTAATTAAAACTTGTCAACACTTAGAGTGGGGCCCCCAGAAATCTGTCACCCCTCCTAGATCATTATCCCAGGCTAATCAACCCTCTCTAAGGCAGTTTCCATTCTTGACTTAGTGGGAGGGAGGAACAAGCCCCTCGGTGCTGGGGAGCTCTGGGGGAGGTAGGGACTGACTGGGCCCAACCCACTTTGTTTTGGAAGGTCAAGCTTAGTAATTAACCTGAATGCTTGGGGGAGGGGGTGAAGGAGAAAGAACTGAGTCTAGGGATGTGCCAGGTCTTTCAAATTGCTAATTATCAGCGAGCATGAGGTCATCCGTAAATATATCTAATTCTTTAGCTTGTAATTAAGGTGCTCATTAAAAGTGCAGGGAAGTCTTGTTTTCCTAAAAGGGGAAAAAAACAACAACACAAAAAGTCTTTGTTTTGACCTGACACGATGGCTCAGAACAGGGGGAGGACTCAAGGCACAGGACTAGTTTCCTGCCTTAAAGAGCCTTTACAGGAAATTGACTGCAAACAGTATTGGTGACCCTGCCAAGGAGGCAAACCTAGGGTGATGTCATTGTTCGAAGCTGTCACCGCCAAGCCTCTGGCCTTGGGGCGAGGAGAGTTGGTGGGATTAAAAAATGAGTGTGTGTATGTGTGTGTGTGTTTAGCAGTCTCTAAAGAGGCGAGTCAAGGGAAAATCCTAGCGGGAGAAAAATCACAAGGGGTGGGGGGTGTCTCAGAAATATTCTTAGCTGGGTTCAACTTTCCTCGTTTTTCTAAGTTTAAAAAATCCTCTCTTACTATTTTTGCTCATCAAAATGCTGCTGCTTTTTCAGAGACAGCCTTTTTTGAGCCATTCCCTATTTAGTGTTTTGGGTAATTGGCTGTTACAGTATGGAATTTGTGGCCCAAAGGCAGCGTGGTAAGTTAGACACTAGGTGCACGGTGCCCCATTGTTATGAAGTGTGGAAACTGAGACGCTGGACTAGTCTGATGTATCTGTTTCTTCCACCAAAAAAAAAAAAAAACCATTTTGGAGAACTACCCAATGCCAGTGACTTGGCATCTCTGAGTCGCTAATCTTCCCATGTGCCTCCAGGAACCGTCTGGAGCGTCCCTGAAAAAAGGACAAGGTTTGTATCTTGTCATTTTTCCTCTGGCTGGAAGTCTAAGAGGTATAAACACAGTCTTAAAATGAAAGCAACAAAAATAAACTCAAAGCAGCCCTGCGTGAAGGCATTAATGCAAAATATGCAAGCTGGCTTCCTATTTATACGGCGGAAGGCAGTCAGAAGAGCCAGGCCTGGTTAAGGAAGGAGTTATGTCTCTGGAGGTGCCTGTTCCTTAGAATTACAAATAAACCCTGGGTGATTACTCAGATGAGGTTGTAATGTGGTGTCTCATTTCATGCTTTGCACAGTCCAGTTTCTTGATGGAACCAACGGCCTCTGAAATGCTAATGCAGGATCAGGATACAGTTAGAGTGCCCCCCTTCCTGTGCCCCTCCTAACATCCTAACAGCTTTAGAAGGAAGTTTGAAGATTAAACAGGAGAGCCATGTAAGTTTCCTGTGATCCTAGATCCTGTGATTTGTTAATATTCTTTCTCTTCAATCCACCTGACATTTACCCAGATACCATATTAGGCTTGGAGATACAACAAGAAAGAAAACCAACCCAACCCTGTCCTTAAAGAAAAGATGGACGATGAAGGGCCAGGCGCAGTGGCTCACTCCTGTAATCCCAGCACTTTGGGAGGCCAAGGCGCACAGATCACGAGGTCGGGAGTTTGAGACCATCCTGGCCAACATGGTGATACCCCGTCTCTACTAAAATACAAAACATTAGCTGGGCATGGTGGTGCGCGCCTGTAGTCCCAGCTACTCAGGAGGCTGAGGCAGGGGAATTGCTTGAACCTGAGAGGCGGAGGTTGCAGTGAGCCGAGGTCGTGCCACTGCACTCCAGCCTGGCAAGAGAGTGAGACTCCATCGCAAAAAAAGAAAAAAGAAAAAAAGAAAAGATGGACAATGAATTGCATGATGGAAGTGAACAGTGTTAGGGCGATATGCAGATGTAAATGTGGTCTTGTTTTACTGCTCACTGACTTACTGAAGTAAACCCATTGACTTCGCCTTCATGGGTTTGAAAAGGGTTTTTCCAATGTGCTCTGTGTGTCTCGGAGCTCAGGTGTTCAGAGCTGCCTCCCTTATAAATCGACCTCCAGGAGAGTTGTGTGTTTGGTTCTTGGTGTATGGTTTCGTAGGCTCCCCAGGGCTGAGGAGTCACCTTGGGATCCAGCTTTTTTTCTTTTTTCGAGACAGTCTCTCCCTGTCGCCCAGGCTGAAATGCAGTGGTATGCACTTGGCTCACTGCAACCTCTGTCTCCTGGGTTCAAGCGATTCTCCTACCTCAGCCTCCCAACTAGCTGGGATTACAGACGCCTGCCACCGTGCCCAGCTAATTTTTGTATTTTTAGTAGAGACGGGGTTTCACCATGTTGGCCAGATTGGTCTCGAATTCCTGACCTCAGGTGATCCACTGCCTTGGCCTCCCAAAGTGCTGGGATTACAGGCGTGAGTCACCGCGCCCAGCCAAAATCCAGCTTTTTCTTAGTTCCTGGCTTGGGGCATGTTGCTGGAAAGGAATGACAGATTGAGGCAAGAAGGAGGCAAGAAGGATGCATCTCCTGGCCAAGGAAACTAGAGTTTGGAGGTGTCCCCTGTCAATGGCATCTGAAGAATTTCTACATTGGAAAGGCATAGGTGACCCAGTCTGGTTTGGAGTAGATGGGACTGGGTAGGGGACTAGTCTTGAAGCTGCAAGCATGCTGTTTTTACTTAGAGCACAGGTAGCTGGGGAGGAGATCACTGTGGTGTGGGTGGCAGAAGCCATCCCTAGCCATCACCTAGGAAGATGGTGGCCCTTGGGTTGCCCGAGCTGCTGCTTGTTTTAGTAGCTGCATTTGGTGCCACATTTTTGTGGTAACTGCCAGGAAGCGGAGCCCAGCGTGGCCTCAGGAAGTTGGTGAGGTTTGCACCACTTTTTAACAGGCTGGTAACAGTGCCGGAGCTGACACCCTCATGGTTGCAGCCCTGGGATTTTGTTATTTGGGGACACTTTGGAATATGTCACTCAGAATGCTGGCTCACTAGCTCCACAAGCAAAAGACTCCTTGGGTAGCTGGAAGCAAGCGTTGGGGGAAGGAGGGAGAGGCAATTGCAGTCCAGCCAAGAATCTCAAGGCTCAGTCTTCAATGTATGGAAACTTCAGTCCTTTTCTGATCTTTAGTGGAAATAGCTGTTCACTCTTAGCGCCAATTGGAAAGTGTTGGCAGCTGAAGGGGGTCGTTCCTCAGGGGTCCCCAGAGCCAGTGTATCTGGTATTTCTAACATTTTCCTAGCCACCCCTTTCTCCTCCATATGCCCCTCCCAGCCCCACCATTCAGATAGGGTGGCTGGAAAGAACATCTCCTAGGTCCTCTAGGAAACTTGGTGTTTCCACTCAAGGGAGTTGGGGATCACGTAACACCCTCCACTTCCACCTGGGATTTCAGGCCATCTGTGGGAGTGCAAGAGCATGGTGGGGTGGAGGTCACAGGAAGGTGGAAGCAAAGCCAGGGCAGCTCCACATGCAGCCCCCTTTCAGGAACAGCAAGGATAGGCCGGCCTGTATCTTGTTGCTCAGAGCAGGTGATCCTGTCATTTGGACCCTTGTGAGGAGAATGGATGTGAGTGTGCACCTGGTTCTCTTCTCCTGGGGCTGAGGGACTGTGGTCTTGGATTATCACATGGTAGGTGAGGTGACAAAATGGAGGGAAGTAGCCTGGGTGGGGACTGGGGTGGCCACTGCAGAGCTCTAGCTGATGGTGGCCAGGTGGGAATGGGGACCTGGGACTTCACGAAGCTGGAAATGGAGAGTTTTATGGGGCATTTCATTCAACTTAAAAACCTGGCCGGGTACAGTGGCTCACGCCTGTAATCCCAGCACTTTGGGAGGCTGAGGAGGGTGGATCACGAGGTCAGGAGATTGAGACCATCCTGGCCAACATGGTGAAACCCCATCTCTACTAAAAATACAAAAATTAGCTGAGCGTGGTGGCTTGTGCTTGTAATCCCAGCTACTCGGGAGGCTGAGGCAGGAGAATCCCTTGAACCAGGGCGTCGGAGGTTGCAGTGAGCTGAGATGTCGCCATTGCACTCCAGCCTGGTGACAGAGCAATACTCCAACTTAAAAAAAAAAAAAAAAACCTGCAGGCCATACAAAATAGGGCCTATTGGGTGTGAAGAGCTACCCATTTGTGACCCCTAACCTTGCATGGTCTTGACCCTGTCTCTGCCTCTCCTCTAGTCTCCCCTTTCCTCTTGTCTGAATTGCTGCTGCTTAATCCTCTCACTAGGAGCGAGAAAATTGTACTTTGCCCCTTAGTGACAGCTCTGATAAAAGGTGGTTGAAGTGGATGGTAGTAAAAAGGGTTTGCTTTAGCTGTGGTTTTCCAGCCTCCGGACTCCTCCCCCTTTCCCATCACCATAGATAATTAAGAGTTGACTCCTCAAAATTCCTCCCACCATATTGCATATTTTTAGGCTTCAGGTTTTTGTGAACCAAAATAGTGGAAAGTTTTTTTGTTTGTTTGTTTTGGGTAGCCCAAAGCAACACTTTTCTACAGAGGCAGCCATTCTGCACGCACAATAACCTGGTGAACAATGCCAGCTTTCTATTAATAAATGAACTGCCAGTTCAGAATTTGTACCCATGTGGCAGATGGACAGAAATAGTTTCTTTAGGATTGATCTCTTAAATTTGACTTTGGGAAGATACTGGCAGTCCAGGTTTTGTGACAGAGATCCATCCTGAGATCTTTGTAAATGGAAAAGCCTGAATGCAGCGTTTCTTATTGATAGGAGAGTTGATGGATTTCAGGAAAATGGGATATAGTAGATGTGCAATGAATTTGTTGACTTGGAAACAAATTTGGACACTTATCCCTGAAAACTTCAGGCCATTTTTTCCTAAACTCTAATTGAGTCCCTGTGATTGGAGTACTAGCCCCACAGTCCTTATCAAACTTCGCATTTGGAGCAGGCAGTCTGTCTGGGAAAAGCCAGGAAGCTCGCCATGAAGGCATCGCCCTCTGCTTTTAACTTTTTTAGGCTCTGTTACCTCTGCACTGGCTTGAGTATTTCCTGGCTCAATTGTTTCTCAGGCTGGCCTTGAGTCCTTAGATGTTATTTGTGTGCCTAGAAATAGCTGGAAGAAAAATGGTTGTAATGCTTTGCATTGCTCACTGCTCTCCATGGATGGAAATTCTGTGAGGGAAAGAGGGCTTTCCACCCAGAAAAAGAGCTGGGCAGCGTAGACTTCATTGTCCTGCTGGCCTGTCATGTTATTCTGCTATACTACAGCGATTAGGATGAGAGAGTTTCTCGCTCTCCCTGGGTGTGCCACCTAAGGTACATTAGGGTAGGGACGAACATGGCGGGAGTTCTCATAGTGGGCTTTCCTGCCAGACGTATGGCCCACACAGCAGTATTTCTTACATGTGGTTCTTTTTTTTTTTTTTTTTTTTGAGACGGAGTCTTTCTCTGTCGCCTAGGCTGGAGTACAGTGGCGTGATATCGGCTTACTGCAACCTCCACCTCCCAGGTTCAAGCAATTCTCCTGCCTCAGCCTCCTGAGTAGCTGGGACCACAGATGCATGCCACCACACCTGGCTAATTTTTGTATTTTTAGTAGAGACGTGGTTTCTCCATGTTGGCCAGGCTGGTCTTGAACTCCTGACCTCAAGTGACCCACTCGCCTTGGCTTCCCAAAGTGTTGGGATTACAGGTGTGAGCTACCACACCCTGCCAAGGTTCTATTATTTGATCTATGTTCTTTGTTTGTTTGTTTGTTTGTTTTGAGATGGAGTTTCGCTCTTGTTGCCCAGGCTGGAGTGTAATGGCACGATCTCGGCTCACCGCAACCTCTGTCTCCCGGGTTCAAGCAATTCTCCTGCCTCAGCCTCCTGAGTAGCTGGGATAACAGGCATGTGCCACCACACCCGGCTAATTTTGTATTTTTAGTAGAGACGGGGTTTCTCCATGTTGGTCAGGCTGGTCTCAAACTCCTGAACTCAAGTGATCCACCTGCCTTGGCCTCCCAAAGTGTTGGGATTACAGGCGTGAGCCACCATGCCCGGCCCCTGTAACCATTTTTAAGTGATTGATCATCTCAGCATGATTGATGGAGATGATGGGGTTGGCCATCCATTCTTTTTTTTTTTTTTTTTTGGAGACAGTCTCACTCTGTCTCCAAGGCTGGAGTGCAGTGGCACAATCTTGGCTCACTACAACCTCTGCCTCCTGGGTTCAAGCGATTCTTCTGCCTCAGCTTCCCAATTAGCTGAGATTACATGCATGCACCACCATGCCTGGCCAGTTTTTGTGTTTTTAATAGAGACAGGGTTTTATCATGTTGGCCAGGCTGGTCTCAAGCCCCTGACCTCAGGTGATCCCCCCACCTCAGCCTCCCAAAGTGCTAGGATTACAGGCATGAGCCACCACACCCGGCCTATTCATCATTTATTGAGCATTTATTTATACCCACTATGTGCCGTAAACAAGGTGCTGAGTAATGAGATGTGAACAGAATAGTCCTTCTTCTTGTCCTCATGGAGCACACAGCCTAGTCGGGGACAATAGGCATTAAAAAATACCAACAATGAAAACCCAAGACATACATAGAGTGTTCCAAATTGTGGTTTTATTTTTTATATATATATATTCATATATATTTATATATATTTATATATATATTCATATATATTTATATATATGAATATATATTTATATATATTCATATATACTTATATATATTTATATATACTTATATATATTTATATATATTCATATATATTTATATATATTCATATATATTCATTTATATTTATATATATTCATATATATTTATATATATTTATATATTTATATATATTATATATATTTATATATTTATATATATTATATATATTTATATATTTATATATTTATATATACTTATATATATTTATATATTTATATATATTTTTATATATATATATTTATATATGTATAATTTTTTTTTTTTTTTTTTTTGTGATGGAGTCTCTATCACCCAGGCTGGAGTGCAGTAGCGTGATCTCAGCTCACTGCAACCTCTGCCTCCCAGGTTCAAGCAATTCTCTGCCTCAGCCTCCTGAGTAGCTGGGATTACAGGTGCCTGCCACCACGTCCGGCTAATTTTTGTATTTTTAGTAGAGATGGGATTTCACCATCTTGGCCAGGCTGGTCTTGAACTCCTGACCTTGTGATCTACCCGCCTCGGCCTCCCAAAGTGCTGGGATTACAGGCGTGAGCCACTGCGCCCGGTGTGATTATTTTTATGAAGGAAAAGACCAGAGTCCTTTAAGAGGGGACAGTGGGGGACTTGCAATAGATTGTGTGGGAGCTGTCAGGGGAGACTTTCCAAGATGATGACAGTGAAGTGAGGCCTGGAGGGAGAGTTAGAGCCAACCTCAGAGAAGGGAACACTGTTCTAGGCAGGAGGACCCAGGGTTGTGGGAAGAGAGAAATAAAATGAGACCAAGACAGTGGGGAGAGCAGTGTGAGTTGAAGTCAGAGGGGTGACAGCAGCCAGAATGTGCCGGTAGCGAGGATCTTGGATTTTATTCTAGCTGCAATGAGAGCTTTGATTCTACAAATATTTATTGCGTGCTAGTCACTGTTTTAGGTACTGGGTGTACAACAGTGAAAAAAGAACTTCCCAGCCGAGTGGAATGCCGTGGAGCATATCTGTTTCGATGCTGGGACAGATCCCTAACACAGCTCATTAAAGCAGATAGCACCATTCCGTCTCTTTCTTCAGCTTCACTTTACGTCAGTCCCAGCATTTTTATCCCTACCCTTACAGATGAGAGAACTAAAGTTCAGAGAGGTGACGTGACTTGCCCCAGGCCCCTCAGTCAGTAAAAGACAGAACTGAGAATCCAACCAGACTCTTCCCTTTTTAGGTTATTTCTCTAACATTAGGGCCGAGTATCGATTCTCTTTACCTCTGACTTCGTGTCCCTGGTATTAAGACTCAGGGCCCACAGTGCCTCTTGGAATTCAGGCATATGGTGACATCAGTGTGCCTACCATTCAGGTCTTGGAGAATAGGGTATGGCGAAAGGAGAGAACTCGTGATATCGCTGATTCAGTAGCCCAGAGTTGTACGAGTCCTTGGGTGTTTCACCTTCATCCAGGCATCTGAGATTGGAGACAAGCATGTGGCTGAATGACGTATCTGGGGGAAGCTGTCTAAACAGCCGTGTGGAGTTGGAGAGTTGAATTAGCTCTGTGGCCAAACCTCTGGGCTCAGTCTGCCTATATATGGCTTGATCTCAAAGAACAGGTGATAGCAGTAGGAGTTGTTTTCTGTGTTGCTGGTGGGAGATGCCCAGGCACATTCCTTTGTAGACAAGCACAAACTAGATATTTTTGAAATCGGAGGTCTGAAACCAGCCGAAGAATTAATCCTGGCCTGGAAAGCATATGGGAGAGTACAGCCAACCTGGCTTGGGTGTTGCTTTCTTGGTTTTGTTGCATTTTTGAGGCAGGGTCTTGCTCTGTCACCCAAGTGGGATCACAGTGGTACAATCATGGCTCATTGCAGCCTTAACCTCCTGGGCTCAAGTGATTCTCCTGCCTTATTTTTTGATTTTTTTTGTAGAGGTGAGGTCTCACCATGTTGCCCAGGCTGGTCTTGAGCTCCTGGGCTCAAGTGATCCTCCACCTTGGTCTCCCAAAGTGTTAGGATTACAGGCGTGAGCCGCTGCCCCTGGTGACTTTGTTGCTTTTTAATAAGCCCAGAAATTTCTTTCAAGAGGGAGGATCTTTGTGAACATCTTGAGCCGCGTTCTTGATCGCTGGCTGTGGAAGCCTCCACCTATCAGGCTCAAGTCCATGTTGCTATCATGTGCACTTTGGCTGGTGAGGTGCTGAGCAGAGGTTTCAGCCTCTACCACAAGGTTTCCTGATGAAAGGTCAGCTGGGTGGGCCCAGCTTCTCCTTACCCAACTGAGAGGCCTCATAGAGCACAAGGCCTGGGTACGGAGGTTCCTGGGGCTCCTGCCATACCCAGCCAGGCCAAGCAGAGGGCCCCAGTGTGTTGTTGGGTGCTGAGAGGCTGCCCGCAGCTCTCGCCTGTGTTGGAAGGCTGTAGACTTGGCTTCTCCCAAACGTAAGCTGTGAAGCCATGGACTCAGATTCTCAGCCTGGCCCTGCTACTTACTGTGGGACCTTGGGCAAGGAAGTCTCCATTTTCTCTTTTACAAAATGGGGCCAATAATCTGACTACCACAGGGCTGTCAGGATGCAGCGGGATGGAGCCTTTATAGGGTCTTGTTCTGTGGGATCTGGAGTCCCATATGGGAGTTATTAGTTGAGGGACGAGGCATCTGGGAATCTTTATTCAACTAGGAAACTTCAGCCAAAGAACTAATGCCATAGAGATGTCTTATGGTGTCTGCATTTGAAGCCAGCGGTTCTTTGAAAATTTATCCTGAGTTCCAGAAAGCCAACTGCTAGATAAGTAAGCATTGAGCATTTAAGGGGTCCTGGAAGTAAGATTCCTGGAAAGAAGCAGCAATCTCTTACTCATCCCCGATTATCTCAGACACAGAGTGGTGGATGGAACCTTTGTGGTTTAGGGGCTGACTCTTGGTATTGCTGGATAAGGAATATGAGCCAGTAGAGACGAGTGTGTTGTATAGCAGTGTCCTGCGACTGGGCTGGAGACGTGGCTGAGGGAGGCCAGGGGGCCTCAGAGTGCACGGGAGGAGGCTTACAGAGGTCTTTTGCATCCTGCAGAACACCACATGTGTCCTTCCCTCTGGGAAACCTCCCACCCGGGCAGGGCCTCTGGGGCCGGATGTGGAAGGTAAACAGGCTGCCTTTCTGCTCTCTACCACAGACAGGCCCGGAAAGGCCTGAGTAGGAGCTTTTCATCTCAGGAAGCCCTGAGGTCCCACAGCTTCTCCTGAAGCAGCCTCATTGTCCCTTTGTAAGAGCATGACCAGGTGCTCTAGCTCCTGGAGCACCAGTGGAGAACTAGAGTGGCCCAGGTGCTGATGCCAAGTTCGAGCAACAGCTCCTGGCGGGTTTCCCTGCATCCCCCCACTCACTCCCATCTATTCTTCACATAGGGGCCAAAGAACATCCTGCTTGACATCTTGATCAGTGTCCCTTGCCCTCAGGATCAAACCTGCAAGTCCCCAAGGCCCTGCAGGATCTGTTTTCTCCTCTCTGTGCTCCGGGCGCATGCCAGCTGCCTCTCTGCTCCATGCTCATTCCTGCCTCCTGAGGGACTTCACACGGGGCCCTTGCCTCTGCCCCTTTCGCCTCAGCTCGCCACCTACCTCCTCCTCATTCTTCAGATGGCAGTTTATGCTTCACTATTTGTAGGGCCGTCGCACCTGACACCTCCAGCCTAGGTTAGGAGCATGTCCATCACCTCTACTTCTCCTTTTAACTCCAACCATCCTTGGCTCTCCCTCTCGAGGGTCACGAGAGCAGAGAGAGAATCTATTTTGTTCACCACTGTGTCCCTACCATGTGGGACATTGTCAAGGCAAATGTAAGTGTGCACTAAATAAATATGTATTGAATGAATAGATAGCCAAACAGACAGAATGGATCTGCCACAACACAAACAGGATGCTTTTCAAGTGGGCAGAAGATGGAGACATCACTTGTCGAGACACTCAAACAAGTGGCTGGATGGATGAGTGGCAGATCCATTCTGTCTTTCTGCTTGGCTTTAGGAGTAGAGGGATCACCCATGGTCCATCCTCTGAGGACAAGGGTATCATGACCGCCCAGGCCCCACTCACCCCTGCCAGGCTCATTGCATCCCATCTAAAAGTGTGCTCTGGAAGGTCATAAGAAGTCCTCACCTGGGACACTTCTAGGCCCAGTGTTCAGCCAGCTGTCCTGAGTTCTGCATCAGTCCCTGCTAGATATGAAACACAAACAGGATGCGATGCTTTTCTTTTTTTTCTTTTTCTTTTTTGAGACGGAGTCTCGCTGTGTTGCCCAGGCTGGAGTGCAGTGGGTGCAACCCCTACCTCCCGGGTTGAAGTGATTCTCCTGCCTCAGCCTCCCAAGTAGCTGGGATTACAGGTGCACACCACCATACCCGGCTAATTTTTGTATTTTTGGTAGAGACAATGTTTCACCATGTTGGCCAGGCTGGTCTCAAACTCCTGGCCTCAAGTCATCTGCCTGTCTCAGCCTCCCAAAGTGCTGGGATTACAGGTGTGAGCCACCGCGCCTGGCCAAACAGGATGCTTTGCAAGTAGGCAGAAGAGGGAGACATCACTGTCCCATGGAGAGGTGGGAAAATCATCGTTAGCACAGGATAATTCATCCTATTTTGTGCTCATGTTTACTGAGCTAGGATTGACCTGTGTCCGGGCAGCAGGGACACAGAGGTGAGTAAGACAAAGAGAAGGCCCTTGCCCTTAAAAATGATACGTGTGGCTAAAACGCTGTAGACCTTTTTGTTTTTTCCTTTTTGAGACTTCCTTTTTATACAGAAATTGCTACCTGCAGGTAAAATTAACTTACATCGTGAAAGCGACAGTAAAGTGTTTCTAGGGATAGCTAAAGACCTAAGAACACAGCCCTGTGGTTTGACTGGCTGGCCACCTTCCTGCAGCTGGGTTTACTATGGTGCTGTGTTCTGGGACAGCCCACTCGTCTCCATTTATTGGGCTGAGCCTCGAGACCTGCAATACCAGGGAAGGAAGGGAAGTCTAGGCTGTCTTTGGTGGCCATTGTTATTTATGGGGCATCGGCAGAGAAGTCAGTACCATGGAAAATCTAGAGAAAGATAGAGGATACGCAGTGTGGTTGAGCAGAATCTGATAGCTCCCTGGCTCTCTCCGGGCCATGGGACCCAGGGCGACACAGCCACCCTTTTTCTCTCTGCTGTCTGGCTTGGGCTTGGGCTTTGTCTCCTGTGTCCCTCCACACCTTCTTCGCTGTCAGTGGTGACCAATCCCGTGGAATCAGCCACTGTGTGTTACCCCAAGTCCTTGCCCCTGGGACCTCGCTCTGTTCGGAGACAAAACCCGGGACTGTTTCTCCTTTTAAATGCAACCTTGTTCCACAGGAGAGGAGAAAAGCAAGAAAGAGGTGGCTTGTTTATCTGATGGTAGTGGGGTGTGCTCTGATATGCCTTTGAAAGGGGCCCAGCTTTGCTTTGCCCAGCGGCCTTTGCAGGATAATGAGAGAAGGAAAACACAGGGAACTTAGTGGGAATTTGAAACTGGAGTGTGGGAGTGGGAAAGTTCAGCTTTTACCTTGGAGCAATCCAGTCTTTCTCCTGTAGGAAAACAGAATGGTGCTGTATGGCCTCCAAGCTGGGTTACATCCTGGGAAAAAGACACGTGCTTGGCTATTGGCCTGGGCGCAGTTTATGTGTAAGCCTTTCCTTGTGGATTCCATTTTCTTATTTCCCGAATACTTCTCAGCCCCACAAGTCCACTGAGTCTTCTGTCTCCAGAGACTGCCTGGTTTCCATCCCCGAGGGCATCTGCGCATCACTTACCATGGTGTACCATGCACCTCCAGTGTGCCCGGCACTGTGTCAGGAGCTGGGGATACAGGTGCTGGTCCCCACCTCACTCCCCTCAACCTCTGCAATATATGATACATAACCCACACACACAGACCATATGCAAAAGTGGTGGGACTCCTTTGTACCTGTCACCTGCATCAGTGATTATCAGCATTTTGCCAGACTTGTTTCATCAGTGTCTCCCAACACACTCCCCCCAGACATTACCCATACGTGCTCAAATAGATTTGGGTGTGCGTGTGTGTGTGTGTGTGTGTGTGTGTGTGTGTATTTTTTTAGAGACAGGGTCTCGCCCTGTCACCCAGGCTGGAGTACAGTGGTGAGATCATAGCTCACTGCGGCCTCTGAACTCCTGGGCTTGCTTTGTTGCCCAGGCTGGTCTCAGAACTCCTGGCCTCAAGCGATTCTGCCACCTTAGCCTCCCAAAATGCTGGGATTACAAGTGTGAGCCACCGCACCCGGCCAATGTATGTATTTTTAAACATAACCACATACTGTTATATTTAATGCTTCTGACCATGTCTTAAGAAAAAAACAAAAACTCCCTTTGGCTTCCTTGACATCACAGTCTCTCTGTTTCTCTGACTCTTCTTCCTCATCTCCTATGGCTAAATTCTCTCCCTCTGTCCACTGCTTACACATGGGCATTTCACAATGTCCTTTTTCCCTGAAGGAACTTACCCCCTCCCCTCAGCCTTAAGTACCCCATCTGTGGGGATGATGCCCATGCCTGTAGTCCTGACTCACTCACCACGCTCTATCGCAGTTATTTACTGATGCATCTCTCTCCCCTATCAGACGCTGAGGTCTTTGATGGAGCAACCTTGTATTTGTCCGTGTATCCCCAGCACCACACCTGTCCATAGCTGGAGCTCAGGAAGTTTTTTTTTTTTTTTTTTTTTTTTTTTTTTTTTAAAGTCAGAGTCTCACTCAGTCGCCCAGGCTAGAGTGCAGTGGCACAATCTTGGCTCACTGCAACCTCCACCTCCTGGGTTCAAGCAAGCACGTCTGGGTAATTTTTGTATTTTTAGTAGAGATGGGGTTTCACCATTTGGCCAGGCTGGTCTCGAAGTCCTGACTGCAAGTGATCTGGCCGCCTTTGGCTCCCAGATTGCTGGGATTACAGACAGGCATGAGCCACTGCGCCCGGCCTCAGGAAGTAGTTGAATGAGTGACTGAATGAATGCCCACGTGAGCAAATGACCTGTTTGCTGAACTTTAGACTGACGTTGCCTGATGCCCACTGCTTGTGCAGTACGTACTTCAGTCTCAGCGTGTCTGAGACCAAACTCATTTTCAAGTCCCACTTCTTGGGCTTGGCATTGCCCATTTGTCAGCCATCCGAGTCAGAAACCTTGGAGTCAGCTTTTGACTTCTCATCCTGTAACAGGCACCAAGTTTGATTTCTTTCCCTTGAATATCTCTTAGAACCCTCACCTTCCTCCTTCTCTTTATTCCTACCATTGTCCTTACTCAGGACCATATAGTGAGGGTTTAAAAGTGCAGAGTCTTGGCCGGGTGCGGTGGCTCACACCTGTAATCCCAGCACTTTGGGAGGCCAAGGCGGGTAGATCACCTGAGGTCAGGAGTTCGAGACCAGCCTGGCCAACATGGTGAAACCCCGTCTCTACTAAAAATACAAAACTTAGCTGGATGTGGTGGTATGTGCCTGTAATCCCAGCTACTCAGGAGGCTGAGGCAGGAGAATTACTTGAACCCGGGAGGTGGAGGTTGCAGTGAGCTGAGATTGCGCCACTGTACTCTAGCCTGGGTGACAGAGTGAGACTCCAATCTCTAGAAAAAAAAAAAAAAAAAAAAAAAAGCAGATTCTAAACTCACAGTGCTGCTGCTGGCTGCCTGAGCTTGTGTGGCTTTGGACAGATGACTTAACCACTCTGTGAAGATGGTATCTGATGCACAGGAAATGCTCCAACGTTGGCTCTTGTCGTCATCTGTGCCCATGTCTCCCTCAGCAGCCTCCTGACTGGCCTTCTCCAGTCTCCTGGTTTGGATTGAGGCTCCCTAGACCCTACCTTTCTGAGACTGGTATCTAGTCAGGTTACTCTGGGAGATCTCCACCCCCCACTGCCCAGAGAGCAGGTTCTGAGCTCTTCAGTCTCTCCACCTTCTGGCCCCGGCTGACACCATCCCTGCCACTTCTCCTGGGGTCCCCAAACATCTGTGGTACTTTTGTCTTTCTTGCCCTTGGTGTTCCCACTCTGCAGAACAACCTTCTCTCCAGGTCACCACTGATCGCAATCGCGCTCTCCTTTCAAGGCCCAGATCAGGTGTCACCTGACCTTTGCTGTCCTCAGATCACACCTCCCTGTAGCGACTGGCTCGCCAGTGTCCCTCTCTGACCGAGCTGTGCACTCCTCCAGGGCAGCACTGTCAGGGTCTCCCCCAGACCCTTGGTTGTGATTCTCTCTCCTTGTCCTGAATCTCAGTTTTCCTGATACATGGGATGCTACCTGAAGGCAGGTTTCAACTTTCAATCTTTTTTTTTGTTTTTTGGGTGAGATGGAGTCTTGCTCTGTTGGTCAGGCTGGAGTGCAGTAGCGCCATCTCGGCTTACTGCAGCCTCCGCCTCCTGGGTTCAAGGGATTCTCGTGCTTCAGCCTCCTGAGTAGCTGGGACCACAGGGGCCTACCACCACACCTGGCTAATTTTTGTATTTTTAGTAGAGACGGGGTTTTGCCATGTTGACCAGGCTGGTATCAAGCTCCTGGCCTCAAGTGATCCACCCACCTCAGCCTCCCAAAGTGTTGGGATTACAGGCGTGAGCCACCGCTCCTGGCCTGGAGGATTTCAGATTTAAAGCAAAGAGGATATTTTCCAACAAAGCAACTGCTTTTCTTTTTTCTTTTTAAATTTTGTTTATTTATTTTTAATAAAGATGGGATCTTGCATCTTGCCCAGGCTGGTCTCAAACTTCTGGCCTCAAGTGATCTGCCTGCCTCAGCCTCCCGAAGTGCTGGGATTACGGGTGTGAGCTACCATGCCCTGTCTCTTTTTTTGTTTGTTTTTTTTCCAAATTGAAACAGGGTCTCACTATGTTGCCCAGGCTGGATTGAACTCCTGGCCTCAAGCAGTCCTCTCGCCTTGGCCTCCCAAAGTGTTGAGATTAGAGGTGTGAGCCACCATACCTGGCCCTGTAGAGGGGAGGCATTGATGAAGGTCAAGAAGTCCTGTTAGCTCTGCCTTCAGAATCTACCCCAGGTCCTTTTAGTTCTCTCCAGCCTCACTGCTGGAACCCTCACCCAAGCCACCACCTTGCAGTCCACACACGGCCACTGGGATTGGGGCGGCGTTCTCCGCGCGAAATCTGGCTGTGCTCCTCCCCCATGAGGCCCTCCAAAGGCTTCCTCTTCTTAGGATGAAACCCACACTGCCAGCCGAAGCTCCTCAGGCTCCCACCCTCTACAAGCTCCTTCTGCTCCAGCCACACTCACCAGGCCCGAGTTCCCACCTAGCACCTTCCCTGGGAATGATCTCCCCCTGGTTGGCTCTTTCTACTTATTCAGCCTCAAATGTCATCTCCACTGAGAGGCCTTTCCTGACCTGCTGAGCTTGATTCCCTCCCCTCCCCAGTCACATTACTCCGTGTTATGGTACCCATCCCTGTCTCCTTAGCTTGTTTTTGTCTGTATTGGCTCTTCCACTAGACTGTAAGTTGCATGAGGGCAGGGATGTCTGTTTAATCCCAGTGCTCAGGATAGTGTATGGCTCGTGATAGATGCCTAGTACATTTTAAAATGAGAACGAATGAAGTTTGGGAGAGGCTCAGAGCAGTGAGTCTCCCCCTTGTTGGGGGACTGGGGAGTGCCTGGGAGGGGCTATCTGGTGCCAGCGGTTTGGAGTGGCTGGGATGACTCTGGAATCCTGTGAGGCCCAGTCAGTTTCTTTGGTTCTCATGCAGTGCAGTGCCCTCAGACCTAACCATTTTGTTCCGTGCTGGCTTGAAAGGGTCTGCCTCCCTCCCAGTGCAGCCCCTGCCTCTCCTCTTTCTCGCCCCCCGCCCTCCTCCAGAGAAAGCAGGTGGTGAGGGCTCTCTAACCCAGACAGGACTTGCTGTTCAGCCCCAGCTTGAAATTGATTTCCTCCAGCCCTCCTTGAGCCAGGCCCCGTGAACAGAGGAGGGGTCTGAGCCAGGCCTCCTAGGCCATTGGTGGGAGGGAGAATGAGACAGCCATTTGGCCCACAGGCCACCAACTTTTCCCCCCCTTCTCTAAAAGACACACAATGGCAGTTGGGCTGCACCTTTGTGAGTCACCGGTGATAGCCCATCATAAATTGTTATTTCCTATATTTCCAGAGCAGCTTTATCGGGCGTTGCCTGTGCAGTCCGGGAACCGATTTGGTATGGGGTCAGTTAACATGCTGTCTTGTTGAAATCTGTCATCATGCCCATATAAGGCAAACTCCTTGGATTACTTTTTACCTTGGCAGAATCACAGGAATGTCAAGGTAACCAGGCCACCTCAGCATAGCTCTGATTCTCACCCGGTCACCTGACTTGCCCGCCCTCCCCCATGACTCACCCAGTGGCTCAGCATGGGGCCTGCTGCACTGTGGCTGCTGGAATCTGCCAAGGACCTCCTGGGACTGCCCTTGGTTTTGTGTCTTCCTTAGAGTAGATCAAATGAGAGGAACCATGTGAAGTAGCTCACACAGGGCCTAACAGAGCAAACACAAGACGTGGAAAGCAGACTTGGTGAGGCTTGAGTTTAGTTTGGGGGTTGCGGGGGTCCCAGCTCTGCTGCTTAACAGCCCTGTGGCCATGGGTATATCCCCCAGCATTCAGAGCCTTATCTGTAAAATTAGAGCACGCAGAACAAACCCTGGTACACACTAAGTGCTCAATAAATGTGAGTCATTTGTGTAATTATAGTAGGGTAGGCCTTATGCCCCACCCAGTCATAAAAATGCCTCTTGCTGTTGTTGGTTCAGGCTCAGCCCCTTAGTGGCTTTCATGGGGCAGGTTGACATGGTACCCAGAGTCCTCCTCGGTCCTCTTCCCATGGTGTAGTGAGAGCACTCAGGACCACCTAGGCCTTTCCTAGAAAACTGAACCCACACCTTCCCAGTGCTGCCCCACCCTGGTCCCCCACCCCCTGCAGGACAAACCACTCCTCCCTTGTTTTGGGGCCAGGAGTCAGATCTGCCCCTGAGAGCAGCAGGGGCCCCTTTGTCCTTTGACGTCATACCCACACCGCTCCTGGAGACAGCCACCCCTTCATGCCAGCCCCAGGAAGGCTTGTAGGTGGGGCGAGCCAGGGTGAGAGTGTAGCCCTGTTCCTCGGCCAGGGCAGATGTTTCACCATTTTTAATGGAGCAATTATGAGTCAGAGGTTTCAGTCTCTACTGGTTCCTCCCGATCCTATAATTACTCTTTGGCTATAGAATCCTATTTTGATCTCTTCTTTTCTTTTCTCTTCTTTCTCTCTCTGTGGTCATGGTCAGGTTTTTCTTTTTTTAAATCCTCCCAAGACACTGCTAATGTTGTCTGTCTCATGCATCCAAGGAATCTGAGATGGACTGAATATTGTCAAGGGAAAAAAAAAGAGACCCCCAAATCCAGAGTGATTTCTTAACCCACCCAAATGGCTTTTTGTTTGTTTGTTTGTTTGTTTGAGACGGAATCTCGCTCTTTAGCCAGGGTGGAAGGCAGTGGCGTGATCTCAGCTCACTGCAACCTCTGCCTCCTGGGTTCAAGCGATTCTCCTGCCTCAGACTCCCAAGTAGCTGTGATTACAGGCACATGCCACCAAGCCCAGCTAATTTTTGTATTTTTAGTAGAGATAGGGTTTCACCATGTTGACCGGGATGGTCTCGAACTCCTGACCTCGTGATCCACCCACCTTGGCCTCCCAAAGTGCTAGGATTACAGGTGTGAGCCACCGTGCTTGGCCAACCCACCCAAATTGTGTACCCTACACCATCCTAGTGCTTGGGAGCCAACACCCACTCACAGGAGGCTAAGGGCAAGTTTAGGTAACTCTTAACACCACGAATTAGTTGCCTGCTGGCAAACTTCAAACTCCAAGCCTGAAATTTCTGGTTGGAGTCACCTCCCAGATGGACTCAGGGATTCATTCACCCCCTCATCCAGTGCTCACGGAGCCTCTGTGAGGTGCAGGCCTGGAGAGGAGCCCTGTGGCCTCAGCAAAGGGCAGGCAGGCTGGTGAGCACCCAACCTCTGGATCGAGGGGACTCAATTATGCGGATAAAGGCCCCTAATCCTCTCAGTGCTCCAAACTCACTCTGCTTCTGAAAGGGATCTTCGTACCCTGGGTTCAGAGAGTAGGAAGCCCGCAGGGACCGAGTATGCATGAAACAAGCCCAAGTCTGTGGGGGCTGTACATGGTCAAGATCACAGATTTCCAGACCAAGCCAGCTCCACCCTAGCTGGGATGCCCACCCTGAGACACCCCTCTCTGCTTTCACTGGAATAGGATGGCCCTGACTTGGCCGGGTGGACTGTTGAATCAGAGCCTCTCAAAACAGGAAAAAGGAAAAGGATCACCAAGCAGGAGTTTCAGTTGTCAAAGACAAAACCCTTAC
The DNA here is from genome assembly GCF_000001405.40 of Homo sapiens. Classification (NCBI taxonomy): domain Eukaryota; kingdom Metazoa; phylum Chordata; class Mammalia; order Primates; family Hominidae; genus Homo; species Homo sapiens. The sequence continues at coordinate 38,685,896 of NC_000019.10, forward strand.
CACGATTAAAGATTACTCCAGGGCCTCGCATATTCACCCTTCCACCAGCAGGGCCCAGTTTACGGATCATTTGAATACTAGCAAAAAAACAAGCCATCTGCTGGAGAGATTGAACAGAGGGAGAAACAGGAGTGTTTGCCCTGCTTCCAGACACCCCTTTCCTGTGGCAGTTCCTGCACCTGGCAAGATCTACTGGGGAATTCCCGGGGTCCCACTAGCTCAGGACGGGTGTGTAGCACTTGCCTAAATAACAATCCCATCAGTGCCCTGTCTGACCTTTTCTCCCCAAATGCCAAAGGCCTCTTGTCTGGATGAACAAATCCCTGGGCGGATTTGTCCAGACTAAAACGTTAATTCTAAAGACTGGGCCCCTTAGGCACTCGCTAAGATTCCAGGCCACACTGTCTCAAGGCCAGAATTGGCTTACTTGGCTATCTTTTTGAAAGATCAAAGTTTAAACCAGATGATCTGTAGTCCCCCACCCCCACCCTGAAACCTGAGCTTAGCTGTAAGCATTGAAAGTAAATGGGGTGTTTGTAGCTCACCCTCCCTGTTCTCCAGGTGAAGGGCCCCGTGTGCCTGATCATTTCATAGCAAAATGCTAGATGGGGCCAGAGGAGGCCCCAGCCTCTGCTGCTGCCCTAATTTTAAAACTGCCTTTTGGGAGTGTAAGTTTCCTCTGTTAAAGGTAGTTATTTCAAGGTAGGCCTCACCATCTCCTCCTCCTGGTGAGAAGCTCTGCCTGGAGGGCTGAGCACTGCCTCCCGCTCTGTGGGCCCCACCTGCCTTGGGTTGAGACCTATCTCTTCCTGGACTCTGTGTGGGGAGTGCAGGCTCTTCCCCTTGGGGAGAACCCAGTTCTTTGACGTATAATCTGAGTGGTTTGGGTTGGTTGGTTGGTTGGTTGGTTGGTTTCCCATGTGTGGGATGGCTCCGGAAGTCTGTTTGAGAACAGAGGCAGGCTCAGATGGGAGCAGCTCCTACCCCGGGCCGCCTATCCCCCTTTACCCTGGGGTTTCTTTTAGCTCCAAGCATCCATTCCAGTCTAACAAATCTGGTGGCAGAGTCTCTTTTTTTTTTTTTTTTGAGACAGAGTCTCACTCTGTTGCCCAGGCTGGAGTACAGTGGCACAATCTCGGCTCACTGCAGCCTCCGCCTCCTGGGCTCAAGCGATTCTCTTGCCTCAGCCTCCTGAGTATCTGGGATTACAGGCGTGTGCCACCACGTCTGGCTAATTTTTCTGTATTATTAGTAGAGACGGCTGGTCTCTACTAATAGTTCAAGACGGCTGGTCTTGAACTCCTGACCTCAAATGATCCACCTGCCTCAGCCCCCCCAAAGTGCTGGGATTACAGGCGTGAGCCCCTGCACCCAGCCCCTCTGGTTCTACTGAGACCTCAGATCTTTCATTTATGGAACAAGGGGGTTGGATTAGATTGTTCGCTCTCAGCCCTCACTTCATGTTAGACTCACTAGGTGGACTTTGTCAAATGTCATTGCCCAGGGCCCACCTTGAGGGAATCTGTCTCATTTTGCCTGTGGTGAAATTCAGGTATTTTTAAAAAGCTCCCAGGTCCCATACATCTATTGTCAATTGATTTTCAACAAGGGTGCAGGACCATTCAATGGGGGAAAGAATAGTGTTTTCAACAAATAGTGCAGGAACAACTATTAATAGATACCCATCTGCAAAGAATGAAGTTGAACCTTTACCTCACACCATATACAAAAATTAACTCCAAACGGATCAGATACCTAAATGTAAGAGCTAAAACTGTAAAACTCTTAGAAGAAAACACAAGTGTAAATCTCATGACCTTGGGTTAGGCAATGGTTATTAGATATGACAGCAGAAACACAACCGAAGAAAAATAGATAAATCAGACTGTTTCAAAACTGGAAACTTTTTGCTTCAAAGGACACTATTAAAGTAAAAGGACAACCCGCAGAATATTTACAAATTGTATATCTGATAAGGGTCTACTGTCCAAAATGTATAAAGGACTCTTAAATTCAACAGTAAAAAGACACACCAGTTAAAAATGGGCAAAGGATTCAAATAGACACTTCTCCAAAGAAGATCTACAAATGGTCAATAAGCACATGAAAAGGTGTTCGATGTCATTACTAATTAGGGCAAATCAAAACCATAACCACTACAAATGGTCAATAAGCACATGAAAAGGTGTTCAATGTCATTACTAATTAGGGCAAATCAAAACCATAACGTGGTTGGGCCTGGTGGCTCATGTCCATAATTCCAACATTTTTGGAGGTAGAAGTGGGAGGATGGCTTGGGGCCACGAATTGGAGACCAGCCTGGGCATCATAGTGAGACCCTGCCTCTACAGAGAATTAAAATAAAAAATTAGGCCGGGTATGGTGGCTCATGCCTGTAATCCTAGCACTTTGGGAGGCCGAGGCGAGTGGATCACCTGAGGTCAGGAGTTTGAGACCAGCCTGGCAAACATGGTGAATGAAACCTTGTCTCTACCAAAAAAAAAAAAAAAAAAAAACCCACAAAAATTAGCTGGACATGGTGGTGGGCGCCTGTTGTCCCAGCTAGTGGGGAGGCTGAGGTGGGAGAATCGCTTGAACCTGGGTGGGAGAGGTTGCATTGAGCCGAGATCACGCCATTGCACTCCAGCCTGGGCAACAGGGTGAGACCCTGTCTCTAAATAATAATAAAAATGAGAAATTGGCCAGGTGTAGTAGCATATTCCTGGGAGGCTGAGGTGGGCAGATTGCTTGAGCCCAGGAGTTCAAGGCTGCAGTGAGCTATGATGACACCACTGTACTCCAGCCTGGGCAACAGAGTAAGACCCCAACCCTAAAACAAAAAAAAACAGAAAACCACAATGAGATACCACTGCACACCCACCATGATGGCTATAATCAGAAAGTCAGATAATAAGTATTGACTAGGATGGGAGAAATCAGAACCCTCACATTGCTGGTCAAAGTGTAATGTGGTGCAGCTTCTTGGGAAAACAGTCTGGCAGTTCCTCAAAATTTAAACATGTTTTGTATTTTTAGTAGAGACGGGGTTTCACCATGTCACCCAGGCTGGTCTTGTCTCAGCCTCCCAAAGTGTTGGAATTACAGGCATGAGCCACCACGCCCAGCCAAGTTCCTCAAATTTTTAAATATAAGAGGTATCATATGACTCAGCAATTTTACTCCTAGGTATATGCCCAAGGCAGTTGAAAACATGTCCACATAAAACTTGTACATGAATATTCACGGTGGTGCTAATATCCAAAAGATAGAAGCAACACAAATAATGCCCATCAGCCAATGAATTGATAAATAAAATGTGGTATATCCATACAATGGAATGTTATTCAGACAGGAACGAAGTACTGGTACATGCTACAACATGGCTGAACCTTGAAAACATGCTAAGGAGAAGCCAAACTCAAAGATCATATACCATATGGTTCCACTTATATGAAATGCCCAGAATAGGTAAATTGCAAGAGACGAAAGAAAGGTAGGTTAGTGGTTGCCAGGGGCTGGGGGCTGGGTAGGAGGGAAGTGGGGTTGGAGAGTAACTGTACCAGTTTTGCGGTGGTAGACATGTTCCTTGTATTTTTGGTTTTTTGTTTTGTTTTGTTGTTTTGAGATAAGGTCTCACTGTCGCCCAGGCTAGAGTGCAGTGGCGCTGTCATAGCTCACTGTAGCCTCGAATTCCCAGGCTTAAGTGTTCCTCCCACCTCAGCCTTCTGAGTAGCTGGGACTACAGGCAAGAGTCACCATACCCAGTTAATTTTTAATTTTTTTTTTCTTTTTCTTTGAGATGGAGTCTCGCTCTGTTGCCCAGGCTGGAGTGCAGTGGCGCGATCTTGGCTCATTGCAACCTTTGCCTCCCGGGTTCAAGCGATTCTCCTGCCTCAGTCTCCTGAGTAGCTGGAACTACAGGCGTGCGCCACCATGCCCGGCTACTTTTTGTATTATTAGTTAGAGACGAGGTTTCACCATGTTGGCCATGAGAGACAGGACTAGCTGGATTTCCTAGGCCGACTAAGAATTGCTAAGCCTAGCTGGGGAAGGTGATCGCACCCACCTTTAAACACCGGGCTTGTAACTCAGCTCACACCTGACCAATCAGGCAGTAAAGAGGGCTCATTAAAATACCAATTAGGTTAAAAGCAGGAGGTAAAGAAATAGTCAAATCATCTATCATCTGAGAGCACAGGAGGAGGGACAATGATTGGGATATAAACCCCAGGCATTTGAGGCGGGAGTGGGCCACCCCCTTTGGTTCCCCTCCCACTGTATGGAAGCTCTGTTTTCACTCTATTAAATCTTGCAACTGCACACTCTTCTGGTCCACGTTTGTTTTGGCTTGAGCTGAGCTTTCGCTCACCATCCTTCACTGCTGTTCACCGCCATCACAGACCCACTGTTGACTTCCACCCCTCCGGATCCAGCAGGGTGTCTGCTGCATTTCTGATCCAGCGAGGCGCCCATTGCTGCTCATTCGGGCTAGAGGCTCGCCATTGTTCCTGTGCGGCTCAGTGCTCGAGTTTGTCCTAATCGAGCTAAACACTAGTCGCTGGGTTCCATGGTTCTCTTCCATGACCCACGGCTTCTAATAGAGCTATAACACTCACTGCATGGCCCAAGGTTCAATTCCTTGGAATCCGTGAGGCCAAGAATGTTAGGTCAGAGAACAAAAGGCTTGCTGCCATCTTGGGAGCAGCCACTACCAACTTGGGAGCTCTAAGAACAAAGACCCACCGGTAACAGCCAGGCTGGTCTTGAACTCCTGACCTCGTGATCTGCCCGCCTTGGCCTCCCAAAGTGCTGGGATTACAGGCGTGAGCCACCTTGCCTAGCCTTGTTCTGGAATTAGTGGTGATTGTTGCACGATCTTGTGAATATACTAAAACTCCCTGAATTTTATGTAAAAGGGTGAATTTTTTGGTATGTTATGTGAATTACATTTCAATTTTTAAAAATTGATTCTCCAAATTATGTACATATTTAAAGAGTACATGAAAGAGAGGGAGAGAAAGAAAAGCTGGATGCGAGATGCCGCAACCTGATTCCACTCACTCCTAGATTTGTTGAGTACCTGCTATGTGAAAGGTACCAGTCCAGGCAGTGGGTTCCCACAGCAAACAGAACCCTCCTCTGGGGAGCTTATGCTGCACTTGGGAGGGAGACTGGTTATGAACAAAGAACATAGTTTTTGATGATGAAAAGTGCAGTGAGTAAAACAATGCAGTGTGAGGCCGGGTGTGTTGGCTCACGCCTGTAATTCCAGCACTTTGGGAGGCCGAGGTGGGCGGATCACCTGAGGTTGGGAGTTCGAGACTAGCCTGACCAACATGGAGAAACTCCGTCTCTACTAAAAATAAAAAATTAGCCAGGCCTGTAATCCCAGCTACTCGGGAGGCTGAGGCCAGAGAATAGCTTGAACTCAGGAGGCAGAAGTTGCGTTGAGCTGAGATCATGCCATTGCACTCCAGCCTGGGCAACAAAAGTGAAACTCCGTCTCAAAAAAAAAAAAACAAAAAAAACAAAAAAAAAAACCCAACAACGCAGAGTGGAGTGATAGCCTAGGGGAGATGACAGAGTCCAGGAAGGCCTCCTGGGTTGCTGACATTTGAGGCAAGTCCTGAGTGATGAGACAAAACCAGCTCTATAAAGAGCTAGACGAAAGTCTTAGACCAGTATTTCTCATGAGGAGGAGACAGCACTCCAAAATCCATCCTTTGGCCTGGCGCGGTGGCTCACGCCTGTAATCCCAGCACTTTGGGAGGCTGAGGCGGGTGGATTACCTGAGATCAGGAGTTCGAGACCAGCCTGGCCAACATGGCAGAAACCCGTCTCTACTGAAAATATAAAAATTAGCCGGGTGTGATGGTGGGTGCCTGTAATGCCAGCTACTCGGGAGGCTGAGGCAGGAGAATCACTTGAACCCGGGAGGTGGAGGCTGCAGTGAGCCGAGATCATGCCACCGCACTCCAACCTGGCGACACAGCGAGACTCTGTCTCAAAACAAACAAACAAACAAAATCCGTCCTTTGCAGCAGCAACACGCACGCTTTCTGGCACCTCAAAGGGGATTGTCCAAGACTGGAACACTGGCTGCAGGGAGGGGGCCGGGTGCAAAGAGCTGGTTTCTGGGTGGACACGCAGGACCTTTGGAATGCTCGCTACCCCACTCAGCAGTATTTATACCTCTTCTCCAACTGCGAAGTCAGAGCTTTTTCATGCAGGCTGAGAAAACTCCGAATAAGGCAACTTCAGGCCAGGACATAAGACGCATTCCATATTTCACTGTAATTGCTTTCAAATTAGGTTATGTCGTCATGTAACAGGCACACACAGTGCACTTGCTTTGCCCCTGGCTGGGGTTGGGTCCTGGACAGGCTGCCCCGTGTGTCGCTGAACTGCCGCAGTGCTAGCCCTGATTGCCTGGGCAGTAGGGCTGTCTGCGTCCCACGTTGCTGCACCCATCTAATTTGTGGCTGTGTTATTGTGACCTGCTCGTTTTCTGTTCTTTCAACCTGCTTCCTGGCTTTTATCTCCTTCAGAATCTGGTGGCAGTGGATCTTCAAAAAGTGCTCAGGTGTGCAGTCTCACAGGCCAGAGGCTCCACGGGCCCCCTTGCCAGGGCGAGCATCTCTGCCTGTGCCGCTGGTAACCCAGATTCCAGAAGGCTTAGCCGTCTGGCCCTGAAAGCGCCTTTATAGTTGGTGATGAAGCCCATGGGCTGGGGAGCCGTTTCTGCTTTCAGGAACTGAAAAGATGCCCCAGTGGGGCTAGGCCTTGCCTGAGGTCTGGCAATAGCCTGCCAGATGGGTGATAAGAAGGCCTACCCAGGTGATAAGCCTACCCAGGAATAAATAGCTGTACCTCCCCTGTGTCCAAGCCCTGGACACCCTTCCCTAGGACCCATGGAAGCAGGAACCATGGGCAGCGTCAGAGGCCACAGCAGGCAAGGTGGAAGTTCAGGAGGTGGGACGGCGCCCTCCCCCTCAAAGCAACTGATGCCCCAGCGGAGCGACAAACCCTACACGGTATTTCAGAGCCAAGGTTTGAAAACTCCCAGGGTGCTAGGGAGCTCCGTCTGGCCTCCGGGTACCTGGGGTTGGGGCTGGCTGTGGCCAGTTGCAGTCAACCCTGAGCCTGGGCAAAATGCATGCAGGCTGGTCCTCCTGGGTGATATCCTGCTAGGCGGGTGGGCAGTGTACACGGCAGAAGAGGGTTGCGGCATGAGGCAGCAAACGTTTTTTTCTAAAATCTTGTCAAGCGTGGGGTCCGTGGAATCCACATGTGAGCATCAGCCTGGTGGGTGGGGAGAGTGAAGCCTGCGATCCAGTCTGGATCATGTGCTACACAGTGCAGAGCCGGCATGCTCACCCCTCCTGAGGGATCGCTCGAGCCTATTTCTAGGCCCAAAGCGACTTTGCAAGAGACTCCCTTTATTCTGGGCTTAGTGGAATTCCAGCTTCCAACAGCCATTTCCCTCCACCCCCTTCAGTTCTGAGAACATGTTTTGTAACAGGAAGGCAGGAAGAAAAGAGAAGGCGAGTTTGTTCAGCTGGGTCAGCCGCATCCCACCAAGGCCCTTTCTTCCCTCCAGCTCACCATCGCTCTGCCCACTGGAACCACTCGGTTGCCCTGTGTCTGCCGAATGTTTGTTTCTTAATCAGCGCCCCAGAGTAGAGAGGGCTTTGCCTCTTCGGGTTGAGGGAGGGAATCATTGATGAATGGCTCATTAAAGCCCACTGCTGCCACATTCCTGGGTGCTTAGGTCACCTCCTGAACAATATCCATCATTCATTCACCTACCGCCCCACATCCTGGCGGCTGGGAGGGGTCCCTGTGACGCAGGAAGGACTTTATGACCAGAGATGCTAGGTCTCCGTCTCCCTCCTGCAGCCCACAGTGACAAAGCAGAAACTGCTCTTGGGGCCCCCTGAAGCCCGCCTTAGCTGGGTCACCATGGGCCTTGGCACACGGAGGGGTGACAGTGGATCCCAACTCAACTGACAAGCTTGCCTTTCTCTGTTCTTCCACCCCCCTTCCCCGCACTCACACCCTGTGCTATTTTAGCAACCAGAGAAGCCTCTTTAATAGGCTGCCCGTGTGCAGGGGCAAGCTCTGAAGCCTCCTCTCTGTGGTTTGGTTCACATGTGTTCTCAAAGACAGATGAGTCCACATCCTTCCTTCCTCCCTAGATAGGTCAAGGGCTGGGTGCAGGCTGCCTTCACAGGAGGGCCAGGGACAGGCTGGGAGGAGCGGGGCCACCTTTTGCGAAGCGGGTGATCTGCTGGGGCGTTGCTCTGCCTGCCTGCCTTGTTCTCTGAGTTTACCTCTAGCTTGGGGACCAAGGGTGGGCTGGGGCCTTCTTTTTTTTTTTTTGAAACCGAGTCTTACTCTGTCTCCCAGGCTGGAGTGCAGTGGCGCGATCTTGGCTCACTGCAACCTCTACCTCCCAGGTTCAAGCGATTCTCCTGTCTCAGCTTCCCGAGTAGCTGGGTTTATAGGAGCCCGCCACCACGCCCAGGTAATTTTTGTATTTTTAGTAGAGACGAGGTTTCACCATGTTGGCCAGGCTGGTCTTGAACTCCTGACCTCAAGTGATCCGCCCGCCTCGGCCTCCCAAAGTGCTGGGATTACAGGTGCGAGCCACTGCGCCCGGCCCTGGCTGGGGGCTTCTTGACCTGACTCTGCTGTCTCTCCCTCACTGGCCAGCACCTCCCATTCTACTCAGACATCGTGGAATGAATGCCCACCCCGTGTTTGTATGTATCATCTGTGTCTGTGTGACATTAAGCAAGTCACTGAACCTCTCCCTGCCTCAGTTTCCTCATCAAATGGAGATATATCGCATGTGATCATGGGGTTGGAGGTTTTAAAGAGTTGCTAATGTGTAAATAGTAAGAACTAGCAATTAGCCGTTATAGCATAATTACCTTTAATATGTCATGCCCCCCGCACCCCCGTGCTGAATGTAATTTTGCGGGGGGGCGGGTTGAGACAGGGTCTGGCTCTGTCACCGAGGCTGGAGTGCACTAACACAATCTCAGCTTACTGCAACCTCTGCCTCTCAGGCACAAGCTGTCTTCCCACCTCAGCCTCTCGAGTAGCTGGGACTACAGGCGCTCAGTACCACGCCTGGCTAATTTTTGTAGTTTTTGTAGAGATGGGGTTTTGCCATGTTGCCTAGGCTGATCTCAAACTCCTGTGCTAAAGCAATCCTCCCGCCTCGGCCTCCTAAAGTGCTGGGATTACATGGTGTGTGCCACCATGCCTGGCTGGCCAGAATGTAAATGATAACTGTTTTGCTTCCTCCTGTGTCCAGTACATAATAGGGCTCCAAGTCAGTATTTGTGAGGCAGGTGCATGCCTCTTAGTTGCGGTCCTGAGGGCATGGCCACTGCCACGTTCTGGACAGTCAGAGTCGCTGCTGCCCCTGGAAGATGACCGCGATCATGAAGCCCAGGAGAGCTCGATGCTTTTTGCCTTTCCCTCCTCCCACAGAGGGCTGGCAGCTCTGGTTCCTCCCAAATGAAATAGAAACCTTGAGTTTGCATTTCTTCTTTGGCGTGCCGGCAGGGCACCTCTGCCTTCCTCTTCCTGCCAGGGGGAGGAAGTTTCTCTCAGGGGCTCTTCACCCTGCTTTATTCCTGGCCATCACACATTGACCCTTGTCCCCTTCGGCTCTTTCCCTGCATGGCAGGGACAGCATGACCGTTTAATGGCTTTGTGAGGCCAGCATGCCAGCCTCACTTCTTTACTCCCTTCCTTCTCGGAGTGGGCTCTGTCCCTTCTGCAGGAGGGCTTTGGCACATGCTCTTCCCAGTATCTGGAAGGTCTCCCTCATTTTTATCTTATTAACTCCTCATCCTTCAGCTCAGAGTTTGAGAATGACTTCTTCAAGGACACCTTTCTGTGTCTGCCTCACCAGTCGCTTGGTGCCCCCCCACCCCGCCACCATGCTGACCGCACTCTTCAGCTCCCATCCCAGGGGAGGTGACACAAACTCGGCCCCAGGAGCCCAGCACCTGGCTTTAAACCCAGCTCTGTAACTTTCTAGGTGTGTGACTGATGGGAGCAAGCCACTTCACCTCTCAGGCCCTCCGTTTCCTCATCTGCAAAATGGAGGCAGTACTAGCACCTCCCTCCAGAGATGATTACGAGGGTGACAGAATTAGTAAGTGACCAAGTGCCTCGAGCAGTGCCCGCCCCTAGTAGACTCTATGGAAGTGTCTGCTGCAGTTATTGCTGTTATTATTACCACTTTTCCTAAGGGCGTTATTTCTGGAGTGGACTGATCGCTTGATTAATGAGATCAGACCTGGAGCCTCATGAGAGTGTCTGCTTTTGCTCACTGTTATGGATTCAGCACAGGGCCTGGCCCTCTGCTGACCCCCAGCATATGCTTGTCCAGAGAATGAATATGTACGGACCCATGGTGGCCTGGGGCATCATGAGGTCGGCTGCCCACATTCTGAGAATTTTGCATGGTGGAGGGCGGCGTGGTGGGCGCATAGGGCCCCCATCTATAGAAACCACCTCTCCACACCATCCACCCCACGCAGCGTAGTCTAAACCGGGTAGGGAGAGGAAGGATGGAAGCAGAGTGTTATTTTTGTAACCAAGTAGAAGAAGCGATGAATTTTTAATGTCCCATTCGAACTCCAGCTCCTACTCACCAGTCTCTCCGCATGGAGAAGTGGCCGTCATGGTCGACCTGTTCCCAAGGGTGGCCTTGTGAGTGCAGGCTCTCCTCACCAGAGCTGAGGGCTTTGTGAACCTCTGATGTCAATAGATGCCCCTCATCTTCCAGGAGGACAAAACAGGGCAAAGCAAGACATGGGGTGAGAACAGGAGTGCATCAGTGGGGTTCCCCAAGCCTGTGTCAGGTCCGGATCTGGGTGGGAGTTCCCTTCTGCGTCATCCAGGCCAGGCGAGTGGGCATCCTCCCTGAGCACCTGTGCTTGGGGCTTTGCCTGTGTCAGTCAGGAAGACAGAGTACACGGAAGAGTTACCATTGCTTTCAGAGCAAACCTTCCTTTGACATGCATTTAACACAGCACGGAGTGATTGACATGTGTCCTTGTGTTTAATCCCTATCTTAACCTCTCGGTTACTGTCCTGTTTATCAGTGAGGAAACTGAGGCTTATTGCTTGCCTGAGGCCTCAGTGGCAGAAGCAAGATGTGAATCCGCACCTGTGTGATGCCCAAGCCAGAGCTCTTGTTTACTACCCAGAGAAGATGAGCACAGGTGGGATGTACGTATGGAGGGCGGGTAGGGCAGCAGCCCCTCTGAGGACAGGTGGCCAGAACCCAAGCGGCGAGGTTTGTTCACAGCCTCCACAGGGTGGGGTGGGGCCATCCGCAGAGGGTCTCCTGCCATCCCATTTTCCCTGCATACCAGTGGGTGGTCTGAGAGCCTTTGCAGAGAAGAGACTGGATCTCAGCACGTGCTTATGTGCGTGTGTACATGCACACACATGCGTGTGATTCATCTGGCTCTTACTTTATGCCAAGGAGCCTGTCACATGCTTTAAATGTATTTTCCCTAGTTTAATTCTTAGAGCACACTGCAGGAGGTAGATTCTGATAAATCCATCTTACAGGGAAGGAAACAGACTTAAGTAGGTAAAGTCACTTGGTTGAAAACATGGAATGAGTAAGCCAAGGGGCAGGTATTCAAACCCAAACCCAGGTCTGTGCCCCTGCAGAGCCTGCAGGAGCAGCCCACACAGGCCAAGGCTGTGAGGGGTGCTGTTTGCACGCGTGCGTGGCCCTCCCTGCAGCCCAGGTGCCTAGGTCTGGGCCTGGCAACACCAGAGCACGGGGCCTTGCCCTCGGGGAACAGCCCTCTTTTGTCCTCAGGCTGTGGGATGTGTCTTGGCTACTTTGCTGCCCAGCAGTGCCTGCTCTCAGGCACATGTGAGAGTAGAGGCCTAGCATCCGTGGCCACTTCCTTCCCAGCCCATTTGCTGCTGCCCTTTGCTCTGCAGGGCTGCTGGGCTCCTGGGCTCCACGCCTGCTTGCTGCCTGCCATCAAGGCTGGCAGTGCTCTGGGGCTGTAAAGGTGCAGGCGCCGTACTTCCCAACCCCTGGAGCTCGCACATGGTAGGAGAGAAAGCTCATGTGCATGCAACATCCAATAAGACTAAAAGTGACTGGGGGTTGCTACGGGAGAGGTGCTGAGGGTGGGCCGGGGACAGAGCAGGCACACTGTGGAGGGGGTGGGCAGGACTCCTGAGACCAGGGCAGGGAGGGAGGAGATGCTGGGAGGCACAGGGCCATCCAGAGAGCTGCCACTTCCTGAGCATTGCCATGCACGCTGCAGGCATGGCCATCTTGAGTCCTCACACTGCCCGTGGCCTAGGTGGGGTCTTCATCCCCACGTTGCAGAGGAGGAAATGGAAGTTAGGAAGGTTAGGTGACGTGCCCACATGAGTGGTGTAAGCATGGTTCCCGCCCTGGGCTCTCTGAATTCAGTATTGTATGGGGGAGGCTGGGAAGGTGAGTTAGTACTCTCCGCAGTGAGAACCTGCCTTGGCTCCCCTCCCCTCAAGGAGTTCATAGCCGTGGGAGGGAGGGAGACAAGAACTGTTGGAGACAAGAACTGTTAGAGACCAGAGAGCAAGGGCGTGATGTGGTCTGCAGGGAGGAGGCTGTCTGAGGCAGAACCGGGTCAGGGAGGCCATGGTGCGGGTACCCTCCAGGCACGGCATTTGGCCTGACTTTTGAGGGGTGCCCAGGGTTGGCTACATGGCGGGGCGGAGGTATCTTTAGTGGGGGAACAGCGTTGTGCCACCAGGAGGGGTCTCTGTCTCCCAGGTAGAGGAATTCTCCATGGTGAGAGGTGGTGGTGGGGGATGGTCTAGCTGTCCACTCTTGCCCCCTTTCGGATTTGGAAGGAAGCCCCATGCTGGGTCCACACTGGTATGGCGTATTAATTAGGCAGCTGCTTTGTCTGGGAGGGGGCTTTGTGTCGAGTCTCCCTGAATGAGCAGGGCTGGCGACAGTTGTCAAAACACATGGTGCTTGGTCAGAGCCCCCGTAGAAGCCCCTTGTCCTCCGCATGGCCTCCGCCTGCACCCGGGGCGTGGAATGTGCTCTTGTGTGTCCCTGGCTGTCTGCTTGCTTCTACACTGGCCCCTGCAGATGGAGGGGGTGGGGTACAGGGGTTCCTATAAGAAGCAGACACTTGGGGTTTTTCCCAGGTCCTGTTGCAGGAGGGTGCGTGGGCTGGTTTCCCTGAAGGCGCCTGGGCGTGTTGGTGTTAACTGATCTGAGATCTTCTGTGGCCCTGATGTCTATGAGCATGCCCCAGCTTGCAGGGGGCTGAGTAGCCGGGCACCACCAGGAGGCTGCGTGCCCTGTGCTTGGGTGTACCCATGCCCTGTCAGCATCGTTGGTCTGTTAGGGTCAGGGACTTCGGCTTCTTGTTTAGTACCCTCCATCCCTTCCAGTTGATCATCAGAAACATTCTCCTTAGATGCGGCTGCCTGACCCCGGTGAGGGGGCCTGCCTCCCACTTGCCTTCCAGCCTCCTCTAAGCTGCACTGAGTCTTAAAAATAGGAAGGATAGGGCTGGGTGTGGTGGCTCACGCCTGTAATCCCAGCAGTTTGGGAGACCGAGGCGGGTAGATCACTTGAGGCCAGGAGTTCAAGACCAGCCTGGCCAACATGGTAAAACCCCATCTCTACTAAAAAGACAAAAATTAGATGGGCATGTTGGCATACACCCGTAGTCCCAGCTACTCAGGAGGCTGAGGCATGAGAATCGCTTGAACCCAGGAGGTAGAGATTGCAGTGAGCTGAGATTGCGCCACAGCACTCCAGCCTGGGTGACAGAGCGAGACTCCTTCTCAAAAAAAAAAAAAGGAAAAAAAAGAATAGGAAGGATAGGGCATGGCATGTTCTCCAGGAGACAGAGGGACGGGGGCATCTTGCTTGCAGGAAGCCAGGCGACACAGGCGTGTGTGCAGGGCTCAGAGGGTCTGTGTTCCTGGCCTTTCCTGGGAGGGCTTGCTCTTGGGCTGCCCAAAGCTCAAAGAGAGACTCGAGGAAATCCTGCATTTATGGGAGCTTTTCTTTTCCTGCCACTTTCCTGTTCTGGGTTGTATCTGTGCACGTGATTGGAACGTAGCAGCCTGAGCTCCTGCCTGAGGAGAGCAGCCACGGGTCACGGAAGCCAGGGTCCAGCTGGGGCCTTTGGGTCTAGCTGGCAGATGAAGGGCTGGCCTTCATCAAGAAAACAAGCCCCATGAGGGCAGGAGCCCGACCTGTTCATTCCACACCACCGAGCCTGGTGCTCAGTCATGTTTGTGTGACTGAGTGAGCCGGCGGCGGGCTGAGGCGCTTTTGTCTGGTGTGCGTACTGGTCTCCCTTGAGGCAGCTTGGGGGTGTGGAAAAAGCACATGTTGCCAAAATTGACAGACCTGGGTTCAAATCCAAGCTCTGCCACTTACCGCCTGGATGGTCTTGTGATGGGTCATTAACCACCCCGAGCCTCAGTTTCCTCACATCTGCCTCCCGGGGTCACTGTAAGGATCAGAAACAATGTGTGTATCGGCCATGTACGGTGTGTGTCGGCGAGTGCTCCGTGGCAGCTGCGGTTCTCCTGAGGTCAGAGCTGCGGCCCTGCAGGTGTGTGGAGAGAGCCCCGACAGCCAGGCTGACTCTGCGCACTGTCCTTTGTTCTGCTTCCCCAGACCTTCACGGCATGGTGCAACTCCCACCTGCGGAAGGCAGGCACACAGATCGAGAACATTGATGAGGACTTCCGAGACGGGCTCAAGCTCATGCTGCTCCTGGAGGTCATATCAGGTGAGACTCCCAGCCACGCAGTGCGGCCGAGCCCTGGCACAGGTGCTCTGCCACAGCGGTCCCCAGAGACCCTGCCCACCCAGCTGTCCCATTGCTCCTGGGGAGGAGAGGGCACCCCTTAATAGCTGCACGGTGGTCTGATGGGTGGGGCCAGAGTGGCCTGGTGGGCCAGCAGAGGAACCTGCTTTTGGAGAACAGAGGAGACTCTAAAGCCTCTCTCCCTCTCGCCCTCTCTCCCTTTCTCTCTCTCTGTCTCGCCCCCTCTTTTCTCTTTGTGCACTTCTCAGGGGAGCGGTTACCTAAGCCGGAGCGGGGGAAGATGAGAGTGCACAAAATCAACAATGTGAACAAAGCGCTGGACTTTATTGCCAGCAAAGGCGTCAAGCTGGTCTCCATCGGGGCAGAAGGTGAGCTGGAGGTGGGGCAGCGAGGGTCCTGCTCGGTTTCTGACCTTTAGGCTCTGAAGCACAACATCTGCATCCTGAAGAGAAGTTTTGTTGGTGGCAGGGCGCTTGGGGCACTCAGAGCCCCAGTACATACTCAGCAGTGATCACAACAACTGCTCTTGATATGATGCTGGGCCCACAAGCTCCCCCAAACCCTTGGAAAAATCCGGTGGGCGCAGTCCAAATCTAGGAAGTGCAACCCACCCAACCACGGGGGCGACGGCTTCTGCAGGGGGAGGAATGGTTTTGACTCGGACTCAGGTCGCCCTCACTGGTTCTCCTTGTGCCAGGCTCAGCAGACAGTGACAAACATGTGCCATGGCCTCTCTCTGTACCAGGAACACCTTTCTCATTATGCCCTGCCCGGTATCAGAGAAGGACTGGAGGCCCCATGTCAGGCATTGGGACAGGGAGTGCACGGCCAAAGGTCAGTGCCTAGACTTTGCCCTGTGTGCATGGGCTTGGAGAATTTTGCCTCTGACCACCCCAGGATCCTCCTGGGCCCCACGTAGATAACCAGGACCACAGTCCACTACCTGCAGGCCCTCACTAGAGCAGCAGGCTCTCAGCAGGGGCCCCTGGGTTGAGCTCCCAGGCGCTTTTAGAGACAGGCGAGGCCTGATGGAGCCCCAGCAGCATGAGCTCGCAGTCCACTCATTAGTCAGAGTAAGATTTCTTCACCCTGACATCCATGTTGTCCCAGCTTCTAGAAAAACAAAGTAAACTAATTGCCGTTAATGACAGGGCTCTGAGAGTTTGGCCAAGACTCCGGGCCAGAATGTGTGTGCTGAGTTCCAAGGCTCTGCCCCGGCCCAGGACCTCTGCGATGAGGGGTGCCAAGCCTTGCATGCCACAGTCGAGGTGGTTGGTGTTTGTTTAAAAAAATCACAACCCAAAAATTCAGTCAGGCCCTGAGATTTTCTGTCCTTGCATGGGTCTTTCCTCCAGGCTCTGTTCCAGCCTTCTGCTTCTCACAGCTGCATTTATTTTGCTCAAATGCTAGTCTGTAAATACAGAAGGGGTTAGAGGAGAGACCCATGTCAGTCATCAGTTTTCATTTGGAGAAAAACTTGGTCTAAAAATGTTCTCTGTTCATGCCCAAATTGGTTCACTCCCAATCCCTGTGACTGTGGGGCCTTGGAACAAAGCCTAATGGAGGCGTTCCTGGGGCTCAAGGCACCTGAGAACCCCGCCCCACCCTGTCCCCCTGTCCTTCCACATGATTGGGCATTCGCGGGAGCATTGGCTTCCCGTGGGGGTGATGAGAGGGGCCGGAGGCACAGCTGCAGGTCAGAGAAGCAGCTGGTGGATGTGTCATGAGAAACGCCATCCTCCTCTCCTCACCGGAACTCCATAAGCCCTCCGTTACCAGCTGCACCTGTACTTGCTGAGCCGGGGAGCTGCGGCCTTGCCCAGCTCTGCAGGCCCGGCCCTCAGGAGGTGCACAGAATAGATTTCCTGAGGCTCGAGCTGCCTCGCTGCACTAAGGGGCAGGTGGTGCTGCTCAGTTTCTGGGTCTGGGGCTCTGAACCCTAGGACAGGGTGGACACTGGGTCCCTCCCCTGTCTCTGGGCAGCAGAATGAGCATATTTCCTCCTCTCAAAACCCGAAAGCTGTGGCTCATGGACACCCCCTTCCTCTGGGTGTGTCCCCGGGGGAAGGTGAGCCCCATCTTCTCTGTGACCTCTCCACCTGCTTCCAAGCAAGCCTGCCCTGGAGTATTCTGCTCAGAGGTCAGTGAGCAGGGTCTCCTGTGGTGTCCTGGGCCTCCAGCTCTGCAGTTAGCTTTGGAACTCACCCCTGTGCCCAGCCCTTCCCCGAGAGTGCTTGCAGCAGTGGCGCCCCTCTGTCTTCTTTGGAAGCCACTCCATCATGCCCCTTGCATATGGCGTGTTGACAAGTTGGGAGGACTGCCCTAGGCACGGCTGGCTGATGGACTCTGGGATGAGGCACTGCCTTCTCTCACCCAGCCGCAGACACACAGCTGTCCTGGGCCTTGCAGAGATGATTTTTCTCTTAAGTTACTGAGGCTGAAGAAGGTGTGGTCCAAGCCCTTCTTTTGAGAAGTTTCAGCAATTTTTTTTTTTTTTTTTTTGAGATGGAATCTCACTCTTGTCACCTAGGCTGGAGTGCAATGGTGCAATCTCAGCTCACTGCAACCTCTGCCTCCCGGGCTCAAGCAATTCTCCTGCCTCAGCCTCCAGAGTAGCTGGGATTACAAGCACCCGCCACCACGCCAGGCTAATTTTGTGTTTTTAGTAGAGACGGGGCTTCACCATCTTGGCCGGGCTGGTCTCGAACTCCTGACCTCAGGCGATCCACACCTGCCTCAGCCTCCCAAATTGCTGGGACTAAACAGGCGTGAGCCACCACAGCCGGCCGCAAATGTTTGTTTTTAGGTTAGTTCAGAAAGCGTGCAGTCTGGCCTCAGGCCCGTGCTCTCCCCTTCCTGACAACACAGCAGCCATGCTTGTTCCTCACTGGCCTTCCAGGCACTGGATCCAGTGGTGGTCAGAGCAGCCCCGCCCTCACGAGGGCAGGCAGACAGTGAACAAGTAAACAGCCCGACCAACATGTGATTTCACTAGTGATGCCTTGGGGCAGCACAGGGGCCAGGGAGAGGAACTGGGTGGCGGGTTGGGGAGCTCCTTGGGACGGGCAGTCAGGGAAGCCACCACGAGAGGTGACACAAGCAGAAGCTTACACGATGAGAAGGACCAGCCAGTTGAGGGTCGCAGGCTAGGGGCGTGCTTTGTGAGTGGACAGAGCGTATCAAAGCAAGAAAGAGCCTGGCTTGCCCAGAGGATGCAGCTAGAGAATTCCAGCAGGATGGCAGGGCCTGGGCCTTCAGGGCAAGCCCTTTCCCTGTGGGCCAGGCATGGTGGCTCACACCTGCAATCCCAGCACTTTGGGAGGCCAAGGCAGGAAGATCACTTGAGCAGGAGTTTGAGACCAGCTTGGGTAACATAATAAGACCCAGCCTCTACAAAAAGTTTAAAAACTAGCAAGATGTTGTGGCATGCGTCTGTGGTCCCAGCTACTCGGGAGACTGAGGCAGAAGGATTGCTTGAGCCCAGGCAGTCAAGGCTGCAGTGAGCTATGACTACACCATTGCACTCCAGCCAGCCAGACCCTGTCTCAAAAGAAGGAAACCAACCATGCTCGCTGCTGTGTCGATGTGGATTATGGGCGGGAAGGGTACATAGGAGGCAGCCGCATTGAGCTCTGGAGATGACAGTGGCTTGGTGGAGAGTGTCGGCAGTAGGATTGGAAGGAAGTGGACAGATTCACAATAAACAATAATGTAGTGCACATTTGCTGACTGCGAGATGAAAAAGACCACCTTTGCCCTGAGAGTGGGGGCCCGGGGTGCCCCCCTGTAGTCAGGAGGTACGCAGATTACGGCAGAAATGTACAGAGCACTGAGAGTTGAGAGAGGTGTGAACAGAGGCCACACGCCTGGGACCAGCCTCTTGGAGGAGCGGTTTTTTGAGTTGGGTCAGGAGAAGGAGCTGGCTGCGGGGCCAGGGACCCTTGTGGCCAGAAGCCTGCAGGCGCTCAGCAGCAGGAGGCTCTGGGACAGTGCTGCCTAGAGACTGTTCCCTGCATTTTCTCCTGAGGGAGGTGGAGGAGGACAGGCCTGGGAGATGCAACCAGGGGGTGGTTTGGAGCCTTTCTCTAGATGGGGCTGGAAGGCCACCTTCAGGTTGGGCGGAGGAGCCTCACTCTGGTTTTAACGACCTTCTGCCCTCTGCCCCCTTCCCTGTGTGCAGAGATTGTGGACGGCAACGCAAAGATGACCCTGGGAATGATCTGGACCATCATCCTTAGGTTCGCCATCCAGGACATCTCCGTGGAAGGTGACAGCCACCTGTACTGCCCCCGCTTCCCACCTGAGTCAGGGCGGGTTAGAGGAGAGCTGAAGTGTGATCTTCATGCTTCAAGCCTCTTCCTGTTTCCTTGGGGTCACTCACAGGGCCTGGCCCTTGCAGGGGTAGTCAGTGGGTGGCAGGTGAAGGGAGGCTCCTCCCAGCTGCCTGCCTCTTGGCTCCAGTGCCTTCCGAGTGCCTTTGCTCTCACAGCCTCATCTCAGTGGACCCTCACGCCACCCTCATGAGATGGGCTAGGATGGCTGGGCCCGTTTTACAGTCCAGGAACCCAAGTCCCAGAACAGACTAGTGAGAGAGTTGGGCCTGGGCCTGGTTCTCTGTCTGCTTGACATCCCCATCCTTGAAACTTGGCCCCCATGGACCCGTTATGAGCTCAGGCCGTCCAGGAATGGACAATTTCGCTTCCCTGCAAGCACCTGTGTGCACACAGGATGGGCAGAGCCACCTGGGCTAGCGTGCAGGGGCTCCCAGGTGCCAGGTCGCAGTGATGACTGGGAGAGATGTGCTTCCTGCCCTCGAAGGGCTCCCGGTCTGTGAGGACAGCCGAGCTATCCACGGGGAACAGAAGGGCCCCCTAGGCCTCTCTACAGCTGGTATTTCACCTTGTTCAAAAGAGGCCAAGGCCGGTATCAAGGGCCTGTCTGCAGTGTGTTCTGGTGGTGAAAGGCACAGGCTTGGTGGCCAGGCACATGGCACAGATTCAGGCCCTGACACCACCACCTCCTGGGGCAGCCCTGGTCAAGCGACTCTCCTCGGGGCCGTGAGGATTAAGCAGGGCCGTGTGTCCTGGCAGTTGGGCCTGGCAGCATCCGTCTGCATCCGGAATGGGAGTGGCTGTCCCGCTGCTATCACTGCTGCTGTTGTTAGGACAGATATCCTCTCCCCTTGGGTTTCGTTTGACCCCAGGCCTGAGCCGAAAGTCCCATCCAACTTGGGCTGAGTTCTGAGGGTTTATTTTTGAGCCAGTGCTCACTGTCTTTGTGTGTTTTGCAGAGACCTCGGCCAAGGAAGGGCTCCTTCTCTGGTGCCAGAGAAAGACAGCCCCGTATAAGAACGTCAATGTGCAGAACTTCCACATCAGGTAAGCGCCAGTCCTGGTCATCCTCTCCTTTCCTCTAGGAACCTGAGATCCTTCCTCCCACCTGCCCTGTTTGCTGTGTTTTTGTCGTGGTCTGTGAGATGCCAGCCCTCAGTCAGCCCCTCCCTGGCCACGGGCCCTACAAGCCCATGGGAAGGTCACCTGGTCCTCTCTGAGGAAGAGGAGGCAGTTTCCCAGCCATCCTGGCTGAAGGCAGTAAGGTCAGCCCTCTCGCCGGCCTAATAGAACGTTCTTCGTCCCCAGGCAAGGTGACTCTCAGAAGCAACAATAAAGCTTTTCATTTTTGAGACAGGGTCTTGTGCTGTCACCCAGACTGGAGGGCAGTGGTGTGATCACTCATCCCTGCTGCCTTGGCCTAGGCTCAAGTGATCCTCCTGTCTCAGCCTCCCAAGTAGCTGGGACTGCAGGTGCATGCAGCCACACCTGGCTAATTTTTAATTTTTATTTTTAGTAGGAACAGGGTCTCCCTATGTTGCCCAGGCTGGACTTGAACTCCTGAGCTCAAGCAGTCCTCCTACCCCGGCCTCCCAAAGTGCTGGGACTACAGATGTGAGCCACTGCCTGCCTCTGGCCTCTTCCTTTATTTTGACAGCTCAGGAGTGAATTGTTTTTAGAATTGCTAGTAAATTTAGTGTTGGGGAAAAATGTACTCTGTGGCTGCTAAGATGAACAAGCCTCAGCTCCACCATGAACCTGCTTCCCTCAGGGTGAGCGGGAGATGAGACATGTCCACCATCCCCGTAGCTGAGGCGAGCATGGGCACTGCCGCATGAGGTCCAGGGGGCGGCAAGAGGCAGGCCTGCCTGGTGGTTGGGAGCACTGGCTCTGGGGGCGGTCCTGAGGTCAGATCCGGTTTGCCTTGTGGCTCCACCCTCTGAGTCTCCTGGATGGCCCGCACAGGAATGAAGAGCAGGGCCTCATGGGGTTTGCAGCGGCCTCAGGCTCTCTGGGACCCTTGCTGGGTACAGAGGGCTTTTCCCATCGTGCTCACCCTGATAGCATGTGGTCCCTCCCTTGGTCACTCTTCTCTGTGTGTCTTCTTTTTTTTCCTGCCACTAACTGACTGAATCTTTCTATAGTTTCCATTCATTTTCTTCAACTAGTAAGTATCTAGCATGCCCGCTGCATGCCGTTAGTGGAGATACAGTGGCACCCAAACAAAGTTCCCATTTGTGGGAAGTTTACACCACAGCGCGGGGACCAGCTGTTAGCACAGCGGCCAGTAATCCTGCAGCATAACTTCAGTGAGAAGTGCTGCACAAAGACAGGGAAGTCAGATGAAGAAAGTTCCCTGGGTGGCCTTTCTGAGGAGGTGACATCGAGCTTGACCTCAGAGGGAACCAACCCTTAGAGGGTCTCAGGGAGGAGAATGTGACCCATATAGCTTGTAACTGACCAACTTGTGGCCTTGGGGAAGGTCTCTTTCCTCCAGAGACCAGCATGCCAAGTGAAATCCTGGCATTTAGCCAGCCCACGGACTGGCCTTCCTGTAAGTCAGGTCCGCCAGGGTGTGGAGGCCACACAGCACAAACACCAGCATCCTGCAGTGGCCACCTCCCCCGAAGCGGCCTGTCTGGTTCAGGGCGGCCTCCCATGGAAGGTGCTAGCAGTTATAAAGCAGTTGTCAGGAGTCAGGCACTGATCCAAGCATTTACTCATTTAATCCGCACAACAGCCCTATGTAGCAGGTATGTCACTATCCCCATCATACAGATGTGGAAACCGAGATAGCCTGGCTTACCCGAGGTCACACTGTCAGTAGGCAGAAGAGTCAGGATTTGATCACAGACTGCCTGGCCCCAGAGGTCATGCTTGCAGCCTCTCTGCCACACTGTCTCCATGCAGTGCCTGGCACAGGCCAGACTGCAGTGAATGGGAATTAGTCACTGCTGTGGGTGCACAGGGCCATACGGCACTCTCATGACAGTGAGCGGGCCCTCCTATAACCTTTGCCTTTCCTTCCCCAGCTGGAAGGATGGTCTTGCCTTCAATGCCCTGATCCACCGGCACAGACCAGAGCTGATTGAGTATGACAAGCTGAGGAAGGTGAGTGTCTCCAGCTCCCCTTGATGGCCCACAGACGTGCCCTGTCTGACCCCCTAACTCCGGGTCACCATCCCCATGCCCTTCCATCGCCAGCCTCCAGATCTGGGTTCTGCACGCAGATGGGCAGCCTGGGAGAGCCTTGTGCAGGCTCTCCGCAACCCCTGGCTCGGTGGCTGACTCTCACCTCCCTTATTCCCCTCGTGGACTGTCCAGTCTCCCTCCATGGCACTGCAACCAACCCGGGGTTATTTAAGGGCCTGGCCAGCCATGCTTTATAACTCCCCTTCCTCAATCTTCTGGATTCTAGAACCTCCTCTGCCCAAAGGGGCAGAGGGCAAGGAATTCCAAACCATCACCACAAGCCCATGTTGCCCATGCAGGGTCCTGCTGTCATTTGCCTGTACAAAGCCTGTATGGATCCAGGCCCTGGCCACCAGAAGCTGCCAGCCTCGTGGGGGAAGGCAGGACAAAAATTGTGTCCAAAGCAAAGCACCACACCAGGCCGTGTACATGTGCTCAGGCTGAATGGGGTGGCAGGGCATGGGGTCAGATCAGTGCTGCGGAGGAGGCTAGTGTACCCCGAGCGAGCAGGAGCCAGGAAAGGTCCCGGAAGAAGAGGCAGCTTAGAGCCAGAGGAGGGCTTCCTGGGGGAGGCACCAGATGGCACCCAGCCCGTTCCAGCCACAGTGAGCAAGAGAGCTGGGCCCCGGCCAGGGAGAGTTGGAGTGCAGTGGGCTTTAGTCCTGTAAGCAGTGGGGAGCCTGTGAGGGGGCTGGGGGACACTTTAGGGTGGTTGGGACCTGGGACCTCTCGGTTTGCTCCCCTTACCCAGTCCCCAGTGCTCTCTCAGGCCTGGCCCACATCTTCCAGTCAATGTGAAAACCAGGTTTTAGGGCAAGGGGCTTAAGCTAGGGTCTGTGGGTGGCTGGAAATTGTATGAAAAGAGTACACCTGCATTTTTCTGGAGAAAAAGCCCTGGTTTGCCCCACAAAGATTTCACGAGGCACTCCTGTGAGTGGGAATTGAATTTATCCAGGCGGTGCCCTCCCGCTCACACATCACACGTGGCTGAGAACTGCCTGAAGAAACCCCCAACCCTCGCCCTCCCGGGTCTCTCCCTCTGGGCCAGCCCTGCCTCCCTCCTGCTCCTGCACCCTGCCCTGACGGAGTTCTTGTTGTCCCCACTTGCCTCCTTCTAGGACGACCCTGTCACCAACCTGAACAATGCCTTCGAAGTGGCTGAGAAATACCTCGACATCCCCAAGATGCTGGATGCAGAGGGTAAGTCATCTCTTCTGTTCAGCCACCACTGTGCTTCCTGATGGCCTTTTCTGTCCAGGGCTGGCCTCGGGCAAGGGGCTGTGGGCACATCAGAGCTTTGGGTCACCTTGGGGAGCTGGCAGAGCCAGCAAGAAGGGCTGAATGATTCTGGGTGAACTGGGGACAGCCATGTCGCCCTGGGAGACAGAGCAAGGGTAGCCTGGGCTGGCCAGATGCCTTCAGGGATGAAGAAGCGTATGGGGAGGGGGAGCTGAAGGATCAACTCTCCTGAGGGTGCATCTCCTCAGGGCCCAGGAAGGGCAAGGTGGCTGAGGAGGGGTGCTTCAGGCTTCCTGCGAGCAACCCTGGCCTCTCCCTCCCTACCTGCAGCAGGCATGGAGTATGGAGCCCGACAAAGTGGAGTGTTTTGTTTTTTCCTTTTCCGGCTTTGCTCCATTTCCCAGCCATGCACTGCCCCATTTCCTAGCCATGCACTGCCCCAGCTGGGACCTGTGTCTCTGGCCTCTGGTGGCCCTTGGAGTTGACTGTCCTGCTGCTCCTTGAGGCCATTCTCAGAGAGAGGAAGTGGCCTCATTTTAATCCGCTTCCCACAGCCTTGTCCTTTCCAGACCCATGGGAGAGGGAGGGGCTGAGGGTGTGGCTGAGCCCACCCAAGTCACGCGTCACTCTGCAGGTCCCTCTCCCCCAAGGCCGTGGCCTTGGGAGCCCGTGGATCCCAGTGAGTGACGCCTCCACCCCCCGCCCTACTCGGGCAGTTTAACCCTTGTTGTTCACTTGCAGACATCGTGAACACGGCCCGGCCCGACGAGAAGGCCATAATGACCTATGTGTCCAGCTTCTACCATGCCTTTTCAGGAGCGCAGAAGGTACCGAGCAGGGCCAGGCAGGCCCTCCTCGCCGCCACCGCGCAATGCCGCCGCTGCCTCTCGCCTCCCGTGCTCACCTCATTTCTCTTGCAGACGGCAGTGGCCTCTCTCCAACTGGAAGCCACCCCCAGCTCCCTGGCGTTGCTGCCCCCTCAGCCTTAGCTCACACACCTATTGGGTACCTCATCTGTGCCAGGCTTTTCCAGGCATTGAGGATGCCCTGGTGACTGAGTCAGACAAGGTCCCTGTTCTCAGGGCACTTCCATGCTAGTGGGAGAAACATACAGCAGGCCTGTCACAGGAGTGGAATAGAGAAAATGGGGCCAGATGGGGGACAGAGATGGCTGGGGTGACCTTCAGCTGGTGCTGTCAATGTGGAGGGGTGAAGTGAGCAGGTACTTGCAGCAGGAGCTGCTAGATGCAGGCTGGGGCACAGGTGTTCCAGGCAGAGGGTGAAGCACTACGAAGGCCCTGAGACAGGAAGAAGCTTGGCGTATTCAGGGACCAGCTAGAGAGGAGTGAGTGACACGCAGTGATGGGTCAGGCCCAACAAGACCCTTGTGGTGTGGGATAAGAAATTCATGTTCCACTCTGAGGGCCATGGGAGCCCCTTAGGGTCTTACTCCGTGGTGGGAGCTGCTCACTCACATTTTCAGACAGATCATTTAGCAACTGACTCCTCCAACCCAAAACAAAGCTGCCTTTATAGGGCCCACAGCTAGTCTGTCTCCAGCCCAGGCCGGTTAGAAAAGGAATGCACCCTATTCGGACTCCACAAAACCCCGCAAGGCATGTCCACGCAGGCCTGGGGCTGGCTTCCAGTCCAGAGCAAGTGCTCTTCCTCCTGCATGAGCCTCAGGCCGGCCCGGCCGCCCTCCCTGCGTCTTTCACTCTCTCCTGCCTCTCTCTCTCTTTCTCTCTCTCTCTGTGCAGATATTGTGGGCACTCTGAGGCCAGATGAGAAGGCCATCATGACTTACGTGTCCTGCTTCTACCACGCTTTCTCGGGGGCTCAGAAGGTGAGCTGGGCCAGGCACACCTCGCTGCTGGGGCTGCAGACCTGCCTTCACCACCGCCCTTGCATCACCGCTGGCCATCTGTGGTTGGAGCCCTGGCCAGGCCGTGGGCCGCCACACCACACAGACTGACCCTGCCGGCCTCTGACTCGGAAGGTCCCCTGGGGCAGGTTTCCCGCCTGGCCGGTGCTGGGCCTGTGCTGAGGAGTCACAGACCTCTGTTTGAACACAGCCCACCCTGGGAGGTGGGTGGTGGCATCCTAGGCTCTCAGGCGGGGAAACTGAAGCCCTGCATTACAGTCAATGGCAGAGCTGGGATTTGACTGCCCGGCGTTCCCACTCGCCCTGTCCATCATCTGCACCAGGGCTGCCTGCCTGCCCCTGCCAAGCCCTTCGTGGGGAGCACTGGGCTTTACCCGTTTTGCAGCTCCTTCCTGCCAGGAAAGGCTCAGCATGTGCAGCCCAACCTGCACTCACGGTCCCAGCCCTCCAGAGGCCAGGCAGAGCCCACAGAGCTTGCGTGGCAGTGGCCGCCCTCCTGGGCCCAGCTGACCTCATGCTGCCTCACAGCTCCTGCCGGGCCCTCAGCGTTCACGCAGAGGCCCAAGCACTGCTCCCCCCGCTTGCCTTGTGGTCTCTGAAGTATCTCAGGCAGCATTCCCGATGCCTGCTTTGAAGTGTCAGCAGTTGGCACAGGTTCAGAGGAGGAGGCAGAATCGATTCTTGTTTACTGAACATGTACTACACGCTAGGCACCCTCCAAGGCCTTCACATGCACAGGCTTCCAGAGGGTCCCTGTGCACACCCCCAGGAGGGCTAGGCGCAGTTAGCCCCATTTGAGAGAGGAGGAATTGAAGTTTAGGGAAACAGCTATTCCTAAAACTAGAAGGGGGGGGCCGTACCTTCTGTGGACCCCTGCTTTGAGCCTCCCAACTAGCAGGTGCATTACCTACCGTCAGTCTGGCCTGGCCCCACTCTGCCACCTCTTGGTACTGTGACCTTGGGTGGGTCACTTGACCTCAGCTTCCCCACCTGTGAAATGGGCATCGCTGTAGTTCGGTCTCACAGGATTGTTCTGGGCGTGAAACGAGCTCCTGCAGGCAAAGGGCTTAGCACAGTGCCTGGCACGGCAGCTGCCATTTAGGCAGCTGCCAGGGAGCCACAGTGGTGGGGAGTGTGGTTCTTCCCAGCCTCGGGCCAGAAAGGCCTCTTCACCTCCTCAGCATGCGATTGGAGCTTGTGTTTGGAGTGTTCTGCTAGAGGGCACGGGCCAGGAGGGTGGAGGGAGGACCCCTGACCCACACTCCCGCGGGAGGGTGGGCAGGGACCAGCAGCAATGGACGATTCGTCACCACAGACCCCAACTAACAGCATGTTTGCCATTGGACTCACCCCTACGGGCCCCGAACCAGCCCCCTGCCCACCACATGGCCTCACCAGATTGCTTTTCTTTCTACCCACACTGCTCCCCTGTGCTTAGGGCTGAACTCCAGTCTGGAGGCTCTGAGGGATTTTGGGGGAGCAGGGACTGGCAGGCAAGCCCAGGACAGTATGGGTGGGTGCTGAGGCACTGGGCCTGGAGGCTTGTCACTGGCCCCTCTCTGAGGGGGTAGTGGAGGCCCGGCTGCAGGGCGCTGGCTGGTCAGAAAGGAAAGTGCTGGGTCCCTGTGTGCTCCTCAGGACAGCCCCGTGGTGCTGCTCCTGCTGCCTCGTTTCCCCAGAGACCCAGTCCAAGCTCTTGCAAGAGTGCTCTCTGGGGTTCATGTTTTATAAACGCAGAGTGAACCCCAGGTCTAGCGCCAGTGTGCCCATTCTGTCCTGAGATCATTTATTTCTAGTCACCGAAGCGTTCCCGCCTCGTTCCTTTATTCACTCACTCATTCAGCAACCCTGAACACCGCCAGTGCACTGAGCCCCAAGCTGGATGCGGGAACTCAGCGGTGAAACATGATTCCCTTGCCTTGCGGCAGCCCCGTGCTCACAGAGAGGACTTGAGTTTCGGGTGCCAGTTGTCTCTGCCAAGTTAGGAGTCAGGGACTGACCTCTGTGACCCCCACAAGCTGCAGCCCTGGCTGTGTTTTCCACACTGGCCTGGGGCCCATGTTCATTGGCTGAGGAACCTCTTGGACCTCATCTCTGAGGAGCACCGCCTGGGGCCCTGGGTGTGTGTCCCGCAGCATGGCGCGGGGTGTGCACGTGCGTGTGTGCGCTCACACGAGCACCGGCTGCCGCCTCCCCGCCTGTCTCCAGGTGCCATGTGTGGAGGGGAGAGGCTGGGCGTCGCTGCCTGCAGCACTGGCTCTGAGCCGTTGGCCAAGCCTCTCCATTTTCCTTCCCCATCACTCTGTAGACCCTCCTCACTCTTTCTGTTCCTGTTCTGTTGCCGTTTCAACTCCTCCTCTTGGACCCTTTCTGTGCTTCCTGAAAGGTACCTGGTCTCTCTCTCCCCGTGTGCACCCCCTGCCTCCTCTACACTGTTCACTGCCCCCTAGCAGGACAGGGCAGGACGCTCTCCTGTAGTTCAGGCCCAGGGACTATGTCCACCACTCTCACCCTCCAAAGCCCCAGCACTTTTCTGCCCCACGGATGGTGACTTCTGTCCTCTGGAGCTCCTATTAACATTGCCTCCAAGGCAGGAGAGTGGACAGGCCTGAGTGTGCTCCTGTGCACGGACCACTAGGCTCCTCCGGGACCCGGGCGCCCCTGCTCTGTTGCCCCCAGCTCTCCAGCTCTCGGCTTCCCATCCTTTCACCTTCCCACCGGGAGAGACTCCTCCGCAGTCTTAGGTCCAACGCAGCCGACCCGTCCAGCCTCACCCTCCTCTGTGTGGGGCACTAGAGGGTTTGCGAGCAGCAGTGGGAGGGCTCCCCAACCCTCCTCGGTGCCTCCAGGGTCTGGGCTTTCTGGACCCAGGGGCATTTTGCAGTCAGCAGTGAGGATGCCAACAAGGCCTATTGGGACAGGGCACCATCTCACTGGAGCTGTGCTTCCTCTCCTTCCCCTCTGTGAGGAGTTCCGTGGGCCATGGACCAGCTGCTTTCAAGGGACGTGCCCGTCAGGAGGGAGGGTGGCCAGCCCCCAGGCAGCCCTGACTGTGTGCTCCCCTCCAGGCTGAAACTGCCGCCAACCGGATCTGTAAGGTGCTGGCTGTCAACCAAGAGAACGAGCACCTGATGGAGGACTACGAGAAGCTGGCCAGCGACGTGAGTGTTCCCCCAGTGAAAGTCAGGGCCACCTCATTATCCTCAGCCAGAGGTCACTGTGACTCTTGCAGGGGGAAAGCAGGTGTGGCAGCGAGATGACCTAGAAAAGGCTGCGTGGTCACAGACCATGGCATTTAGCCAGCTGGTGTGTACACGACCTCTCCGTTTGCTTCCACAAGGCTAAGGGTCAGACCGGCAGCCACCTTGCCAGCCAGCCCCTGGGCTCCCGAGCTTGGGTTCCTACAGAGATGCTCAGGGACAGTGTTTCCTGGGCACCTCAGTGCTTTAGAATCACCTGGGGAGCTTTGTGAAAGCCCCTCTTCCCGTGCCCTGGCCCTGGAGAGAGTGATTCAGAAGGATGGAGAGGGGCCTGGGAACCAATAGGATAGCAGGCCCTGTGCAGGTGCTTAACGAGCAGCCCAGCAAGACGGGAACTCGGATTATCCTCCTTTCCAAGTGAGGAAACTGAGGCCCAGGGAGGGTCAGGCACGTGCCTGCTGTTACATGACTAGTGGGACAGAGAGCTGGGCTTCACCCAGGCAGCCCTGCTCTAGAGTCCAAACCCAATGCTTCAGTTGGAAATAAGGGTGGTTAGTACAACTCTTCTGGAGGCTCTTCATTTTTGAAATCTCCATATTTAAAAAATAAACGTAGGCTGGGCGCAGTGGCTCACACCTGTAATCGCAGCATTTTGGGAGGCCAAGGCAGGTGGATCACTTGAGGTCTGGAGTTCAAAACCAGCCTGGCCAACATGGTGAAACCTTGTCTCTACTGAAAATACAAAAATTAGCCGGGTGTTGTGGCACACACCTGTAGTCCCAGCTACTTGGGAGGCTGAGGCAGGAGGATCGCTTGAGCCTGGGAGGCAGAGGTTGCAGTGAGCCAAGATTGCGCCACTGTACTCTAGCCTAGCGACAGAGCAAGACTCCATTAAAATAAAAATAAAATAAAATAAAATTTCCCAAAGAGCAGTGGTTTGACTGCTCATCTAGAACCAGTGGTTCCCAGATTTTGCAATCTCATAGACCAGGAAAATTTGAAAAACTATTGGATGTCCAACCTAAGAGGGCCAGCTTTTTATTTTGCCAAGTTACGGATGTTTTAAAAAGAAACACTACCATCTGTTACCACCAGCACTTCTAACACCAAGATAAGGTAAAAAGGTTATTCTTAGAACCCCAGCCATTGCCAAGAAAGGGCAGCTGGCAGCACGCCTCACAATGTATCCACACAGAGGTATTTCTGTCTTTGAATTTCTCACTTTGCCAGAAGTTGGCATTTGGGAACCACTTCTCCAGCTTGTCCGTGCTGGCAGATAACTGATTTTGTACTTCTAGAATTGTTTTATTATTTTTTTGAGATGGAGTTTCACTCTTGTCACCCAGGCTGGAGTGCAATGGCACGACCTTGGCTCACTGCAACCTCTGCCTCCCAGGTTCAAGCAGTTCTCCTGCCTCAGCCTCCCAAGTAGCTGGGATTACAGGCGCGCACCACCACGCCCAGCTAATTTTTGTATTTTTTTTAGTAGAGATGGGGTTTCACCATGTTGGTCAGGCTGATCTTGAACTCCTGACCTCAGGTGATCCACTCACCTCAGCCTCCCAAAGTGCTGGGATTACAGGTGTGAACCAGCGTGCCTGGCCTAGAATTGTTTTAGAATGTCCAACTGTTTGTTACCCTTTCTCACTCCATTAAAGATCTGAGTAGTTCCTAAAAGAATATGTTTGTTTCTTTTTCAATTTTATTTTCTAATTTATGTCCCAGGCCCAGTGCACATACTGGCCTAGCCAGACTGAGCCAGGTGGGCTTGTCGGCCTTGCCCTTGAGGCACTTAGTGAGCCCAGAAGCAGTCAGGCTCTCAGCATGGAGCTCAGTGAAGACAGCGGCAGTGGGGCATGTGACAGCATGGAAAGGGACCTTTTTGGCGGGGGCATGGGAGTGGAGGTTTCCCCTCTTAGACCTGAGGGAAAAGACTAAGAGCAAAGGCATGGGCCAGGCATGGTGGCTCACCCCTGTCATCCCACCACTTTGGGAGGCTAAAGTGGGATTGCTTGAAGTTCAGGAGCTCAAGACCAGCCTGGGCAGTATACTGAGACCCCCTTCTCTATAAAAACTTAAAATAAAAATCAGCCAGGCTCGGAGGTAGGCACCTGTAGTCCCAACTACTTGGGAGACTGAGGTGGAAGGATGGCTTCAGCCCGGGAGGTTGCTATGATCATGCCACTTCACTCCAGCCTGGGTGACAAAGCGTGAACCTGTCTTTAAAAAGAAAAGCACAGGCAGGAACAGGAAGTAACAAGAGAACAGTACAGTGATGCAGGGACAGGGAGGGAGCCCACGCTCCCAGAGTTCCAGGTTGGGGGTTCTAGCAGGAATCGTGGAGAAGTTGGGCTGGGGAGCAGGGGTAACCCCCTAAGGTGGGGCCCTCAAAGATCCAGATCCCATGTGCCCATAAGCTGGGGGGCAGCCCGTCAGCACTCTGAGGGTCCCCCACAAAGGCCACGCTGGCTTCTGTGGCCCACAGCTCCTGGAGTGGATCCGGCGCACCATCCCCTGGCTGGAGGACCGTGTGCCCCAAAAGACTATCCAGGAGATGCAGCAGAAGCTGGAGGACTTCCGCGACTACCGGCGTGTGCACAAGCCGCCCAAGGTGCAGGAGAAGTGCCAGCTGGAGATCAACTTCAACACGCTGCAGACCAAGCTGCGCCTCAGCAACCGGCCCGCCTTCATGCCCTCCGAGGGCAAGATGGTCTCGGTGAGCACCAGGATTCACATGGGAGCAGCTGTGAGGGGCAGAGGCAGCCCTAGAACTGCCTGTGGGCAGTTTGGCCAGCGTAATCTTTCCTAAGTTGTTGATGTCCTGTGGGACATGGCATGGCCTTTCGGATGCAGTGGTCGGGGAGGGGTGCACTTCACTCGGCATTGTGCTCCCCTTTGGCCCTCACTCACTGTATTTTACACCCAGGGTTTTATACGCATCCCAAATCCTTGCCACGGGTTGTGTGGGTGTGGAGTGGTGTGAATTTGGAGCCGTGGTCTGCCATGATGGCATGACCGCCATGTGCTTGAGGCCCTTCATCAGCGGAGGGGCAGTGCGCCCTGGACGGTACCACCTCCCCATCTATGGTATTCATCCATTCATTCATGCACTCACCCGTTCACGCATTCATTTTGTTAATCCAGAATTGATTGTACCTGCTGAGTGCTGGGGGGCCCTGTGTAGGCATCCAGGTATAATAGCAAAGCATGACACAGACATGACCCCAGCCAAGTTCTGCCACCTTCCCATCAGCATCCCTTGGAGACATCCCCCTGGGTGCCTCCACTTCCTTGTGATAGCCCTGCCTGCTCCTGCCCTGCCCCAGGACATCAACAATGGCTGGCAGCACTTGGAGCAGGCTGAGAAGGGCTACGAGGAGTGGCTGCTGAATGAGATCCGCAGGCTGGAGCGGCTCGACCACCTGGCAGAGAAGTTCCGGCAGAAGGCCTCCATCCACGAGGCCTGGACTGACGGTACGGCCCAGCTCTGCCCCACTCTGCCCAGCCCCGCTCCCGTGCTCCCCTCCTGTCTCTCAGGCATGCATGGGTGTGCACACACAGCCCCCTGCCACGTTGGGTCTGTTTCTCAGGTGCCCTTTCTTGCTGCTTGGGAGCATGTGTGTGTGTCAGAAATGCTGCTTTAGAGCCAGGTTCAGTGGCTCACACCTGTAATCCCAGCACTTTGGCAGGCCAAGGCAGGAGGATCACTTGAGCCCAAGAGTTTGAGACCAGCCTGGGCAACATAGCGAGACCCTGCCTATACAAAAAAATTTTAGAATAATAAAATTAGCCAGGCATAGTGGTGCACACCTGTGGTCCCAGCTACTTTGGAGGCTGAGGTGGGAGGATTGATTGAGCCAGGGAGGTCAAGGCTGCAGTGAGCCGTGATTGTACCACTGCACTCCAGCCTGGGTGACAGAGCAAGACCCTGTCTCAAAAAAAAAGGAAAGAAATGCTGCTTTGGATTCCTTCAGCCCCAGAAAGCAGGGACCATTCAGGGGCCAGGTCCTCTTTGTTGCCCAGTCTGCCCTCGCCTCAGAGGTGGGACCCTGTCAGTCATCCAGGAACACAGCCAAGCCCCCTCCAGCACTTCAGGGAAGTGACCTTACACCCATCTGTTTGTCCCCTCTGCGTGTCTTCCCCATCCAGGGCGAGTGTGTGGGGCAGGCCTCTTCCATCCCCCGCACCCTGTGTTCAGAGTCGGCTTCCCTCTCCCACACCTCTGTGAGCGTGGACGGAAGGCTGGGGAGCCCATGTTCACTGGCACGTCCCTCAGGCTAGAGGAGGGCCTGCCTCCTGGGCCTGCTGCCGGACCACAGCCAGTGCTCACCCTCAGACAGTGCTCACCCACTGCCTTCGGCCCACCCTTCAGCATGGCCCACCTGTGAGCTCCTCCCACCTCCCATCCCTTCCCAGAGCCTCCTTCCCGGGCCTGGCTCCCCCTGCAGGAGCGCCACTGTGCTTTCTGTTCTCGGCAGCCCTGCAGCTGCCTGGCCGTTGGCTCCAGATGTGGGATTTCATCACGTCCCTGGCCCTCTTTTGGGTCATGCCAAGGTTGAGATTTCAGATCCCAGGGGTCTGGAAGCCTTCAGAAAGCTGCCAGTGCCTGGGAGAGCCACAAGAGCCACTCACAGGACTCCTCTCCCACTCTGGCCACCACCTTCCCAACACAGTCTCCCTGGCCCTCCGGCCGCCACTCCGCCCAGCTGAGCCCTTCCTTGCATTCCTGAGTGCATTTTCTCACCCCTCCCCACCCTGGCCCGCATGCGAGTGTGCAGCTCCACACGGCCTGCAGCCCTGGCCACGGCCCAGCTTGTGCCCTCCTCACATGAGCTCAGCTCGCCATTCCCGCGGCAGCTGCCAGCCTCAGAGCAGCCCAGCCCCTTTGCTACCAGGAAAGAGTGCGAGTGAGAGAGTGGATAGTGAGGGAGGAAGGGCCTGGCCAGGCCGGGTGCCGCACTTCCCTCTTGCCTGGCAGAAAGGCACCCATGTGAGGAGAGCGTGTTAGCACCGATGCCATCTTGTGTGGTTGGTGGCCTCCATCCATTCCCGGATTCACTCATTCGTTCAACAGACAGCTCAGGTGGCTCCAGCCGTCCTTATCCATGGAGGCCTGGGCGTCGCCCTGTGGCTGAACCTTCTGGGGGTCTTTCTGCCCACCCATCAGCTCTTCAGTCCCTCTACAGGGCTCCATGAGGCCCTGCAGATGGTTTCCTGAGGCCAAGGGGCTGGGTGTGGTGGCCCCACTGGCATTCCTCCCCTGGGAAGGGCTCTGGGGCAGCCTTCACCTGAGGTGTTTAGAAGCCAGCTCAGTCTCCGGCCAGGGCCCAGCTGGTTCAGCGGCCTCCACACGTCCCTGCCCCACCCCTACCTGACTGGGCATCCACGCGGGTCTGCCCATGGCGTCTGCCAGAGCCCCCAGGCAGGCTGGCCTACTAATTCCCAAGACTCAGAGCCTCTGTCCTCTCAAGTAGCAGTTACGTGAAACAGGACAGGCAGGCCCTCCACACCCCAGGGTCTGGTCGTAGCGGCCTCCTCCGCCCTGGGGTGGGTGGGCCACCTTCACTCCACACCCCTCACCATCCCCCACAGCCCGCAGCGGGAGGGTCGTCGTGGATGCTTCTCTGAGGGACTTGATTTCCTGGGAATACGACCAACCCCGAACGACCCCTTGTCCCCACTCCAGTTGTCCCTTGGCCTGGATCCCAGATAGCTGTGGCAATGGTCCGCTGCCCACATCCTCTCGGTGCACCCTTGCCAGGACTCTGCGGAGGCAGAGGGAGATGTCACCTGCTGTTTCTGGTTCCTGCCCCTGGGAGAAAGCAGTTGGAGAAGGGAATTGCAAGGCCGCCTTGTGGCTGAGCCTCCTGCCCCAGGGCTGCGCAGCAGGGCCGGTGGAGCCAGAGTCTCCCAGGCCTCCCACTTCTTGGCCATCAGTGCCAGAGCCGATCCTGTGGGGAGTCTGGTAGGTGCCTGACAGTTGAGACTGGGAGAGGCTGAGGTGAGGCTGGTACTGGCTCCATGCCTGCTGTGCTCGAACACCACCTCACTGAAACTTGAGAATAGTTCCATGCCACACAGGTACTGGGGCTGGCCCCATTTTACAGATGAAGGCACAGGCCCAGAGAGGCCTCGGTGGCTGCACTGGGCGGGCAGCTGTCAGGTGCTGGGACAGAGCTGAGGGGATCTCCGCTACCACTTGGGGGAAGCCCAAGGTGGTGTGCCTGAGGCAGGGCCCCTGTAGGAGCTGGGGTGCAGCCACCTTCCCAGGCTGGCATTTTCCCTGCGGTTCCCTAAAGACCTTCACTTGCTTGCAGGGCTTCCTTGAGCTTTGGTTCTGGGATGTGTAATTAGCCAGGATCAGGGACTAATAACAGCGTTCCTCCTTTCCTTTAAAGGGCCTGATGGTGGGCCCGCCCCAATGCACACAGGACACCTTAGGACAGCGTGGGGCACTTAGACGTGGAGAGGACCACCACCTGTGCGGGTGCAGGGTCAGGGTCCTAGAAGAAGCTGGCTCTGATGCTTCCCCTTCCCCAAGCCTGCTGGGACATGGGCTTTGACCCCGGGTGCTTCTCCGGATCAAAGCCCTCCAGAAACAGGTGCTACCTTTCTAAGCCGTGCTACCACGGCCCGATTTGTATGGTTTCCTACTAACAAAAGTTGCTAAGTTTAGGACACACAGGTTGAGATGGAATCTCTCTCTCAGGCTGAGCAACCCTGAAGTGTCCATCCAGGTCCATCCAGGTTACAGTTGGGCTTAGAGATCCCTGGAGGGTACGGAAGAAGATTCTGGAAGTTTCCATGCCACTGTCATTGGCATGGAAGGATGTGGGGTCCACAGTCTCTCTTTCCCTCCCTCTGCTTGGACAGCCCCTCCAGACTCCTGCCCCACAGCTGCCGTGCTGTGGTCTAAGCGTCTCTCTGCTCCTACCAGGGAAGGAAGCCATGCTGAAGCACCGGGACTACGAGACGGCCACACTATCGGACATCAAAGCCCTCATTCGCAAGCACGAGGCCTTCGAGAGCGACCTGGCTGCGCACCAGGACCGCGTGGAGCAGATCGCCGCCATTGCCCAGGAGCTCAAGTACGTGCGGGCTCAGGACACTATCATCACCTGGCTCTCACCACAGCCTGCCCAGACTGGTGGCGGCAGCACGCCGAGGCCCAGCCTGCCTCAAGGCCTGGAATAGGGTCCCCAGTGCCCCAACTGCACCTCCTTCCAGAAGCCAGGGAAGGGCCTTATGGGATGAGGCCTTTTGCCCATCCTGTCTCAGCCCCAGGTGGGACACCTGAAGGATTTGGATTCTCTAGCAGGAGGGAGGTGTCTGGCCCCTTGTCTTGATTCTTCAGGCTTTAGGGGTCCCTGGGGGTGTCACCTCTCCTGGCCACCCCAAGTAGGCCCTGGTCCCCTGATGGGATGGGCCCCAGCCTCCGTTGCTCCCAGCCATAGGTCCCTGAGGGAACCAGGCTGCACAGTGAGCCTATTGTTCTGCTCGGCCCCTTCCCTTTCTTGCTCAGAATACACTTATTGTAAGAGCTTCCAGGCAGCCGGGCTCCTTCCCCTCCCCACCCAGTCAGATAAACTTGTGTACACAATTAGTACGCTGAGGGTCGCGCTGGTGAATGGGGCCTTATTCCACCAGTGCAGCGGCCAGCAGCAGGGCGGGCCCAGGCAGCAGGAGGCCCAGGCCATTACTTCATGGAAAATCCACAGGCCCTCGAGGGGCAGCAGGGCTCCCAAAATAGCCATCTGCTCAAAAATAGGATCCTTGGCTATAACTGCTCTTTCCACCGACACCCCCACCCCACCACAGTCACCCCCAAAGGTCTGCTTATTCCTATGAGTCCAAGGCCCGTTTATTCCTGAGTCCAAGGCCCAGCCCTGATGCCCCAGTGGAGCCCCATGCTGGGCAGAGCTGGTTTCCTCCCCGACTCACTACCCACTACTGTCCGGGTGCTTTGAGGGTTCCCCATTGGCTCAGCCAGAGGCAAGAGTCCCGTGGGGCCATCACAGCATTTGGCACAGTTGGGGCACTCCAGGGGTCCTGCCACCACCACGTCCAGGCCAAGGAGAGCAAGGTCACAGATGCAGCACCCTCGGGGGTGTGGGGGTGGGACACAGGCAGCTTCCCCAGTGACGGAAGAGCCCCTGGAAGCTGGTAGGAAACAGACTTGAAATAAACCCTAGGCTTGCCCCCTTCTCAGGCCCTGGGCAAAGCTATGTGAAACCCATTACTCTGCTCAGGAACAGGCGGTCCCCGAAGCAGCTCTCTGGACGGTAGCCCTGAAGGAACGGAAGGGAGGGCTGTCCGGGTCCTGTCTTTTCTGCTGAGGGGGAATTACAGAGGCCTGTGGACCGTCCAGGATGAGCCGGATGGGCAGCCCTGCTGAGCACTGATTAATGGCGATAGCAAAAACTCACTGAGCTCTCAGGGCTTTATGTGTACCAGCTCATTTAATCCCCACAGCAACTGTGTAACTGAGGGAACCGAGGCACAGAGAGGCCAAGAGGTTTGCCCAGGGTCACACAGCAAGGGAGTGGTTGAGATGGGAATGGAGCCCAGGCCCCCAGCCCTACTGTGGAGCACAGCCTCAGCCCCTGTCCGCTGTCTGTGGCTGGCTCGCCTGCTCCCCATGTCCTGTTCCTCCCCAGAGTCGTTCCCTGCCCCCTACCCCTCCTCAGGCCCCAAGGCCTGGTTGAAGGGCCACACTCTTAGCTGATAGTGGCAGAATGAGTCAGGGATGGGTGAGCAGGAGGAAGCCGCTTCCCTTCTCACCCCTGGTTATCACCTGTTAACCAGCTCTGTTATCACCCCTTCCCTTCTACCCTGGGGGTCCCATGGGCCAGAACCAAGCTGTGATTTGATTGACCAATTAGTGATTGGTTGCTGATATCCTGGAATGTTGACTGCCCCAACACCCTGGCCTGGGAACCTTGGGGGTAGATGGGTCCAATCCATCTAGCCACTTGCCCTTGCCGAGTCTCATTGCTCTCTGCCCGGCCCGCAGCGAGCTGGATTACTACGACTCCCACAATGTCAACACCCGGTGCCAGAAGATCTGTGACCAGTGGGACGCCCTCGGCTCTCTGACACATAGTCGCAGGGAAGCCCTGGAGGTGAGGAGGGGGTGACATCACCCACGGAGCTCTGTGCCCCTGCTGCCCCGGGGCTGGTGGTGTGGATAGTGTCCAGACCTGTGAGCTCCCCCCACCTCCCACGGAGAGGATGTTCTCTGACTCCTCAGGGCCCTCTGGACCCCTCCCCACCCCTCCTGCTCACATACTGACCTGCCTTCCCTCTGTCCCTGCCCCCTTCCCTCCCACACACTAGAAAACAGAGAAGCAGCTGGAGGCCATCGACCAGCTGCACCTGGAATACGCCAAGCGCGCGGCCCCCTTCAACAACTGGATGGAGAGCGCCATGGAGGACCTCCAGGACATGTTCATCGTCCATACCATCGAGGAGATTGAGGTTCGCACCCCCCGGCCCCCCATCTTCCCAAGAGCCTCTGTGGGGCTGGGCCGCCCCCTCACTCCAGCTCCTCCCCTAGGGCCTGATCTCAGCCCATGACCAGTTCAAGTCCACCCTGCCGGACGCCGATAGGGAGCGCGAGGCCATCCTGGCCATCCACAAGGAGGCCCAGAGGATCGCTGAGAGCAACCACATCAAGCTGTCGGGCAGCAACCCCTACACCACCGTCACCCCGCAAATCATCAACTCCAAGTGGGAGAAGGTGGGCCGGGGCCATCCGTAGGGGCTGGGGCAGGACGGCGGGGCTGGGGGCCACCTCCCTGACCGCTCCCACACCGCGTCTCCTCTGCCAGGTGCAGCAGCTGGTGCCAAAACGGGACCATGCCCTCCTGGAGGAGCAGAGCAAGCAGCAGTCCAACGAGCACCTGCGCCGCCAGTTCGCCAGCCAGGCCAATGTTGTGGGGCCCTGGATCCAGACCAAGATGGAGGTGAGGCACGGCTGAGCCCCACAGAGCTGAGAAGGTTCCAAGAGAGCTCCCGTAGTGAGGGGGTCCCCGGCCAGCCCAGGGCCTGCAGACTGAGGCGCCTGGCAGAGCAGGTCCCAATTCTCACCACCCAGGGGCCGTGATCACCCTGCGGGGTTAGGAGAGTCCACAGAGCTTGCGCCTGGAATCCCGGCACCTGGGGAGGCTGAGGCGGGCGGATCGCTTGAGCCCAGGAGTTCGAGACCAGCCTGGGCAACATAGTGAGACCCCAACTCTACAAAAAATACAAAAATTAGCTGGGCATGATGGTGCGCAGCCCAAGGAGGTCGAGGCTGCCGTGAGCTACGATCATGCCACTGCACTTCAGCCTGACAGCGAGACCCTGTGGTCTCTAGTGGGCTACCTATGGGAGGTGGGTTTGATCCCTGAATGCCCTGGTCTGATGATTGTGAGACTCAGGCACTATTGAACCTCTGATCCTGTCCTCCCAGCTCTAAAATGGGGATGAAAACAGTTACCTTATTACTTCAACAAATGCTTTTTGCACCAACTAACCAGCCACATGAGTGCTGTCATTCTTACAGCAGTTCTGACCACCACTCACTGAGCACTCACTACATACCAGGCAACCAGGCTGGCAGCAGGCAACCTCGTTTAAACCCAGCAAGCCTGAGAGGGGGTCCGGGTGCCAGGCAGGTCAGCCCTGAGGTTCATGCCAGCCACGCAGCATGTGGACTTGTGGGTGCCGAGACATGGAGTGCCCGAGGTCAGGAGCTGCAGCCAGGCCAGGGTTCAGATCCCAACTCTGCCTCTAACAGCACTGAGCTGTCCTCCGTGAGCCTCGGTTTCTACCTCTGCAGTCAGGGCCTGCCACAGCCCTGGCCTCACAGAGAGGTCAAGGGTAAAATGAAGTTGGGCACAGGGAGCGCTTGGCAGAGAAAACCTCCCTGTCATTGTCATAGCTGCT
Organism: Homo sapiens; assembly: GCF_000001405.40. Classification (NCBI taxonomy): domain Eukaryota; kingdom Metazoa; phylum Chordata; class Mammalia; order Primates; family Hominidae; genus Homo; species Homo sapiens. The sequence goes on from NC_000019.10 coordinate 38,725,530, forward strand.
TTAACATGAGAGGGCAGGACCGGAGGGGACAGTTGTGAGCAGTGGGCCTTCCCTCCCAGGGACCCATGGGCCAAGGCCCCAGGCCAAAGGGGCCCCGGGGAAGATGCAGGCCAGCAGCGCGAGTGGGCTCCTCCAGGTGGTCAGTGGGGGCAGGCCCACCAGCCTCACCCCACCGCCTGCACCCACCCCCGTAGGAGATCGGGCGCATCTCCATTGAGATGAACGGGACCCTGGAGGACCAGCTGAGCCACCTGAAGCAGTATGAACGCAGCATCGTGGACTACAAGCCCAACCTGGACCTGCTGGAGCAGCAGCACCAGCTCATCCAGGAGGCCCTCATCTTCGACAACAAGCACACCAACTATACCATGGAGGTGCGCGGCTGCCCCGCCCGCTGGCCTTTCCACCAGCATGGCCGGCTTCCTCACTGGAAATGGTTCGGGCCAGTGAGAAGATAGCTGTCTGCTGTCTGTTGTTTTTCACTCTGTTTAAAAATTATTGAAGAGACCAGCACTTTGGGAGGCCAAGTGGGAGGATGGCTTGAGCCCAGGAGTTCAAGACCAGCCTGGGCAACATAGCAAGACCCTGTCTCTACAAAAAATGAAAATATTAGCCAGGCATGGTGGTGCATGCCTATAGTCCCAGCTCCCCAGGAGGTTGAGGTGGGCAGATTGCTTGAGCCAGGGAGGCAGAGGTTGAGGTGAGCCGAGGTCATGCCACCACACTTCGGTCTGGGTGACAGAGCCAGACTCTGTCTCAAAAAAAAAAAAAAAAAAGATTGAAAAGACTAGATCAAAATGTTTAGACATTTTTAAAAATTACACTTTCCCTAGCACTGCTCTCATCACCATGACAATGCCCCTCACAGGACAAGCTGTTCTAGGGGCCCACAGAGGGCACCGTTTGCCCTGTGGCCTTAGCAGTATCAGCCTTGCTCAGGGCCAGAGCCAGCCAGCGGGTGCCGGGTCAGGGCAGCAGCTCCCACTGGCTAACACTCCGGGGACATTACAAGCTGGTCGCCGTCATATTGGTAGCTTGAGAAACCAAAAGACTGGACACTCTTGATCCAACCCATACAGGTCCACAGATGCTTCAAACCAGAGTTGGCTTTTTTGTTTTTTTCCCCTGAGAGCCAGTGGTGAGACACTGACCAGAGTTTGTCCAAACAGTCTCCACAGGGATCCCGGCACAAGATTCATGGGTCCTTGCCCTTCTGCTGCCCCTGTAGCTGGGAAACACACTTACTGTGGAGACAGACATTGGCAGAGGCAGCAGGGAGGCACCATGGCCCGTGTCCCCTGTGAGGTGTACAGGAGAGCAGGGGCTTTCCCCAGGGCGGGAGGACAGTTCACAGTCCTCCACGTGTGAACCACGGTGAGGACAGTTCACAGCACCCGGCCCACGATCACGCCCCCGTCTTTCCGCAGCACATCCGCGTGGGCTGGGAGCAGCTGCTCACCACCATTGCCCGCACCATCAACGAGGTGGAGAACCAGATCCTCACCCGCGACGCCAAGGGCATCAGCCAGGAGCAGATGCAGGAGTTCCGGGCGTCCTTCAACCACTTCGACAAGGTGAGCAGCCTGCCACCTCCTCGGCCTCTCCCCTCCCGCCGTTGCCGTACCAGCCCACACCTTCGTCTCTGCATCTGTTCGTCCATTCCCATCACAGTTGCTGAGCGTCGGCCGCCACTCCCAGGGCCAGCAGGGCCCTGCCACTGTCAGGGTGTAGGTGTGCGGCACCAAGACCCCAGCCTGGGCCACTTCACACGCACAGGCAGGGGGCCGGAGGTCCCAAGTCCTGCCTTCTGGGGTGGCATCCTCACCACCCCCAGGGCAGATGAAGTCTCAGCACACCCAGGCTTTGCGACCCGGTCTGTGAACCTGGACACAGACACCCCGCACAGTGCTTTTAGAATTCAGATTTGGTCCGGCAGCCTCATCAGAGGGGCCCTGAGCGCCAGAGTTTGCTGCCATCCCCAGCCCACCCCTGCCGGGCTGACGGACTGAGAAGTGTGCAGCCTCAGCTCTGCACCTGGCGCCCCCAGGACAGGATACAGTCCCCTCTGTCCCACTCCAAATCCCAAAGGCAAGGAGAACCCCCCCCCCGACCCTCCACCAGTCCTGGGACTTGTCCTCAGTTCTGTAGCATCCAGCTGCCACCCCTGCTGTGGGCAGAGAGGTCGGGGAGGCCTCTGCCTTCCTTTGAGCTTCCGAGGTTGGGGAAAGGATGAAAGGGGCCCGTGCCGCCCCCGACCCCACGTGTCCCTGGCCATCTCCTTGTCCATGTTGCCTCTAACTCTGTGTTTCCCTCCCCTACGTGTCCCTTCCCCCTGCCCTCTGCATGTGACCCCGATCCCTCATCCTGGTCTCCACGCCGCCCCTCCCGCACACCTGCCTTCGGATGGCCCCGGCAGGATCATGGCGGGGCGCTGGGGCCCGAGGAGTTCAAGGCCTGCCTCATCAGCCTGGGCTACGACGTGGAGAACGACCGGCAGGTACTGCACCCTGGGCCCCAGCGGACCATGGCATTAACTGCTCTCTCTCTCTCTCTCCTTCTCTCTTTCTCCCCTCGCCATCCCACCCCTGCCATCCTGTGTGCCATCTCATGGCTCTCTTGCCTCCCTGCCCACATCTCCCTGGACCCCTTCCCTTTTACCTGGTCTCTTGGGGCCGCTGTCTCCCTGCTCCCCGCCACTGTCCTGTCTGCCTGCTGTGCACATGGGGCGGCCCCTCTTGCCTACTCTGGGCCCGGCCTCCTCTGCTATGCCTGCGTCCTCGGAGCAGAAGCAGACAGGCAGCATGGACTCCGATGACTTCAGGGCTCTGCTTATCTCCACAGGATACAGCCTGGTATGCAGCTCTGTCTCCCCAGCCACCCGCTCCTCCTCCTCCTCCTCCTCCTCCTCCTCCTCCTCCTCCCCCCCACCTCTCCCCCTCACCGCCTCCAGAGCTTCCTCGTCCTCGGGGACACTCCTCCGCCCGAGCAGCGCAGCCGTGCCTGCCTCTTCCTCTGCTGCATCTGCCGGGGTGGGGTCCCTCCGATGACTTCCCGAGCCCCCCTTCTTCCCTAGAAGTCTCCAGAAAGAGGGGGCAGCTCTCCCACTCTCTCCCCTTTTTCTTTCTCTTTCTCTCTTTCTTCCCCATCCTCCAGAGCTTACTCGTGAGCCTGGGCTGAGGGCAGTAGACCCCAGTTCCCTGCTGTGGGAGACCACGAGAGGGGAGGGTGCAGAGAGGCCCTGCTTCCCGGCCTGGGGCACTGGGGGCTTGGAGGCCTGGGTCAGCTGGAGCAGTGGCAGGCTCTGCCCGGGGCCAAGGCTGCTGGAGCAGGCGGGGAACAGGGCGCACGCACACGTGGGTTGGGCCCTACTCTCTCGGCTGTTTCCCTGGAGACCCCACCAGTGTGGGCCTGGCTGCCCCTGCCCCACTAAATGTCGGGTGTCCCCCACCCCACCCTCTCCTTGCAGGGTGAGGCCGAGTTCAACCGCATCATGAGCCTGGTCGACCCCAACCATAGCGGCCTTGTGACCTTCCAAGCCTTCATCGACTTCATGTCGCGGGAGACCACCGACACGGACACGGCTGACCAGGTCATCGCTTCCTTCAAGGTCTTAGCAGGGGACAAGGTGAGCGAGACCCCTACGAGGTGCATGGGGGCTGGCGAGAGGGGTCCCTGCAGTGGGAGGGGCTGAGGGGGCCAGTGTGTGGGTGGGGATGGCTCAGAGTCCCATCCTGCCTGCCCCAGAACTTCATCACAGCTGAGGAGCTGCGGAGAGAGCTGCCCCCCGACCAGGCCGAGTACTGCATCGCCCGCATGGCGCCATACCAGGGCCCTGACGCCGTGCCCGGTGCCCTCGACTACAAGTCCTTCTCCACGGCCTTGTATGGCGAGAGCGACCTGTGAGGCCCCAGAGACCTGACCCAACACCCCCGACGGCCTCCAGGAGGGGCCTGGGCAGCCCCACAGTCCCATTCCTCCACTCTGTATCTATGCAAAGCACTCTCTGCAGTCCTCCGGGGTGGGTGGGTGGGCAGGGAGGGGCTGGGGCAGGCTCTCTCCTCTCTCTCTTTGTGGGTTGGCCAGGAGGTTCCCCCGACCAGGTTGGGGAGACTTGGGGCCAGCGCTTCTGGTCTGGTAAATATGTATGATGTGTTGTGCTTTTTTAACCAAGGAGGGGCCAGTGGATTCCCACAGCACAACCGGTCCCTTCCATGCCCTGGGATGCCTCACCACACCCAGGTCTCTTCCTTTGCTCTGAGGTCCCTTCAAGGCCTCCCCAATCCAGGCCAAAGCCCCATGTGCCTTGTCCAGGAACTGCCTGGGCCATGCGAGGGGCCAGCAGAGGGCGCCACCACCACCTGACGGCTGGGGACCCACCCAGCCCCTCTCCCCTCTCTGCTCCAGACTCACTTGCCATTGCCAGGAGATGGCCCCAACAAGCACCCCGCTTTTGCAGCAGAGGAGCTGAGTTGGCAGACCGGGCCCCCCTGAACCGCACCCCATCCCACCAGCCCCGGCCTTGCTTTGTCTGGCCTCACGTGTCTCAGATTTTCTAAGAACCAAAAAAAAAAAAGGAAAAAAAACACAAAACAACAAAAACCAAAAAAAAAAAAAATCACAAAAACAAAAAAACTATAAAAAAGAAAGAATTAAAAACTTTCAGAGAATTACTATTTACTTTATTAACTTACGGATTTATTATATAAATATATATTCACCTAGCAACATATCTCTGCCGTCTCTCCTGCTCTCATAATGAAGACATAGCCGATTCTCTGCCCGGGCCCCTTGCTGATGCTCCTCCGGGTCTGCGTCGGGCGTGGGTCTCTGGGGACCCTCCAGAGGTGGAGGTGGGCTGATGGCCTGGCTGCCTGGTGGTTGATGGTTTTGCTCCCCCTACCTTTTTTTTTTGAGTTTATTCTGATTGATTTTTTTTCTTGGTTTCTGGATAAACCACCCTCTGGGGACAGGATAATAAAACATGTAATATTTTTAAGAAGGATTCCTGCAGCATCATCTTTTTTTATTTCTCCTGTGTCTGTCCTCCACCTTCTAGGAGAGCCAGGGCAGAGCTAGCACTGTCTTAAGCTGTCAACGTGGACTAGCTCGTGTCATCTGCTCGAGAAGGGCTGTCGCTGTTCTTGTTTCTGAGTGAGGAGTACGCAGGCCAGAGTGGTCACCCGGCCGTGAGCAGTGAGGGCCAGAGACTAGCCCCAGACAGGTGGATGCCAGAGAGAGTGGCACCCATGCCAGGCAAGGCCTAGGGAGGTGGTCTTGCTCAGCAACCCTGCCCTGAGCAGCAGGTGCGCCCATCCGGAGATCCTAGGAGAAGGTGGCCACCTCCATCCACTAAGGAAGAGAAGGAAGACAGTGGCTTGAGGCAGGGAGCTCGCAGGACAGAGCCTGAGCCACCCTGTCCCTCCCACCTGGCTCACCTGTCTGTGGGTCAGGCAGATGACCCCCTCACCCCCATCCAGGTGCTGGCTGCAGTGGCCTGTGCAGAGAGGGGCAGGGTGAGTGCCCACCAGTCCCCGTACCCCTTCCCCCCATGCCCCACCATGCCGGGGTGGTACTCACAGAAGATGCAGGTGAGGTGGGCCACACAGGACACGAACCGCTCGAAGTCCACACGCAGACGGCTATCCCGGTAGCGGCTGGTGAGGGTCTGGGTCAGCTGGTTGTTCAGGTGGAAGCCTAGGGGGAGGCTGCTTCTGAGCCCAGTGGCCCACAGGGAACCCACCTTGGCATTGCATCCCCACCCCACCTCCTCAGGGAGGACATGAATGCCACAGGGTGTCACACCCCAACTCTGCCCCATCCCGGCAGGGTGAGTACAGGCTGATCCCTTCAATCCTCTGGGCCTGTTTCCTCATCCATCAAACGGACTAAGACAGCCCCGACCCCATAGGGTGTGTGAAGACAGAACGCTCAGGACAGCGTCTGACACGTGACTCGATGTGTGGGTACTGTTACTCCTTAAATCCTGTGGGGCTTTCTCCTTGCCAGTGGGCACTGGAGGATATTTCTGTGCAGCAAAAAATATAGTCAATCCCATATGGAGTCAGTTTCCTTACAGTCTACCTCAGAGGCGATTTCTAAAGCTGAGAAACCATGTCTGCTGTGGAGTCTCATTGGAGGCTTTTAAAAACCCAAAACAATGGGTTCTTGACCCCTTCTGAGATGCAAGGTTGTGCCTGATGACCTTTGTCTCCCACACGGCCAGACAAACCCAGTTCCAAGTACCGTTTCATGGGCTTCTGCTGCTTCCAAAGCCCATCTTCACCCCCATTCTGTGTGTTCATTCTCTTCACAAATATCTACCAAGTAAGTGCCATTTCATGCTGTGCCCAGTGCCAGGTGCTGTTTTAACAGGAGGGCAGGTGGCCTGCAGCCTCTTCCTGCCCGTGTGACCTGCCCCAGGTCACTCCCTCTGGCATTCATCTGCCCTCGGGCATAGGGGTGGAGGCTGCCATGCCCAGGGCTATGGGGAAACCCAGCCAGATGGGGTGGAAGGACCCGAGAAGGCGCTGGAGCCCCTCAGCTGCCACTGCAGGAGTTCCCGTTTGAGAAATTCTCAAGGGCACTTTATCAGTTTCCTTCTTCCTGGAATAACTCCTGGCATGTAACAGGCACTCACTGGTGCCAGATGCGTGAACACAAGCCTGCCACCTGCCACCTGCTGTGAGTCCTTGCTCCCTCACCTCCACTCCTGTCTATCTCCGGCCCAGCCTCTCCCTCTCTGCCCCACGTCTCCCAATCCTTGGCTGTCTCTGACCCCATTTCTCCCCCTTTGACTTGGGCTTTTTCTTTTTTCTTTTTTGAGACGGAGTCTCGCTCTGTTGCCCAGGCTGGAGTACAATGGCATGATCTTGGCTCACTGCAACCTCCACCTCCCGGGTTCAAGAGATTCTCCTGTCTCAGCCTCCCAAGTAGCTGGGATTACAGGCACGCACCACCACGCCTGGCTAATTTTTGTAGTTTTAGTAGAGACGGGGGTTCCGCCATGTTGCCCAGGCTGGTCTTGAACTCCTAGGCTCAAGCAATCTGGCAATCTGCCTGCCTTAGCCTCCCAAAGTGCTGGCATTACAGGCGTGAGCCACCACGCCCGGCTGGCTCTTTTGGACACTTGACCACCTTCTCTGGGTCTCACACTCACAGCCACACCCAAACCCTCTCCCTCTGGCTCTCCGACTCCATCACAGTCACCCCAGCCCCCATCTCCCTGTGGCTCCATCTGCTGTGTGGTGGCAGACAGGCCCCAGAGTGGGGTTGGGGATCTGGGAACTCCAAGTTCTGACCCCAGCCCACTCTCCAAATCCCCTCCACATGAGGGTCACAGTGCTGTACTGTCTCATCTGCCTTGGAGCCCATGGAAAGCCTTTCTCTCTGGCTCTCTTTCTTGGTTAGGATGTTGTGCTGGGCTTGTTCCAGCTCATCAGGAGGAACTCAGCCTAGTAGCAGAGGCCATTGGCCGGCTCTCTTTGGGGCTTTTGGTAATGAAAGCTGCATTCTCCAATCACTAAGTGCTATGCCCTGCAGTGCATGGACGACTCCTCACCACCCTGTGTACTAGCTTTTTTTTTTTTTTTTTGAGAGGCAGGCTCTTGCTCTGTCACCCAGGCACAATCACGGCTCACTGCAGCCTCAGCCTCCCGGGCTCAAGCCATCCTCAAGCCTCAGCCTCCTGAGTAGCTGGGACCATAGGTGTGAGCCACCACACCAGGCCCTGGCCATTTTAGAGAGGAAAATGGAGGCTCAAAGAGATGAAGTCAAGTGCCCAGGGCCCCTCCTGGAGTCAGTAGAGTGAGGATTCCAACCCCGGTGCACCAGAATCCAGAACATTCTACCATGCTGCCCTGGGGGCCAGACCCTCTCAGATACCAGCTCCTAATCTTCCCCTTCCTGGAGGGGCCTCTCCCTGCCCCAGAACCCCTACCAGGCACATCCCCCTTTCATGTCCTCCCCACCCCACACACGCCCCTTGCCCTTCTCCTTCCTTATTTGGCCTCTTTCAGGGTCACCCAACCCCTGCCAGGGACTGGCAACAAGCTAAGGTGTGGGCCTGTGGATGGCCACAGTGCAGACGGCCACAGCTGAGCAGGGGGACTTGGAGACAATGGGATGGGAGAGAACAGGTCCTGTCCCCACGACCACCCCAGGACCCTGTCCACACCTGCTGCATTCAGTGCCAGCCTCAGCTCGTAGGAGTTCATGGTTCCAGAGGTGTCCTCATCGAACTTGTTAAATATGGCCTGGGCAGGAAGGATGAGTCAGGGCTGCCCTCCATGCCCTGAAGAGGGCTGCCAATGGGGCCTCCCAGGCAAGACAGCCTGGTGCCCATCCCAACTCCCTTTCTTCTGGTGTGGACCCCCAGCAAGCAGCCTAGCCACTTGGGACTTCTGTTTCCCAATCTGTAAAATGGGAATAAGAGCAATGACCCAGAGGACAAGCTGAGGCTGGGTGGGGGCAGGGATATCCCAGCCAGATCTCTCCAAGTCAGCCTAGTCCAGTACCCCCTCGTTCCCTGGGGACCTGATAGCCCACAGGGTGCCTATGTCTCTGTTAGTAAAGGTTTCTCTCTTTCTGGGAAGAGGCCCAGTCTCCCACCTCACCTGCCACTCCAGGAGGTAGCCCCAGAGCTGCTGGAAGTGGTGTAAGGCCAGGCTTTGCCCATGCTGTGTTGGGGGTCGGGGGCATCTGGTTAAGGTCAATCTCTCCAGAAGGGGAGGAGAGACCCCAACGTCCCCTTCCCCACTCCCTCCCTCACCCAGGCACTGCCCCCCATGTACCCCGAAACACTGCAGCAGCTGCTCACAGGTCCTGAGCCCGATCTCTCTGGGGGTGGAGGTATGGGCCCTGGCTACAGGAAAAACAAAGTCAAACCACAGCACTTCCTGCATTCTGGCCACCACTTTAAGGGCTGGGTGGATGTGACTCCCTTAAGCAGGTGATGTTGTCAGTCCCATATTATAGAAGCCGAGGCACAGGGAGCCAGTGACTGCTGCGCCTAGCAGAGCTGGGATTCAAATCCAGGCAGGGGGTGCCCAGTCTGTGCTCAAGGCAGCCTTGCCTTTCAGCGGAAGGGGAGCTTGCGAGCAGCCGTGGCCCAGGTCACGGGGCCCACACAAGATCCCCTGCAGGGAGATGCTGCCAGGCTGAGCCCTGGCTTCCTGAGCCCAACTCCCAGCAGCGCGGTGGGTTCATAGACATAGGGTGGCACCGGCTCTGGTTGCAGGACCCCTGGCTAAGACCCCTCCTCCTGCCCCTATCCCAGCCAACTCACCAGGCTCCAGGGCAATGCTTAGTAAGGCCTGGAGCTGAGAGGCATTGAGTTCTTCCTCCTAGTCCAGGAAAGAGGGCTTGTGAGGCCATTTACTCATCCAGCTGCTCTGGGCCAAGCCCTGTGCTAGGGACACGGCAGGGGCTGACAGAGCCTCAGAGCCCTAGCTCCAGGAGTGGGGGAGACAGACCTGTCCCCACAGGGCCAGGGCTGTGACGGGGGAAGCACTGGGCTGTGGTTGCTGGTGGGGGGCCAGCAGACCGGCCTGGGGCAGGGGGGTGGTCAGGGAGAGCTTCCAGGGCTGGGCACCTTAGATGAGACCTGAGCCTGGCTGGAGGTGTCAGGAGGGAGAGGGTGGTCCTGGGAGAGGGTATGGACTGAGCCCAAGGCCCTGAGGCAGGGAGGAGCTGTGAGCATTTCAAGAAAAGGTCAGGAGATTTAAGCCCGGAGGGAGGAAAAAGCAAGCAAAATGAGACACCTGAGATGCTGGGGTGGGGGAAGGGGGGTCCCCAAGGGGAGGCCGCAGCGGGATACCCCCTCAGTCCAATCCCCCTCCTCACCTCTCCAGCCAGCTCCTGAAACAGCTGCTCCAACCCCAGCTCCAGGGGCAGGTAGGGGCCCTGCCGCATGGCGGAAGTTTAGCGCTGGCCAAGATCCCCGCCCCATGCCGCCCCTCCAGGAACAGTCCCCACCTGGAGAGACTGCAGGTCTGCGCTGATCACGTCGTCGATCTCCCTGCAAATTACAGATGGGAAGTGGGGAGGGGGCTGTTTGCCCCAGCTGGGGCTGTGTGGGACGGGGTCTCAGGTGAGGAATCGCGTGGGGTCTAGGTAGGGACCGTGGAGCCCTGGGCTCATCCTCGCGGGGCGGGGGTTCTGGGGGCGGGGCGGGGGTTCTGGGGGCGGGGCGGGGGTTCTGGGGGCGGGGCGGGGGTTCTGGGGGCGGGGCGGGGGTTCTGGGGGCGGGGCGGGGCGGGGGTTCTGGGGGCGGGGCGGGGCGGGGGTTCTGGGGGCGGGGCGGGGGTTCTGGGGGCGGGGCGGGGCGGGGCGGTGGTTCTGCGGGCGGGGCGGGGCGGGGCGGGGCGGGGCGGGGGTTCTGGGGGCGGGGCGGGGCGGGGCGGGGGTTCTGGGGGCGGGGCGGGGCGGGGGTTCTGGGGGCGGGGCGGGGCGGGGCAGGGGTTCTGGGGGCGGGGCAGGTCAGGTCTCGGGGGTCTCGGGGGTCTCGGGGGTCTCGGGGGTCTCGGGGGTCTCGGGGCCTGTCTAGGCAGGGATGGGGTCGGATTTGGGTGCCCGGGGCTCACACGGCCGTGTGGCGGCGCTCGGAGAAGACACGCAGAGTGAAGTCAGCCTCGTCGCCGGCGTGGGCGGTGCTCGGCACCACCAGGTAGTGGCCTGGACGCAGGCAGCAGCGGCGGGTCACGTCGCGGCGGGCGCTGAGGGGCGAGCGGTCGGCGCGCAGCAGCCGGGGCAGGAGCGCATGGCTGCGCGGGGAATCCCAGAGGCCCAGCAGCTGGGGACGGGGCGGCATGACCACGGACCAGGCTCACCCCCGGCCCTTCATCCCCGCACCCTCCAGCGCGCCCCGTCCACCCTGCCTAACCCCTGTCCACGCCTCCCCTGCCCCCGGACCCGGCTCTGCCCCCCCACCCCCAGGGCAGTTTGACCAAGCCCCAGGGCAGGTTGACCAAGCCCCAGGGCAGGTTGACCAAGCCCCAGGGCCGGTTGACCCCATCCCAGACTCACCTCCTCTGGAATCTGAAAGAAGCAAGAGCAAGGGGCGTCGGGGCAGGGGAGAGGTGGCCGCCGCTCAGGGTCTCCTCCCTGCCCCTTCTCACCTCTGTGCTCTCTCCCTCCTTCTTCGTCCTATTAGACCCTTATTGAACCTTTGCCCCGCAGTCCCCGACCCAGGCCCTCGCCGACCCCTCCCCAACTCTTCCTTCCCCATCTGCGCTCCCAGCGCCTTCTCTGTATCCTTGGTCCCCTCTGGCCCTTCTAACCCCCAGCCTCTCTCTGTCCCTAACCTCGTCCCTCTGTCTGTCCCTGAGCCCCTCCCTCTCATTCCCTTAGCTCCCTCTCCCCTCTGAGACCTGGCCCCCCAGCCCTACTAGCCCCCTACTCCCCTCCCAGCGCCGCCCCCTCTTGGCCCTGCTCCTCCACTCCTCCCCTCCTCCCCGATCCTCTTCAGTCCCACCCCTCCACCACTCCCCCTCTTCCCCCTTGGCCCCGCCCTCCACACCTCCCCTCTTCCCACTGGCCCCGCCCCTCCATGCCTCCCCCGCTCCTTGGCCCGGCCCCGCCCCTCCACCCTCCGGGTTCCCTCCAGCCTCAGCTTTGCCCAGGACCTCACCTGGAACACGTGGAAGCCAACGGTGAGGTAAGTGAGGCCCTTGGCTCTCAGGCGCCGCCGGTTGCGCTGGATGAGGGACAGAAGGACCGTGCACTTGGGCGTGCGGCCCCCCCGCGCTGGGCCCCGTGCCCCTGCAGCCCCCCAGCCCCCCCAGGGCCCTTCCTCATCCTCGTCATCCTCCTCATCAGGCTCCAGCAGCGTTAAACGGAACTGAGGATTGGTCCAGAAGGTTTCTAAGGGAGGAGGAAAAAAGGGGGTTTCCTAGCCGGCCACAGCGCCCCCCACCCCAGGAAGCCTCTCAGGGCCCCTCAGGCCTCACCAGCATTAGGCTGGCTCCCGCCGGAGTTGAAGCCACGCACCCAGCGGCCTTGGAAGGTGTGGACGTGCCAGCCGCCCCCCTCCGGGCTGGGGCCCAGCACCTCCGGGCTCAGCGAGCAGATCTGCACGGTGTCGAAATGGAGGAGGAAGTCCCGCAGCTCCATCCTGCACGGTGGCCCAGTCAGACCCTGCCCGGCCCCACCTCGAGGGGGTCCCAAGATCCCGGAAATGACTCCCAGATCCCAAAGCCCCTCACATTTCTTAAATATTGTCAAATACCCTTCAGGCTCCAGAAATGAACCCCAAATGCCTGGGCCTCTAGCTCTGCCAAATTCCTCCAAGTCCTCAGACATGCCCCACAAATCGCCAAGATTCACAAGCTGCCCCCAAATATCGTTAAATTGCCACCAACCCCCAAATAGCAAGACCCTCAGACTCTAAATTACCAACAAGTACCCTTCAGCCCCTCAACATTGCCAAATCTCAAGAAATGCCCCAAATATCACCAAGCCTTCCTCCATTGCCCTAAATACTGCCCATCCCTTTCAATCCTCCACAGATAACTAGGCCTTCAAATTCCCCTCATATTACTACTTTTTTAAACCCACTCCAATCAGAGGTTCTCTAATATTACTACCAATTCTTCCTTGATTTCCCAAAATAGAACCTGGCCCCAAAATTACCACCGATGTACACAGTTTCTCCCTATTAGGACCCATCCTTCAACTGGGGCTCGCCCTCCCTGAACCCCTTGGCAGAGACCCTCCCAGAGGCAGAGCTGGGACCCTGACGAACTGACCAGAACTCGCCATCCTCCTTTTTCACCAGCAGGGCATCGCGGCACTCGGTGGGGAGTGTGTCCCAGCGTGGGCAGCTGGAGAGACTGTGGTGTGAGGGGCGGGCAGGTGGGGTCCAGCCCCACACCCACCCCAGACCCATCCCACCTGTCGCTCCAGGCCCCCGTCCACTCCACGCAGCCCCATGGGTTCCGCAGCCGCAGCAGCCGCACCTTGGTGAAGCCCAGGAACACCTGGGGCAGCATCGTCAGTGGGGGTGATGCCTGGACATGGCCTGCCACCCCACCCATGGGGGACACTTACCTTGTGTGTGCCCGTGATGGAATACGCGTGTCCCTTTACCAGGCCCTCTTCTGTGCGGTACTCACCCCGATCACTCTGGGCAGGGGATGGGATGGTGAGGCCAAGGTAGGGGACAGGAGGGCAGCTGCTCCTCCCTGCCCCCAACCTCCTGCCACCAAGGCAGGAGCCAACCAGAGCACTGAACTGAATGGCACGCAGCTCAGAGACCATGTCAGGGTTAGTGACTGAAGGCGAAAGAGAAAAGGAGAGGAAGGGAGATGGAAACGAGACAAAAGGAGATGGAGGTACGGGCTCACGCCTGTAATCCCAGCACTTAGGGAGGTCGAGGTGGAAGGACTACTTGAGGCCAGGAGTCCAAGACCAGCCTGGGCAACATAGCAAGACCCCAAGTCTACAAAAATTTTAAAAATTCAACAGGCGTGGTGGTGCACACCAGTGGTCCCAGCTACTCTGGAGGCTGAGGCAGGAGGATCCCTTGAGCCCAGAGGTCAAGGCTATAGTGAGCTATGATGACACTACTGCACTCTGGCCTGGGTGACAGAGTGAGATGAGACCCTGCCTCCAAAAACAAAAACAAACAAAATAGATGGAAAGAGGCCTGTTGTGGTGGCTCACACCTGTAATCCCAGCACTTTGGGAGGCCGAGGCGGGCAGATCACAAGGTCAGGAGATTGAGACCATCCTGGCTAACACAGTGAAACCCCATCTCTACTAAAAATACAAAAAACTAGCTGGGCATGGTGGCGGGCGCCTGTAGTCCCAGCTACTCGGGAGGCAAAGCAGGAGAATTGCTTGAACTTGGGTGACAGAGGTTACAGTGAGCCAAGGTCGTGCCACTGCACTCCAGCCTGGGTGACAGAGCAAGATTCCGTCTCAAAAAAAAAAAAAAAAAAAAAAAAGATGGAAAGAGTAGAGAGACAGAGACAGAGACAAAGAAAGATACAGAAGAGAGAAACAGACACAAAAGAAAAAGAGAAGCAGTAACTCAGAGGATTTAAGTAAATGAATGAGTGAAGGAGTTAGACCAACTCAGTGAATGAATGAGTGTGTCATGGGGTCACAGATGAACACATGACCCAAGCTAAGCCCACGAGAATCAATCCTGGGACTTTTACTGAAATTCTCAGAAAGAGGCACTTTTTTTTTTTTTTTTTAAATAAACCCTAGGGTGGTAGGAGATACCTGCAGCTATGGGGGATCCTTTTATGCCCATGAGGGGAGAGCCTGGCTGAGAGTGACACTAACACAGAATGAGAAATAAACATAGTTGCAACACCCTCAGCATCTGGATCCAGCTGTGCCTGAAGCCCCTGATTCATGAGAGCAAATGAATTTATTTTTGACTAGTTAGATTTATGAGCGAGCCTAAGCCAGTAACGGAAGCAGAGAACAGAGGAAGCACTCCGCCCACCCCACCACACCCCTGACTGTGCTCTGGTCCTGGTGGGGGTTCCGCATGCGAGTCCAGGTCTCTTACCAGGGCAGTGGCGCCCACGAGGGACTCCTTGGCCAGGGCATGGCGCAGGGCAGAGAACAGCCCCATGCTGTTTTGTCTCAGATAGAGCACCTCGCCCACGCCGCCTGTGAAATCCACAAAAGCCTCATTCATGTGGCCGCCCCGCATCACCTCATAGGAGCCGTGGAGCCTGTGGGGGCAGATCTGGGGTGAGGGTTGAGGCAAGTACAAGCGTCTCAGGCACCCCTGCCCTGGGATCTGCAGGGGCCTGTGTCTCAGGGTGTGGAATCCCCAGGGGAAATTCCTGAAGTTTTGAGACTTTTTCCAGGGTCACCCTGTGGCCCAGGCCGGAGTGCAGTGGCGTGATCTCATCTCACTGTAGCCTCAAACTCCCGGGTTCAAGCGATCCTCCTCCCACCTCAGCCTCCCGAGGAGCTGGGCCCACAGGTGCACACCACCACACCCAGCTAAAACAATTTCAGACTCTTGGCCAGGCATGGTGGCTCACGCCTGTAATCCCAGCGCTTTGGGAAGCCGAGGCAAGTGGATCACCTGAGGTCAGGAGTTTGAGACCAGCCTGGCCAATACGGTGAAACCCCGTCTCTACTAAAAATACAAAAATTAGCTGGGCGTGGTGGCACATGCCTGTAATCCCAGCTACTCGGGAGGCTGAGGCAGGAGAATCGCTTGAACTCGGGAGGCGAAGGTTGCAGTGAGCCAAGATCACGCCATTGCACTGTAGCCTGGGCAACAAGAGTGAAACTCCATCTCAAAAAAAAAAAAAAAATTCAGACTCTTGACGGGGGGAACTGTGGCACATACAGAAGCCCTTGGAGATTGGGCCTGTGGTCCTTGGGGTGACCAGGACTTCGGTTTGGTGGGGGGCATGGGAGAGCTGTGTTAGAATTCTGAGAGTCCTGGTGCTGTCTGAAACCTTGAACCTCTGGTAGATGTCCGCTTTGGGGGATCATCCCTATGGGGGCTTGTCAGGAATTTCAGAGCCTCAGAATGGGGAAAAGGCAAAGATTTGAGGGTCCCAGGGTGACCCCCAATATTTTGGGGGTGCTTTAGATTTCTCAATGGACCAGGAGAGACAATCTAAGATATACAGCTCACCCGAGGGGATAAATCCCAGATTTGGTGAATCCAGGGCCTGATATATGAGATTTCAGGATCCTTAAGAATTATGAGTGACTGGGGGTCTCCAGGAATGTTTTGTGTGAAATATTGATGGAGAGAGGGGTTTAAGATTTGAAGGTACAGCTGAGCACAGTGGCTCACACCTGTAATCCCAGTACTTTGGGAGGCCAAGGAAGGTGGATCACCTGAGATCAGGAGTTGGAGACCAGCCTGACCAACATGGTGAAACCCCATCTCTACTAAAAATATAAAAATTAGCCAGGCATGGTGGTGCGCTCCTGTAATCCCAGCTAGTCGGGAGGCTGAGACAGGAGAATCGCTGGAACCTGGGAGGCAGAGGTTGCAGTGAGCCAAGATCGCGCTACTGCACTCCAGCCTGGGCGACAGAGTGAGTGAGACTCCGTCTCAAAAAAAAAGAAAAAAAAAAAAAACATGAAGTTGCTCAGGTGATGTTGTGATATGAGGGTTCTGGCGGTTGTCACTTGGTTTGGGATTCTTGGTGGGGTGTTTGGAGGATTGCAGAGCTTGGGGGACTCTGGGTCCCCCTGTGGCTTGATGCCTGCTGTGGGGACTTAGGGCTGCAGCTGGTTGGAACTGGGGTCCTCACTTGGCGTAGGCCTTCTCCAGGAGTGGGGCCCAGAACTCATTCCGCTGTTCCGAGCGCACGAACATCAGCTTCCCCTCACGCACGGGCAGCCTGTCATCCACCACGACGTCCATCCAGCGGCCAAACTGCCAGAGCTGGTGGGAGAAGATGCAGGGCCGGACTCGGCTTCCAACCTCCAACCCTGCCTGGGCCCTGCCTCTGCTGTGCCAGTCCCAGAGTCAGGAATTACAGCCCCAAGTCAACGTTAACTATGAAATCCATATGGCTGGCCGGGTGCGGTGGCTCACATCTGTAATCCCAGCACTTTGGGAGGCCGAGGCGGATGGATCACGAGGTCAGGAATTCGAGACCAGCCTGGCTAAGATGGTGAAATACCATCTCTACTAAAAATAAGAAAAAATTAGCTGGGCATGATGGCGGGTGCCTGTAATCCCAGCTACTCAGGAGGCTGAGGCAGAGAATTGCTTGAACCTGGGGGCGGGGCGAAGGTTGCAGTGAGCCGAGATTGTGCCACTGCACTCCAGCCTGGATGACAGAGTGAGATTCCATCTCAAAAAAAAAAAAAAAGAAAAATCCATATCACCAAGTCACCATGGGGGAAACGGAGGCATGGGCAGAGGAACTGAGCTGTACCTGGAAGTGGAAGACGCCTGCGTAGCCATGCTGGAAATCCTGTCCAGGAGGGACCACCCGGCGCAGGAGCCGGGGATACAGAGTAAGGGAGGCGGCAGCTGCAAGGAACCAGCAGTTACCTGGGAGGAGAGGCCAGGATTAGGTGAGGATGGAAGGAGGGAGGCCTGGTGCGGTGGCTCATGCCTCTAATCCCAGCACTTTGGGAGGCCAAGGCAGAAAGATCACGTGAGCCTAGGAGTTCAAGACCAGCCTGGCCAACATGGCAAGACTCCACTACAAGAAAATTTAAAAATTAGCTGGGCATGGTGGCATGCACCTGTAGTCCCAGCTACTTGGGAGGCTGAGGCAGGAAGATTGCTTGAGTCCAGGAGGTTAAGGCTGCAGTGAGCTATGATGGTGCCACTGTATTCCAGAATGGGTGACAGAGTGAGACCCCATCTCAAAAAAAAAAAAAAAAAAAAAAGGAAGGAAGGAAGGAGGGAGGAGGGAGAGAGAGGCCTAGGGAGAGAAGAGACTGAGGAGGGATCCAGGGGCCGGGAGTGGGTGGACAAAGGGATGGAGCTGTCAGGATCTCAGCTGAAACTAGCTGGATCTGAGGACTCCAGGTGGGTTCAGGGTCTCACCCAGGCTCCCCTGACACACGTCTGTGCGGCTCATGTCTTCACAGATGAACTTCGGCTCAGCACAGAACTCCTGTGGGTGGTGGGGGATTCCAGGCCTCAGCCTGAGAAAGCGAGGAAAGGTCTCATCCAGAGGAGTGAGGGCCTCCAAGCCCATGAAAGGCCTGGAAGCCTGTGGGCAGGAGCATGGCTTCCCTGGGTCTCCAGAAGTTGTGCTGAGCCAGTCCCATGGTAGCCCCCTCCTCCCTCAGACCCGGGAGTCCAGGCCCAGCCCCTCCTCCCTCAGACCCAGGAGTCCATGTCCCGAGCCCCTCCTCCCTCAGACCCAGGAGTCCAGGCCCAGCCCCTCCTCCCTCAGACCCAGGAGTCCAGGTCCCGAGCCCCTCCTCCCTCAGACCCAGGAGTCCAGGCCCAGCCCCTCCTCCCTCAGACCCAGGAGTCCAGGTCCCGAGCCCCTCCTCCCTCAGACCCAAGAATCCAGGTCCCCAGCCCCTCCTCCCTCAGACCCAGGAGTCCAGGTCCAGCCCCTCCTCCCTCAGACCCCGGAGTCCAGGTCCCCAGCCCCCTCTTCCCTCAGACCCAGGTGTCCAGGCCTTGGCCTCTCCTCCCTCAGATCCAGAAGTCCAGGTCCAAGCCCCCTCCTCCCTCAGACCCAGGAGTCCAGGTCCCCAGCCCCTCCTCCCTCAGACCCAAGAGTCCAGGCCCAGCCCTTCCTCCCTCAGACCCAGGAGTCCAGGCCCAGCCCCTCCTCCCTCAGACCTAAGAGTCCAGGTCTCGAGCCCCTCCTCCCTCAGACCAGGGAGTCCAGGCCCCCAGCCTTCCTTCCTCAGACCCAGGAGTCCATGCCTCCAGCCCCTCCTCCCTCAGACCCCAGAGCCCAGACCCCAGCCACACTTTACATGGGGCCTCATCCATTTCACGCCTTTGGCCTTCTCCGAGTCCGGCCCCAGCTGGTCATAGCCAAGGGCATCAGGGCCAGCAGGGAAGTAAGGGTCGCGGAACAGGATCCCCGAATCCAGGCAGGCTGCCCGAATTGCCTCATAGCTCTGGCCCCGAAAAAGCTGCAGGCGCCCGGCTCCGACCCCAGCCTCCTCATCCACGAGCTGGATGGTGACCCTCCCACTGCTGGATGCCATCTGGACACTGGCCTCACAAGCCGGCACCAGGCCCTTTAACCTCCTGAGTCACGGGGGCGGGGCCTCTCTTCCATTGGAGCCCCAGTGGGGTCTTTAGGCAATGAGGAGCCTTCCCTCGTTAATATTAATTGATGGTTTGGGGTGCTGGGGAGCAGGGACGCCTCTTCAGTAGCTTTCTTCCCAGGGCGTGGGGCCTTCAGTTGTGGCCAAGGTAGCAGCTTAATGGGCTTGGCCAGCAGCAGGAGAGAAGGCGGGCAGAGCTGAGGGAGGACCGGCTGCCGCTGTCAGAGCACCAAGAAGGAGGTCAGTGTGGGGGTGAGCTTCTGCCTACTTATGCCTGTGGGGCTGGGGAAGGAGGCGGGTTTACCTCGGTGTCTCTATCTCTCAGACTGCCTCTCTCCCCCTCCCTCTGACAGTTTCTCTCTCCCCGCCTTCATGTTTCTTCTCCATCAGTTTCTGGAGTGCAGTGGCACGATCTCAGCTCACTGCAACCTCCGCCTTCTAGGTTCAAGTGATTCTCCTGCCTCAGCCTCCCAAGTAGCTGGGATTACAGGCTCGTGTCACCATGCCCAGCTAATTTTTGTATTTTTTGTTAGAGAAGGGATTTTACCATGTTGACCAGGCTGGTCTTGAACTCCTGGCCTCAAGCAATCCGCCCACCTTGGCCTCCCAAAGTGCTGGGATTACAGACGTGAGCCACTGTGCCTGGTCAGGTTTTGTTAATTAAAAAAAATTTTTTTTAAAGTAGAGACAGAGGGGTGGCGGGGGGCGGTCCCATATGTTCCCCAGGCTGGTCTTGAACTGCTGGCCTCAAGTGATCCTCCTGCTTCAGCAGCCTCCCAGAGAGCTGGGATTACAGATGTGAGCTACTGTGCCTGGCCCTTTCTTGTTTTTTGTTTCTGGCAATATTTGTGTCTCTGTATTTCCCCAACTCCACCCCTCTCCCCACCCCACCCTCTTTTTTTTTTTTTTTTTTTTTTTGTAGAGATGGGGCGGGGATCTCACTTTGTTGCCCAGACTGGTCTCGAACTCCTGGGCTCAAGTGATCCTCCCCGCTTGGCCTCCCAAAGTGTTGGGATTACAGGCGTGAATCACTATGCCTGTCCCCTCTCTCTTTGTGTCTCTTTCAGCGTGTGTCTGTTCCTCTCTGTACCTGTCAGACCCAGGAGTCCAGGCCCCCAGCCCCTCCTCCTTCAGACCCTGTCAGTGTACCTTGTGTCTGCCTCCCTGTCTCTTCCTCTCCATCTTTCTGTCTGTCCCTGTAACCCATATGTGGCTCCTCCATCATCCACCGAGGGACCCTGAGCTCCCCTCCGCTCACGCCCCCTAAGCCCTCAGGATGCGCCTCCTCCCCTCCCGGACAAGGTAGACTCAGCCTGCTTGCCCAGGGAGGCTGACCCTGGAGGGATGGCTCTGTACCTCTCCTGTGCTGGGAGCCATCTGGTGACCATGATGCCCTGCCCTGGCCCACGCCACTCAGAGTCTGGATGGAGCAGTATTTCCCCCAAAGGACTCTGGAGCCATTGGAGGAAATGGGAGAAACAGGTACGGAGATGCCAGAGCCTCAGCAGTGCTGGTCCCAGCAGACCTTCCACCCTCGTTGAGGGTGTCTGCTGCCCTCCCAGAGCCTTGTCACCTCCACGCCACTCAGATGTCCCTCAAGCCTTTTGGCCTTCTTCCCTCCAAGTGGACCCACAAATATTGTCCAAGCCACCCACGTACACGGCTACCAAAAGTGGGTTACAAAACAGGCTTTCTGGCTGGGCGTGGTGGCTCATGCCTGTAATCCCAGCACTTTGGGAGGCCGAGGCAGGCAGATCACCTGAGGTCAGGAGTTCGAGACCAGCCAGGCCAATGTAGTGAAACTCCGTCTCTACTAAAATACAAAAATTAGCCGGACATAGTTGCGGGCACCTGTAATCCCAGCTACTCAGAAGGCTGAGGCAGGAGAACCGCTTGAATCTGGGAGGCGGAGGTTGCAGTGAGCCGAGATTGTGCCACTGCACTCCAGCCTGGGCAACAGGGCAAGACTGCATCTCAAAAAACCCCCCAAAACAGGGCCGGGCATGGTGGCTCATGCCCGTAATCCCAGCACTTTGGGAGGCTGAGGTGGGCAGAACACTTGAGGCCAGGAGTTCAAGACCAGCCTGGCCAACATGGTGAAACACCATCTCTATTAAAAATACAAAAATTAGGCTGGACGCGGTAGTTTACTACGCCTGTAATCCCAGCACTTTGGGAGGCCGAGACGGGCGGGTCAGGAGTTCCAGACCAGCCTGGCCAACATGGTGAAACCCCATCTCTACTAAAAAATACAAAAAAATTAGCTGGGTGTGGTGGCACGCACCTGTAATCCCAGCTACTCAGGAGGCTGAGGTAGGAGAATCGCTTGAACCCGAGAGGTGGAGGTTTCAGTGAGCCAAGACTGCACCACTGCACTCCAGCCTCGGCAAGAGAGCAAAACTCCATCTCAAAAAAAAAAAAAAAAAGGCCGGGCACGGTGGCTCAAGCCTGTAATCCCAGCAGCACTTTGGGAGGCCAAAGCAGGCAGATCACGAGGTCAGGAGATCAAGACCATCCTGGCTAACACGGTGAAACCCCATCTCTACTACAAAAAATACAAAAAATTAGCCAGGCATGGTGGCGGCCACCTGTAGTCCCAGCTACTCGGGAGGCTGAGGCAGGAGAATGACGTGGACCCAGGAGGCGAAGCTTGCAGTGAGCCGCCACTGCACTCCAGCCTGGTTGACAGAGCAAGACTCTGTCTCAAAAAAAAAAAAAAAAAAAAAAATTAGCTGGGCATGGTGGTACACACCTGTAATCCCAGCTACTCAGGAGGGTGAGGCAGGAGAATCGCTTGAACCTGGGAGGCGGAGGTTGCAGTGAGCCAAGATCACGCCACTGCACTCCAGCCTGGGTGAGAGAGTGAGACTCCATCTCAAAAAAAAAAAAAAAAAAGTTTTCTTCGTGTAGGATTGCCAAGCCCACCCCAGCCCCACGGGAGTCATATGGGAGTGCTTCCAGCCTGCCGGGATTAGGAGCCACAGCACCTGGGGTCCAATCCCAGCTCTGCCACCTACACCTGTGTGTCTTTGGGCACATCACTTAACTTCTCTGTGCTTCAGTTTCCTCATCTCTGCAATGCGGATGATGATAGGGCGTACCTCGGAGGGTTGCTGTGGGAAGCGAATGAGTTCGTACGTGGGATGAGTTCAGAGAAGTGCCTGACACAGAGTCGCTGCTCACTGCACGAGGCATTGACCATGCCTTGGCGTTCAAGAGTGTCTGCTGCCCTCCCAGAGCCTTGTCACCTCCATGCCACTCAGATGTCCCTCAAGCCTTCTGGCCTCCTTCCCTCCAAGTGGACCCACAGATATTGTCCAAGCTGCCTACGTACATGGCTACCAAAAGTGGGTTACAAAACGAGCTTTCTGGCTGGGCGTGGTGGGTCACGCCTGTAATCCCAGCACTTTGGGAGGCCGAGGTGGGCGGCCTCGGCCATCCACAGTCAACCTGTCTCCTTGGATCTGGGCTGCTGTTTCTTTCACTTGTTTGTTGGTTTATTTTTTGGGACAGTCTCGCCTCGTCACCCAGGCTGGAGTGCAGTGGCGTGATCTTGGCTCACTACAACCTCCGCCTCCCAGGTTCAAGTGATTCTCCTGCCTCAGCCTCCCGAGTAGCTAGAATTACAGGCATGTGCCACCACGGCTGGCTAATTTTTGTATTTTTAGTAGAGACAGGGTTTCACCATATTGGTCAGGCTGGTCTTGAAAGCCTCACTTCAGGTGATCCACCCGCCTTGGCCTCCAAAAGTGCTGGGATTACAGACAGGAGCCACCGCGCCATGTCTTACTGTTTCTTTTTTTGTATTGTTTTGTTTTGTTTCTGAGACAGGGTCTGACTCTGTTGCCCAGGCTGGAGTGCAGTGGCACAATCTTGGCTCACTGCAGCCTTGACCTCCCGGGCTCAAGCAATCCTCCTGCCTCAGCTTCCTGAGTAGCTGGGACCACAGGCTTGTGCCACCATACCCAGCAAATTTTTAGACTTTTTGGTGGAATGGAGTCTCACTTTGTTGCCAGGGCTGGTCTTGAATCCCTGAGCTCAAGCAAACTTCCCATGTCAGCTTCCCAAAGTGCTAGGATTATAGGCCTGACCCACTGCACCTGGCCAGATGTACAACTTTCAAACCACTGAAGTAGCTTAAAATGAAAGGAAAAGAAAATGTAATCTATTTGGCAATGGTCGAAAAGCAAAGGAAAATGCAGCGAATCATAGAAAATAAAAGCAAAAAGCATCACACAATGACCTAAATAAAACCAAGCATATCAGTTATAACAACATTATGCAAATGTGTGAAACGTACTTGGGAACATCAACAAACAAAATTCAACTGTTTAGCTTTCAAAACACTTTCCAAAGATAACACCACCAAGTTTTAAAATAAAAGGATTAGAAATAGCTATCAGTCAAAAGCAGATACACAAAAATCAGGGCAAATCTGATATTAGAGAAAACCGGATTTAAAGCAGATAGCATTACTTTGGACAAAAGGAGTTATTTTCTATTGATAAAGTGTATGATCCAGAATGAAAAGTGATTGGATGGGTGCAGTGGCTCATGCCTGCAATCCCAGCACTTTGGAAGGCTGAGGCAGGTGGATCACTTGAGGTCGGCAGTTTGAGACCAGCCTGGCCGACATGGTGAAACCCCGTCTCTATTAAAAATACAAAAATTAGCTGGGCATAGTGGTGCATGCCTGTAATCTCAGCTACTCGGGAGGCTAAGGCTCAAGAATCACTTGAACCCAGGAGGTGGAGGTTGCAGTGAGCCCAGATTGTGCCAGTGCACTCCAGCCTGGGTGACAGGACAAGACTCTGTCTAAAAAAAAAAAAAAAAAGGCTGGGAGCGATGGCTCACGCCTGTAATCTCAGCAGTTTGGGAGGCCCAGGCAGACGGATTACTCAAGGTCAGGAGTTCAAAACTAGCCTGGCCAACATGGTGAAACCTGGCTCCACTAAAAATACAAAAAGCCAGGTGTGGTGTGTGCCTGTAATCCCAGCTACTCACGAGGCTGAGGCAGGAGAATCACTTGAACCTGGGAGGCAGAGGTTGCAGTGAGACACTGCACTCCAGCCTGGGTGACAGTGTGAGACTCCATCTCAAAAAAAAAAAAAAGTGATCATTTATTACACTATTAGAAACAAAAGGAAAAATACACAGAAACACAGTAGTGGTCATGGGTAATTTGAAACCACCATTATTCTTCAAATATCAAGTCTTTTAAAATGTGATATTTTGAATAATAGAATACAGTGAATTTAATATATATGCACACTCATTACATCTATATACACTCATGATTTTCAAGCATATATCAAACATTTGCAAAGACTCAATTTAAAAAATAAAAGGCCGAGCACGGTGGCTCACGTCTGTAATCCCAGCACTTTGGGAAGCCGAAGCGGGCAGATCACCTGAGGTCAGGAGTTCGAGACCAGCCTGGCTAACATGGTGAAACCCCGTTTCTACTAAAAATACAAAAATTAGCCGGGCATGGTGGCAGGCACCTGTAGTCCCAGCTACTTGGGAGGCTGATACAGGAGAATCACTTGAACTTAGGAGGCAGAGGTTGCAGTGAGCCGAGATCGCACCACTACACTCCAGCCTGGGCAACAGAACAAGACTCTGTCTCAAAAATAAAAAGGCTGGGTGAGGTGGCTCACGCCTGTAATCCCAGCACTTTGGCAGGCTGAGGTGGGCGGATCACAAGGTCAGGAGATCCAGACAATCCTGGCTAACACAGTGAAACCCCATCTCTACTAAAAATACAAAAATTAGCTGGGCATGGTGGCGTGTGCCTGTAGTCCCAGCTGCTGGGGAGACTGAGGCAGGAGAATGGTGTGAACCCAGGAGGCGGAGCTTGCAGTGAGCCAAGATTGCGCCACTGCACTCCAGACTGGGCAACAGAGCGAGACTCCATCTCAAAAAAAAGAAAAAAGAAAAGCGCCTCTGAGACCAGCTGAATAACATCAAGCAAACAAACATATGTATAATAGGACTCTGGGGAAAGGAGAGGAAGGAGAAAAATTTTTGAAGCATTAATGGCTGGAAACTTTTCAAACTTGGTGTAAACGTTAATTTACACAAACTCCAAGAAGTATAAATACAAAGAGAGCCATATCTAGATTCATCGTAGTAAATGTCAGGCCTTTGAGCTTAAGCTAAGCTATCATTATCTTTTGTGACTTGCACATACACATCTAGATGGCCGGTTCCTGCCTTAACTGATGACATTCCACCACAAAAGAAGAACCCCTCAACCCCTTCTCCTTCACCGTTAGTGGCAAGTCCCGCTTTTCTGGGGGAGGGGCAAGTACCCCAACCCCTTCTCTCCGTGTCTCTACCCCTTCTCTGCTTTTCTGAGTGGCAAGAACCCCTCAACCCCTTCTCCTTCACCCTTAGTAGCAAGTCCCGCTTTTCTGGAGGAGGGACAGGAACCCCGACCTCTTATCTCTGCACCCCGATCCCTTATTTCCATGCCCAGACCTCTTATCTCTGTGCCCCATCCCTTATTTCTGCACCCCAACCTCTTATCTCTGTGCCCCAACCCCTTCTCTGCTTTTCTGGAGGGCAAGAACCCCCCCACCCCTTCTCCATGTCTCTACTCTCTTTTCTCTGGGCTTGCCTCCTTCACTATGGGCAAGCTTCCACCTTCCATTCCTCCTTCTCCCTTAGCCTGTGTTCTTAAGATCTTAAAACCTCTTCAACTCTCACCTGATGTAAAATCTAAGCATCTAATTTTCTTCTGAAACGCCGCTTGACCCCCATACAAACTTGACAGTAGTTCCAAATAGCCAGAAAACAGCACTTTCAATTTTTCCATCCTACAAGATCTAAATAATTCTTATCATAAAATAGGCAAATGGTGTGAGGTGCCTGACATCCAGGCATTCTTTTACACATCAGGCTCTCCCTAGCCTCTGTTCCCAATGCAACTCGTCCCAAATCTTCCTTCTTTCCCTCCCACCTGTCCCCTCAGTCCCAACCCCAAGTGTCACTGAGTCTTTCTAATCTTCCTTTTCTACAGACCTATCTGACCTCTCCCCTCCTTGCTAGGCTGAGCTAGGTCCCAATTCTTCCTCAGCCTCCGCTCCTCCACCCTATAATCCTTTTATCGCCTCCCCTCCTCACACCCGGTCCCCCTTACAGTTTCGTTCCGTGACTAGCCCTTCCCCACCTGCCCAGCAATTTACTCTTAAAAAGGTGGCTGGAGCTAAAGGCATAGTCAAGGTTAATGCTCCTTTTCCTTTATCCCAAATCAGATAGTGTTTAGGCTCTTTTTCATCAAATATAAAAATCCAGCCCAGTTCATGGCTCGTTCGGCAGCAACCCTGAGACACTTTACAGCCCTAGACCCTAAAATGTCAAAAGGCCGTCTTATTCTCAATATACATTTTATTACCCAATCTGCTCCCGACATTAAATAAAACTCCAAAAATTAAATTCCGGCCCTCAAACCCCACAACAGGACTTAATTAACCTCGCCTTCAAGGTGTACAATAATAGAGGCAGCCAAGTAGCAACATATTTCTGAGTTGCAATTCCTTGCCTCCACTGTGAGACAAACCTCAGCCACATCTCCAGCACAAAAGAACCTCCAAACGCCTAAACCGCAGTGGCCAGGCGTTCCTCCAGAACCGCCTCCCCCAGGAGCTTGCTACAAGTGCCAGAAATCTGGCCACCAGGCCAAGGAATGCCCGCAGCCCAGGATTCCTCCTAAGCCGTGTCCCATCTGTGCAGGACCCCACTGGAAATCGGACTGTCCAACTCACCTGGCAGCCACTCCCAGAGCCCCTGGAACTCTGGCCCAAGGCTCTCTGACTGACTCCTTCCCAGATCTTCTCGGCTTAGCAGCTGAAGACTGATGCTGCCCGATTGCCTCGGAAGCCCCGTAGACCATCACGGACACCAAGCTTTAAGTAACTCTCACAGTGGAAGGTAAGTCCGTCCCCTTCTTAATCAATACGGAGGCTACCCACTCCACATTACCTTCTTTTCAAAGGCCTGTTTCCCTTGCCTCCATAACTGTAGTGGGTATTGACAGCCAGGCTTCTAAACCTCTTAAAACTCCCCAACTCTGGTGCCAACTTAGACAATATTCTTTTATGCACTCCTTTTAGTTATCTCCACCTGCCCAGTTCCCTAATTAGGCCGAGACACTTCAAATTATCTGCTTCCCTGACTATTCCTGGATTACAGCTGCATCTCATTGCCGCCCTTCTTCCCAATCCAAAGCCTCCTTTGCATCCTCCTCTTGTATCCCCCCACCTTAACCCAAAGGTATAAGATACCTCTACTCCCTCCTTGGCGACCAATCATGCACCCCTTACCATCTCATTAAAATCTAATCACCCTTACCCCGCTCAATGCCAATATCCCATCCCACAGCATGCTTTGAAAGGATTAAAGCCTGTTATCACTCGCCTGTTACAGCATGGCCTTTTAAAGCCTATAAACTCTCCTTACAATTCCCCCATTTTACCTGTCCTAAAACCAGACAAGACTTACAGGTTAATTCAGGATCTGCGCCTTATCAACCAAATTGTTTTGCCTATCCACCCTGTGGTGCCAAACCCATATACTCTCCTATCCTCAGTACCTCCCTCCACAATCCATTATTCTGTTCTGGACCTCAAACATGCTTTCTTTCCTATTCCTTTGCACCTGTCATCCCAGCCTCTCTTTGCTTTCACTTGGACTGACCCTGACACCAATCAGGCTCAGCAAATTACCTGGGCTGTACTGCCTCAAGGCTTCACAGACAGACCCCATTACTTCAGTCAAGCCCAAATTTCATCCTCATCTGTTACCTATCTTGGCATAATTCTCATAAAAACACACGTGCTCTCCCTGCTGCTTGTGTCCGATTAATCTCCCAAACCTCGATCCCTTACAAAACAACAACTCCTTTCCTTCCTAGGCATGGTTAGTTCGGTCAGAATTATTACACAAGAGCCAGGCCCGCACCCTGTAGCCTTTCTGCCCAAACAACTTGACCTTACTGTTTTAGCCTAGCCCTCATGTCTCCGTGCAGCGCGTGCCGCTGCTTTAACACTTTTAGAGGCCCTCAAAATCACAAACTATGCTCAACTCACTCTCTACAGCTCTCATAATTTCCAAAATCTATTTTCTTCCTCACACCTGACGCATATACTTTCTGCTCCCTGGCTCCTTCAGCTGTACTCACTCTTTGTTAAGTCCCACAATGACCATTGTTCCTGGCCCGGACTTCAATCCGGCCTCCCACATTATTCCAGATACCACACCTGACCCCCATGACGGCATCTCTCTGATCCACCTGACATTCATCCCATTTCCCCACATTTCCTTCTTCCCTGTTCCTCACCCTGATCACGCTTGATTTATTGATGGCAGTTCCACCAGGCCTAATCGCCACACACCAGCAAAGGCAGGCTATGCTATAGTACAAGCCACTAGCCTGCCTCTTAGAACCTCTCACTTCCTTTCCATTGTGGAAATCTATCTTCAAAGAAATAAATTCTCAGTGTTCCATCTGCTATTCTACTACTCCTCATGGATTATTCAAGCCCCCTCCCTTCCCTACACATCAACTCGAGGATTTGCCCCCACCCAGGACTGGCAAATTAGCTTTACTCAACATGCCCCGAGTAAGATAACTAAAACACCTCTTAGTCTAGGTAGACACTTTCACTGGATAAGTAGAGTCCTTTCCTACAGGGTCTGAGAAGGCCACCACAGTCATTTCTTCCCTTCTGTCAGACATAATTCTTCAGTTTAGCCTTATCATTCCCTTCTGTCAGACGTAATTCCTCAATTTAGCCTTCCCACCTCTATACAGTCTGATAACAGACCAGCCTTTATTTGTCAAATCAGCCAAGCATTTTTTCAGGCTCTTAGTATTCAGTGACAGACTAAAACACACCTCACCAACCTCAGCCACCAACTTAAAAAGGACTGGACAATATTTTTACCACTTTCGCTTCTCAGAATTCAGGCCTGTCCTCAGAATGCTACAAGATACAGCCCATTTAAGTTCCTGTATAGACACTCCTTTTTATTAGGCCCCAGTCTCATTCCAGACACCAGACCAACTTAGACTGTGCCCCCAAATAACTTGTCATCCCTACTATCTTCTGTCTAGTCATACTCCTATTCACCGTTCTCAACTACTCATGCATGCCCTGCTCTTGTTTACACTGCCAGTTTACACAGTTTCTCCAAGCCATCACAGCTGATATCTCCTCGTGCTATCCCCAAACTGCCACTCTTAACTCTTGAAGTAAATAAATAATCTTTGCTGGCAAGGCTATGCTGAACCTCCTTAGGCACTCTCTAATTAGATGTCCTAGGTCCTCCCAATTCTTAGTCCTTTAATACCTGTTTTTCTCCTTCTCTTATTCCGTTTAGTTTTTCAATTCATACAAAACCGTATCCAGGCCATCACCAATCATTCTACACGACAAATGTTTCTTCTAACAACCCCACAATATCACCCTTTACCACAAAATCTTCCTTCAGCTTAATCTCTCCCACTCTAAGTTCCCACGCCGCCCCTAATACCGCTGGAAGCAGCCCTAAGAAACATCACCCATTATCTCTCCATACCACCCCCAAAAATTTTCACTGTCCCAACACTTTACTACTATTTCATTTTATTTTTCTTAATATAAGAAGACAGGAATGTCAGGCCTCTGAGCCCAAGCTAAGCCATCATATCCCCTGTGACCTGCACGTACACATCTAGATGGCCGGTTCCTGCCTTAACTGATGACATTCCACCACAAAAGAAGTGAAAATGGCCTGTTCTTGCCTTAACTGATGACATTGTCTTGTCAAATTCCTTCTCCTGGCTCATCCTGGTTCAAAAGCTCCCCTACTGAGCATCTTGTGACCCCCACTCTGCCCTCCAGAGAACCCCCCTTTGACTATAATTTTCCTTTATCTACCCAAATCCTATAAAAACAGCCCCGCCCTTATCTCCCTTCGCTGACTCTTTTCAGACTCAGCCCGCCTGCACCCAGGTGAAATAAACAGTTTTATTGCTTACACAAAGCCTGTTTGGTGGTCTCTTCACACGGACGCGAGTGAAAGTAAAACTGCTGAAAACAATTCAAAAAGGGCATTTTTTTTTTTTTTTGAGGCAGAGTCTCACTCTGTCGCCCAGGCTGGAGTGCAGTGGCACAATCTCGGCTCACTATAAGCTCCATCTCCCGGGTTCACACCATTCTCCTGCCTCAGCCTCCCGAGTAGCTGGGACTACAGGCACCCACCACCACGCCTGGCTAATTTTCTGTATTTTTAGTAGAGACGGGGTTTCACCGTGTTAGCCAGGATGTTCTCGATCTCCTGACCTCGTGATCCACCCTCCTTGGCCTCCCAAAGTGCTGGGATTACAGGCGTGAGCCACCGTGCCAGGAAAATGGAAAATTTTAAAGGAGCAAGTGAAAAACAGCTCATTATGTACAGGGGAACAATAGAATTAATGGCTAGATTCTCCTAGGAACAATGGAGGCCAGAAGGCAGATGAATGATTTATTCAAAACACTGAAAGAAAAATAAAACTGTCAACTGATAATTCTATATTCAACAAAACTATACTTCAAAACAAAAGGCAAAAGAAAATCATTCCCAGATAAACAAAAAGAGAATTCCTGACTAGCATATACCTAAACGCAGGGAATACTCAAGGAAACCCCTCACACTGAAAATGACAGTAGACAGAAACTCAAATCCACAGGAAGAAATGAAGAGCCCCAGAAATGTATTTTTCTTTTCTTCTTTTAATTTATTTTAAAACATAAGGTCAGGCTGGGCACGG